>NC_000021.9:32404984-32714938 GCF_000001405.40 Homo sapiens
TTTCACAACGTTGCCTAGGCTGGTCTTGAACTCCTAGTCTCAGGTGATCCATCTGCCTCGGCCTCCCAAAGTGCCGGAATTACAGGCATGAGCCACTGTGCCGAACATGGGGACCAGTTTTGTGTAAGACAATTTTTCCAAAGATGGGGGTTGGGGGGATGGTTTGGGGATGATTCGAGTGCATTACATTTATTGTGCACTTTATTTCTGTTATTATTACATTGTAACATATAATGAAATAATTACACAACTAACTATAATGTAGAATTAGTGGGAGCCCTGAGCTTGTTTTCCTGCAACTAGATGGTCCCATCTGGGGGTGATGGGAGACAGTGACAGGTCATCAGGCATTAGATTCTTGTAAGGAGCATGCAACCTAGATCCCTCACATGTGCGGTTCACAAATAGGGTTCACATTCCCATGTCACTCCTTCACTCCAGTCAAGGAGGCAGAGGCCAGGCAGTAATGTGAGCCATGGGGAGTGGCTGTAAATACAGATGAAGCTTCTCTCACTTCTCTCACCAGTATGGTGGCCCAAGGCTGGAGACCCCTGCACTAGAAGATCAGGGCTGCTGTCACTCAAAGGAACAAGGTGGAAACTGTTTCCACCTAAGAGTTCAAATTAAAACCAAACACGGTGGCTCACACCTGTAATCCCAGCACTTTGGGAGGCCAAGGCAGGTGGATCACTTGAGCTCAGGAGTTTGAGATCAGCCTGGGCAACATAGCGAGATCTCATCTCTACTAAACATTTTTTTAAAATATTAGCCAGGTGTGGTGGTGTACGCCTGTGGTCCCAGCCACTCAGGAGGCTGAGGCAGGAGGATCGCTTGAGCCCGGAAGGCTGAGACAGCAGTGAGCTGTGATTGTGCCACTGTACTCGAGCCTGGGCGACAGAGTGAGTGAGACTGTCTCAAAAACAAAAAAACAAAATTTAAAAAATAAATTAAAACCAAACACTATCTTATACCCAATAAAAAATAATATGCAAAGTCCATAAAATGATTATATTTATTGTCATGGCTACCCATGTGCCCATGTGTGAAGCTTCTACTCTGACTGGCTCCTTTTTTTTTTTTTTTTTTTTTTTTTTTTTTTTTTTTGAGATGAAGCCTCCCTCTGTTGCCCAGACTGGAGTGCAATGGCATGGTCTTGGCTCACTGCAACTTCCGCCTCGTAGGTTCAAGCAATTCTCCTGCCTCAGCCTCCCGAGTAGGTGGGACTACAGGCACGCACCACCATGCCCAGCTGATTTTTGTGTTTTTATTAGAGACAGAGTTTCACCATGTTAGCCAGGCTGGTCTCAAACTCCTGACCTCAGGTGATCCACCTGCCTCGACCTCCCAAAGTGCTGGGATTACAGGCATGAGCCACCACACCTGGTCCCGACTGGCTCTTCAGGCTCTAAACTCCACCACAATCCACAACACAAGTACCAGTCATGGCAGAGATGGGATTTGCATCTTTGAGCTCTGACCACAGAGCCCACACCAATAACGACTGCCCTAAAGCGTGACCAGGCAAGCTTGGTTTAGCAGAACCAGAGCTGCTGCTTTCCAACGTTCTAGGGAGTTTCCTTCCTTTAGCACACTTTCCTTAATGATGGCAGAGCACTAGGTTGGAAGAGTGCCTGGTGCCCGGAAGGAAGGGAAGAGCAGTAAGGAGGGTGGAGAGAGGGAGTAGGGGTTTCTGCCCTTTGTTCCCAGCTACAGCCCAGGCTGGCCCGGCTCCCTGTAGCATTTGCTGAAGGCAGCAGATCACTGGCACCTCAGGCCTTCTGTTGAAAGCAGCACCTTCCTGCCTCCCTCGATGGGGAAAAAGGCACCTGCTTTCTCCAGGATGAAATCCATGGTGTCCCCCAGAAACTGAGTGTGCCACTTAGAACACTTGGGAATTCCCACACTGAAAAATTCCCTTTTTTTTTTTTTGGAGACTGAGTCTTGCCCTGTCACCCAGGCTGGAGTACAATGACACGATCTCAGCTCACTGCAATCTCCACCTCCCAGGTTCAAGCGATTCTCCTTCCTCAGCCTCCCAAGTAGCTGGAACTACAGGTGCATGCAACTATGCCTGGCTAATTTTAATTTTTGTATTTTTTTGTACAGATGGGGTTTCCCAATGTCGGCCAGTCTGGTCTTGAACTCCTGACCTCAAGTGATCCTCCCGCCTTGGCCTAAAAGTGCTGGGATTACAGGCCTGATACCCACTGCACTCGGCCTTGAAAATTTCCCATGGATCTGAATTCAGTCCTTCACAACGCTTCAAAAACTTCCAAGAGTTTGCACGTGCTGCATTCTTCTTTTACAAAGACAATGATTCACATATAAACTGATAGCATATGCAAAAGGTGAGAATACATAATTAAGAAAACACTCAGGAATGAAAAGAATCAGTATAGATTTAGCCTGATTTTTTTGAAATCCTACATCTATTTTAAATAGGTTATGGGTTTTTAGAGTCAAAATGGATTTTAGCATTCATTTTTTTCATTTTGCAAATGTGAAAAAGTGAGAGACAGGCGAGTCAAGTGCCTCTGTGGGTTCCTCTGTCTCAGTGGCAGAGCTGGGACTTGACCTGAGGTCTCCTGAGTGGCTATTTGAATATAGGTTGACACTATTGGATGAGATGCCTTTGACCTCGGATGGGCTGTCAGTACAGACATCAGTTGACTGCTGTGCACATATTCTTAAAGACCTCCTTCTGGCCGGGCACAGTAGCTCATGCCTGTAATCCCAGACTTTGGGAGGCCGAGGCGGGCAGATCAGGAGGTCAGGAGTTAGAGACCAGCCTGACCAACATGGTGAAACCGTATCTCTACTAAAAATATAAAAATTAGCTGGGCATGGTGGCACATGCCTGTAACCCCAGCTACTAAGGAGGCTGAGGCAAGAGAATCACTTGAACCCAGAAGGTGGAGGTTGCAGTGAGCCGAGATCGCACCACTGCACTCCAGCCTGGGTGACAGAGCGAGACTCCATCTCAAAAAACAAAACAAAACAAAAACCTCCTTCTGCAGGCTTTGGGGCCACACCTTCCCACACAACTTTTCTAGTGCACTGTGGCTTTTGCAGTTCTGACCAAGCAGGCTCCTTGCTATTGATGCGGCTCTGTGGTGCCAGCTCTAGAAACAAACTACCATTTGTTGCTTTCTAAAAAAAAGCCTTTTAAGCTCCAGACGACATTGGGCCTCTCTCTCCTGAGCTGAAAGGTTGGTTTCTTTGAGGTTTCCAAATGGCAGCTTATGTCTTCTCAGAAGGGCTACAGCCCATTTGTTGGAAGCCAAAAACCTTACCTCAATGGCCCAGGTGAGAGGACATGGCTCAGGGTTGCAGTCTGAGTGTGAAGCACATAAACATCTCCCATAATAGGCTTGGTGGCTGGGCCTGGTGGCTCAAGCCTGTAATCACGGCACTATGGGAGGCCGAGGTGGGTGGATCACCTGAGGTCAGGAGTTCAAGACCGGCCCAGCCAACAAGGTGAAACCCTGTCGCTACTAAAAATACAAAAGAAAAAGAAGAAGAAGAAAAAAAATTTGCTGGGTGTGGTGGTGCACACCTGTCATCCCAGCTACTTGGGAGGCTAAGTCAGGAGAATCACTTGAACCCAGGAGGCGGAGATATCAGTGAGCCAAGATCGTGCCACTGCACTCCAGCTTGGGCAACAGAGCAAGACTCCACCTAAAGAAAAAATAAATAGGCTTGGATATGGCAGAGGGTGAGAGACAAGTAGCTAGGATCTCAAGGAAGAAGGAAAATAGAGATGTAACATGGAGCTGAAAAGAAGGTGCAGGAATTGCTTTAAAAGAAAACAAAGAGACAGAAAGTAAGACGTGTAATTTACAATGTCCTGTAAAGGTTGCCTCTTGCACACATGGACTGAATGCTGTGACTACAGAGGCACTTTTCAAACTAGTACAAGAAGGAACAAGATTGCCCAATGGTGCCATCACTTAGAAAAGAACCCTTTATTTTACCTCCACCTAATTGCTGTGCCTTTGCAGTATAAGAGGGCTTCAAGTCTTGGTTCGGACGGTCAGTATGACTCTGTGCCCTCAGTCTCCCCATCTGAGAAATGAAGATTCCTGTTGTACCTGGGCCAGCTTCATATGACCTGAGCAATCACTCAGGGCCCTGTGTTCAAAGCATTAAACTATGCTTGGTTTAATGCTCTGCTATTATCATCCTGGAATTCTTAATAATCCTTGAACGAGGGGCCCCACATTTTCGTTTTGCACTGGGCAAGTAAATGACGTAGTTAGCCTAGTTAGTACCTATCTCAAAGGGTTGTTGTGAGTATTAATATTTTGGAAACACTTTATTATTTGGCACACCAGTCATCATTCACTTTAATTCCAGCTCCCATAACTGTGTTGAAATACCAAGTGGCTATGACTGTTTTTATTATTCAAATTCCATCATAGTAGAAAGCATTTAAGGAAAACTGCCTCGGTGGAAAAGATTATTTCTCTCCAGACCCCAGATTGATTTTACACTGTTCATCCCTCTTTGAAACATATATTCCTTTTCCCACTTTTCCGTCCTATGAGTTGTTATAGTGCCTCAGAGTTAAGGTATTTGACCTACAAAGCTCTTAGAAAAGTGTGGGGTCCAGAGAGAAAGATAACTGAGCAATTCAGTTTTCTCGCAAGATTCCAAAATTCTTAAAGAGATCAGATTAGGACCAAAATCTTCTGATTTAACAGTGAGGGGCTAAGGGACAAAACAGAGGGAAGCCAGGGAGACGTCCTTCAGACCCTCTCATAGCCCACGACTGCCCGGTCGCATTGTGCTGTCCATCTGCCTTCTAAACATCCTTCCATTGTGGCCGCTTCTCCTCTTCTTTCTGGGTGTACAGCGAGCACATCAGCCCAAGCACAGCCATAAACCCCTGACTGCACTCTCTCCCTCACCACGGCCATCTCCCCAGACCCACTTTTCTTTTTTGAGACGGAGTCTCGCTCTGTCTTGCCCAGGCTGGAGTGCAGTGGTGCAACCTTGGCTCACTGCAGCCTCTGCCTCCCGGGTTCAAGCAATACTCCTGCCTCAGCCTCCCGAGTAGGTGGGACTACAAGCGTGTGCCGCCATACCTGGCTAATATTGTATTTTTAGTAGAGATGGGGTTTCACCGTGTGGGTCAGGCTGGTCTTGAACTCCTGACCTCAGGTGATCCACCCACCTCGGCCTCCCAAAGTGCTGGGATTACAGGCACCAGCCACTGCAGCCGGCCACATGCCATATATTGTTTATCCATTCATCCACTGAGGTTCTTCCATCTGTCAGCTCTTCTAAATAATGCTGCAAGGAATATTGGTGCATAAGTATCTGTTTGAGTCTGTCTCTGCTTTTAGTTATTTGGCACACATACTTCCAGGGCCTGCTTTTGACTCCTCCAGTCCATTTGCACTCAGCAGCCGAGAAGGACTTTTTACCAACACACATCCAATCACATCACTTTTGTACTTACAGTTCTTTGCTGGCTTAAGATAAAAGACGGAAATTCTCACCAAAGTCTCCAGGGCCCTGAGCTCTGGCCTGCCTACCTCCAAGTCCCCTGGCTCTTCCCTTTGCTCTGCTCCAGCTGTCTAGACTTTTCCCCATCCTTCAAGACAGCCATGCTCCTTTTGGATTTCAACATGCTGGTCCCTTTTTCTAAAATGTTCATCCTCCCGCAACACCCGGGTTTTGCTAGTTTTTGCTTGGCCAATTCATCCTCTAGCTTTCTCATCCATCTTGCCTTAAAATGCTCCTGAATATCTCCCTTCCTCCCTCGGGCTCAGCTCCTTCATTCCTCGCTTCTGCTCCCATGGTTCCTGTCTTTCGTGACTGTCCGTTCACGGGGCATTATTTTCCAATGTCTGTCTTCCCTGCTGTAATAGTAACTGTATGCATTCATCCACTGGAGTTGCTTCCATCTTTTGGCCATCATAAATAATGCTGCAATGAATATTGGTGTGTAAGTATGTTTGAGTTTCTGCTTTACCAGGTAAGAAAGCCTGGGGATGCTGTCACAGTGAGTAACAGTGCCCACTTAGACATTTGGAAGCCAGTGCAGACCCACAGGGCAGTGCTGCCCACTCCCAGGACTCGGGAGCATGGCTGCCTCCCTGTGCCAACACTGTCAGTCACTAGCGCAGAACCTGGCACACGTTGGTACCAATTCATATCTAAACTGGATGAATGAACAGACAGAATGGAAAGTACAGGAGGGACCCGAGTTTTGGACAAACATTACTTACCCTGTGGCTCCTAAGTGCTGGGCATCCTTACCCACACTCCCAGCTTCAGTTTCCCTAACCTAGAGAGCGCACACTAATATTTATGTTCAAATGTTATTGGGGAGGTTGAGTTTTTATTTAATATTTGAATGTAGATTTTAAAAATCATTATGCCAGACAGGCTGGGCCTCACTCGATAAACACTGATGTTTAGCATTTAACACACTTTTCCCCAGACTGGAAGAAGAGGCCGAGATCCCAATTCGGTGACCCAGCCCTTGCTGGAGTACTAGGTGGTATCTAATGCCATCCACCCTTCCGGGATCTTTACGGCCCACCTCTGAGTGGGTCCCACGGGGACCCTCAGCCGCATTTTCTTTCTGCAGGCCTCCCTGCACACTCTGGGGCGTTCGCAGCTCTGGAGCCCGCGGGGCAGTGCGTCCGGCCCCGCCCTGGGCCTCATTATCTACGTTTCCGCGTCACGCCCGCCGCGAACTTGGCAGGCCCTCCCGCCGGGTTCGGGAACACTGTGTGCCTAGCGCCCGCCCTCCTCCCTTCCGCCGGCCCCGCGCGATCCATAGGGTTTGGGTCGCTGGGCGCCAGGTACCCGCACCCGGCAAGCAGCCACGGAGCCCCTCGCGCACTTGTCCTCGATACCCTTGAGTTGGGGCTACGCAGGCCACTCCTAGGCCACTGGCTGGGCGTCCGAACGTGGGTCACCCCGCGCACAGTCTAGAGGTTCAGAAAGATGCTGTGGCCCACTTTAAAACAAAGCCCAATTATTAGCGCTCGGCGGCTGTTTGCGCCGGTGCAGTGTCAGATCCCCCAGCGCTGCGGACAACCAGCACCCAAAGGAAGCCGAGCTGGAGCTAAAGATCCCGGCTCCGGAGCCATCTGACCGGTTTTGAGACCTCCAGCTCGTCGCCGTCCTGGCTGCGAGAGCTTGGGCACGGCGCCGGGGCTCAGTCTCCTCTTCTGTGGAATGGCGATAACTGTATGTGCCGGGTGACTGCACGTGGCGCGCGGCGGGTGGCGGGGATGGCAGCGGTGCGATCCCACGCCTCCAGGACCCCACCTTCCTGCGGCCCCCGATCGGCCCCGCCCCGGGGGCGCCCCAGCTGCACGCGCGGCGCTGGCTCCAAAGTGCGTCACGGGCACCGGCCGCGCTCCTTCTGCCGCCAGGGCGAGGCTGGCACCCGGCCAGCGCGGGCAGGGCCACGGGTGCCCGGCTGTTTCCCGGGTGTGGAAGGCGCTCAAGGTGCGCGGCCCGGGGCGCGCTACTGGGGGCGCCCTCCGCGGTGGGCAGCGCGCCAGGGATCGGCCTGGGCAGCCGCGGGGCGCGCGAAGGCTGCGCTTTCCCTACGGCCCCCCTCGCTTCCTCCGGCACGGCGGCAACGGAGATTTCCTCTCGGGGAAACTACGCGGATCCTTTTCGGGGATCCTCGCCCCGCCCCAGTTCTCCGCCCCCTCCCCTTTGCTGGGGCGCCTGGGCTGGCCCGCGCAGGGGAGGAGGCTCTGGCAGCCTGGGCAGGGAGGCGGCGGGGGGCCGCGGAGCCGCTGGCCATCGATTCTCCCCGCCATGTGACGCCGTCCTTAGCCCTGCGACCCCCAGCGCGTCCCGGGCCTGCGCCTCCGCCCCGCCGCGCAGCGCACGATGCTTCTGCCGGGACGCGCACGCCAACCGCCGACGCCCCAGCCCGTGCAGCATCCCGGCCTCCGCCGGCAGGTAGAGCCGCCGGGGCAGCTCCTGCGCCTCTTCTACTGCACTGTCCTGGTCTGCTCCAAAGAGATCTCAGCGCTCACCGACTTCTCTGGTAAGAGCGCCCTCCCTGGCTGTGTGCCCCCGGCACCGCGGAGCGCCCAGGTGAACCCTCGACTGGGGGCAGCCGCACCAGTGGACACGGCGGGGTAGGATTAAAGTTGAGGCGTGCTCACAGACACTTGTCTGGTGTGAGCCCTTGGCATATAGATGGCTGCGAGTGAAGTGGCGACGGGGGACTGCCACTCCCAAGAAGGAAGGGTGTGTAATGTATTCAGAGTTTCTCGCCCTGCTGTTGACCTCGTCAATTTCCTAGCATTAGGGACCTGGTCCTGAGCCACGCTCGTTCTATGGAGGCTCCTTAAACTGAGCCCTGTGCCGCGCCCAGCGCTGTAAAATACACGTGTTGTGGTCGGAGGCGTTGCGCCGCGTTTGTCACCCGCGTAGCCCGTTTGCCCATGTAAGGAGACTAGCCCAGGGGACACTTGACCTCGAGTCCACATTGGCAGGTAGAAAGGGAAGCCCGCGGGGACTGGAGGTCTGGTGGAAAGGCAGTGAGGGATGAGGAGATACTTAGATAAGAGAGAGGAGCCTCTCTGCCAAAGTGTACCAGGGTCCTCCCTCTCCAATTCCAGTTTCCTTCACAGAAAATAATGACTTCCTACTCTCGAATAAACTAGGAGGCTTTTCTTTTTGGGAATCGTGATCCAGGCTCTCGCAGCGGATCTCAGATAGTTCTGAGCTTACAGGTGTGACGCCCCAAAGTGAAAGGGATTTCTAGGTTGACGATAGCCATAGGAGCACATGCTTAAGTTAGCGCTGCAGTTGCTTAAGGTAACACATGTCCTTGCCGCTGAAGCACACCTGGATCTCCCTCTGGCAAGGCTGGAGGCCTTCAGCCTTCCCCAGCCCAGCTTAGGGAGCAGCTCTGAGCCCCATACTCCTCCTTCTCCAGGGATCTTCTGCCAAGTTCAGGCTTTGCACAGTCGGTCCCTATCGGGTCCTCAGTGCAGAGTCTTTTGCAACATAATGGTGGTAAAGGGAGTCCTCCTCAGTCCTGTTTGTGCAGTAGGCTAGTACATAGCAAAGAACAAGGGCAAACCAGAAGTTGAGATGGGGTTCTAGTTTACTTACAGAGAATGTCATTGTTAGTGGAGAGCCCTTAGGTCAGAGGTTCTTTGCTTTGAATATGTAATATCAAGGCAGTATTCCTACCTAGCAAAGGAAGCCAAGATAAGGCCTATTTGGCAAGCCACCCACGGCCCTTAAAATCAAGCATCCCAGGATCAGAACTCTGTGGTAAGAGTTGTGGGGAAATGCATCAGACTTTTCAAGGGCTATTAACTTTTTTTTTTGTACTACTAGAACTTTCTTGGCTGCTAGAAAAGCTCTGTATTAGCTGATTTGAGCTATGGAAAGCAGTTCTGAGTTCAGCCACCATCTAGCTCTGAATTCTAAGGAAATAATTGAAAACTGACAAGCCTTTTTGTGTTTGTGACATCATTGCAACTGAACAAATATTGCTTTAGGCAAATTGCAGTGTAACCATTAGATTGTTTTCACAGATTATAGACACTTAGAGTTCTGTTGCTTTAGGGAAGCAGTTGCAATACTTGTAACAGTCTATAGATTACCACCCAAGTTTGGAATTGTCTGTATCTAGCAACTGTTACATACAGTGGAGTTGAGCTATCAACTCCTTAGTAAAATGAATGATTTGATACATGTTATTCTAAATAGTATAAATGATAAAAGGCATTTTCTTCTGCTTTCCATACGAACCTAAATTCCAGGGTTTCAAACTCCCTGAGCCAGCAGTAGGTGGTGATATTGCCACCCACAACGAGCCCCCATTTTTCCTCTCATCAGTGATGCTCTCCAGAGATCTGAAGATTAGGCAGAACATGTCAGAAGCCTTTTGGGGAGAAGAAAGGAAATATAATGTCCTCCCAAACCACTGATGCACTTAAATTTAAACCTTAATTCTATATCATGTGAGGTCAGGGAAATATTAGAAAAATCTCAGGGAGAAAGAAAGATCATCTTCCAAAGTTGGCTCATTTGACTTGGATTTTAGCCGCCCTCCCTCTGCAAATTCCTAAGCTCCAAAGATGACCATCTTATTGTTCGGTTCAGTGTTTCAGCTGACGCGAACCCCATGTGGCCTCAAAGCTTGCCGCCTGTGTTCCTGGGACAGTCGGTCCTGTTCCTTTTTATGAACTTGAAGGAGTGCATAGAAACCAAAACTGAGGCCTGGAAGGAGACAGTGGATCCTCCCCTGCAGAGCCTGATCACAATAACCAGGGCTAGAGAGCAGTGTTTGACAATGCAGATACTTGCCTGTTTTTCTAAATAAAGGGAACATCAAAAACTAGCAGAGGATAGAGGAAACTTGGGATCCCTCTGCCCTGTGAAGGAGGAGGGAGGATGGTGTATCCATGTGAAAGAAAGTGCCAGAATGTCAGGGGTCCCAGCCATTGTCTGTACAATATAGGCCCCTTTCTCCCCCCAGGAGATTAGCAGTGCAGAGTTTTGGAAAGTTCCTTAAGCCTTTCTCTTCTTTGCGGCTCTTCCTTGAGCCTTTTCCTGGGGCTGTCAGCTGGTGTCGTTTTCCTGGGTCATTGATTTTTTTTTGCCCTCAGGGATTCCAGCATCGATCTCACTCTTAATAAGCCAGAGGCAGCATCATGGCCCCCTCCTCCTCCCTGTCCATGCTCGTGACTTGTTCTAATCACCTCCAAGCTTGCTAGTAAACAGGCTCCCCAAACACCGCCTTCTCTCTCATCTCCAAAGATTTTGAGATGTCGCCAGCGGCCACTGGAAGGCTATCATCACTGCATTAAAAATGAATCCCAGCGAAGGCAAGAGAAGTTCATGCAAAATTAGTGCCTCTGATCCTTAATCTCATACTCAAATGTGCTTGGCTTTCATCCACTTTCCTCTTTGGGATAGAGTTCTCTTCATTTGACTGCATTCTCAAATTGAGGATTTGGCTTGAGACGTCTAAATTCATCATTGACTTAAAAAACAAAACAAACCCCAGAAGTATAATGCTATGCCCATAGTTCTTTGTTCAGAGAACAAGACAGGGAGCTGGAGCTTGAGGATGAGTGCTGAGAGGAGGGAGGGGTGCCCTCTTGAGTAGCAGCCATAAAAAGCAAGGGATCCTCATATTTTTGCCTTAAAGAGTGGTGTTTCAGTGTGTCTCTTGTATTTAGTTTGTGATGGTCCCTCAGTACTTACTGTTTTGTGTGTGTGTGTGTGTGTGTGCTTCTAATTTGTGTTGTTTCTCTGCTGAAGGTAAGCTGGGTCTTCTCTTTCCTCCCTGCTTCTTTCCTTTCTCTCCTTTTCTTTTTCTTTTTCTTTTTTTTTTTTTTTTTTTCTTTTTGAGACGCAGTTTCACTCTGTTGCCCAGGCTGGAGTGCAGTGGTACAGTCTCGGCTCACTGCAACCTCTGCCTCCCAGGTTCAAGCAACTCTCCTGCCTCAGCCTCCTGAGTAGCTGGGATTATGGGCACCCACCACCACACCCAGCTAATTTTTGTATTTTTAGTAGAGACATGTTTTCACCATTTTGGCCAGGCTGGTCTCGAACTCCTGACCTCAAGTGATCCACCCACCTTGGCCTCCCAATGTGCTGGGATTATAGGCATGAGCCACCGCACCCAGCCTCTCCTTTTCTTTTTCTTTTGTTTCCTTTTTTCTCCAAGAAGTTCAAAGTGATTGATGGGCTTCTAGGTAGAGGTGGGGAGGAAGGAAGGGAAGGAAAGGGTAGAAAGTTGTTCTAGTTCCCACTTGAATTCCTCAAGAACTCCCACCCTTGGACAAAGTAGACATGACCAAATGTTTCCACATTTGATTTTGTCCTAGGGCACATAGTGGTGAATGTGAGAAGTAGAAGGGACAGGGGATGGGAAACAAGGAGAGTGGGGCAGTCTTTAAGGCCTTCCTTGTACCCAAATGTCCCCAGACCTCAAACAAAGGTCACTCTATAATAGAAGTGTTGTTGTTGTTTTTTAATGGAGTCATGCTCTGCTGCCCAGGCCCGAGTGCAGTGGCTATTTGCAGGTGCAGTTATAGTGCACTGCAGCCTCAAACTCATGGCCTTAACCGATCCTCCTCCCTTAGCCTCCTGAGTAGCTAGGATTACAGGTGTGCACCACCCCACCTGGCCTGGGCCAGTGTTCCAGTCCCTGCCATTGGTAGCCCAAGTGAGCATTAAGTGGTACTTGGTACCAGATTGTATTAATTTGCTAGGGCTGCCATAACAGTGTACTACAGACTGGGTGGCTTACACAAGGAACATTTATTTTATCACAGTTCTGGAGGCTAGAAGTTCAAGATCAAGGTCTTGGCAGAGTTGATTTCTTGTGAGGCCTGTCTCCTTGGCTTGTAAATGGCATCTCCCTGCTGTATCTTCACATGGTCTTCCCTCCATGTGTGTCTGTGTCCTAACCTCCTCTTCTTACAAGGATATCAGTCATATTGGACTAGACTCCTTCAAATGATCTCATTTTCATGTAGTCACCTATTTAAAGGCCCTGTCTCCAAATACTATCATAGTCTGAAGTGCTAGAGATTAGACTCCAATGTTTGAATTTTAGTGGGATGCAGTTCAGCCAAAACTTAGATCATTTGCAGCCCAATAAATAAACCTGACTGATAGCTCTTTATTTCACTGGCCAGGAATTCCAGGGTATAGAAATATGGTAATTCAATTGATCCCGGGGGCCTTGAGGTGGGAACTCAGTATTGATGGACACAGTTGTTCATTTTGGAGAGGTTGAACCCTGTTATTTGCTTTCAGATAAGCATTGGGTCTCAGTCCTGGCAGCACAATAAAATCTCCTGGGGAGACTAAAAAAATATCTATGGACATTCAGGCTGCACCCCAAGACTTCTGATGTAATTGGCCCTGGGAGAGCCAGTCACTGATCTCTTTTTGAAAGCTCCCCAGGCAATTCTAATATGCAGCTAGAGTTGAGGACACCTCTGGAGTTCAGAGGGGAGGGTGACCTTCTGCCCATGCATCAGGTCATCCAAGGGCACAGAGTGTGGCTGGGTGTCCCCTTCACCCCCTACCCTAGGGCTCATCACCAGGGAGACCAGGACTGTATTTCCCCAGCATATCAGCACCTCGCAACACAGACACCTGTGCATGCACAGCCATGCAAACACACGCATGCACACACCCTTCCCTCTGCATTTCATGATGCCTCAGTCACATCATCCTTTTTATTCAAGATTTATCTTTACTTTAAAAAAATTTATGGAGTGAAAAGCCAGCTCGTAACTAAAGAAAAACAAACCAAATGTCCGAAGGAGTTGTCTAGAGGCCACAGAAGAAGAGAGATGAATAGCCAGTGTCTGAATCTGCTCATCTGTTTCCATGGAAAGTGACTACATCTGAAAAGTTTTCTGCCGGCTCTTTTTATGGCAGAGAAGAGTCTCGGCCCACAAGTGGTCCCTGTTATTGATGGCTTTGGTCTCCCAGGTGCTTTATTGGAAAGGGGAGCCTAGCAGCAGTTTCAGGGAAGAAACAGAAAGGAAGAGGGTAAAAGTTAATTGAACTCAGTTTTATCTGATTTCATCCTCGTAGCAACTCTGTGAGATCAGGACCAGTCTCATTTGCAGATGAGAACTCAGCCTCAGAGAGGGTAACAAAGTTGCCCAAGACCACCCAGCTAGGGAGCAGAGCTGAGGCAGGCTCCAGCACCAGGGCTGGCCAGAGTACAGGGATGGGGCCAGGCTGGGGACTTCGCCTGCAAGGGTGTTGGGGGTAGGGAGGAGCAAGGCCAGAAAAAAAAAGTACCACAATTTGCCTAACCTTTCTTGAAAGTTCATGGGGTCATTGCTGCCATTTTGGTTACCTTCTGAATAGACTGACCTTTTCCTACCCTCCCATCAGCATCATTTCATCACAGTCCTTCCAAAGTGGGTGCACTCACAAAGTGGTCCAGTGGGGTAGGAAAAACATGTCAGAACTTCTGTTCTTGCCTATTGGTTTTCCATCTTAATAAAAAAAGGAGTTAAGTTTTGCTTATAATTAACATATAAATTGACAGAACAACATGTAATTTATAAATAAGTGTGCATATATTGGAGATGTGTTCTCAAAATGTTTCTGTTCATAATGTTTTTTATAATTGTTTCTGCCAGTAATAATAATTATTTTTTAAAACTTTTATTTTAGGTTTGGGGGTGCATGGGAAGGTTTGTTGCGTAGATGAGTTCATGAGTTAAAAAAATTTGGAGGTCACTGATCTTCACAGCCATCCTGTTGGCTTAATATCTTTAAAATTCTTAGTGAGGCACCACTTTGAGGGTAATGTACTATGAGAGAACAATTGCTCCCTCGTTACCCACCCCTATTGCCTGACTTGCGTACTGCTCTCCCCAGCTCCACAGCTGCTAATAAAATTTAGAAGCAGGATTTGAACCCAGTACCTATTGGGTTTTAAATATCCATACTGATGGCCGGGCACTGTGGCTCACGCCTGTAATCCCAACACTTTGGGAGGCCGAGGCAGGTGAATCATTTGAGGTCAGGAGTTTGAGACCAGCCTGGCCAAAATGGTGAAACCCCATCTGTACTAAAAATACAAAAATTAGCTGGGCATAGTGGCATGCTCCTGTAATCCCAGCTACTCGGGAGACTGAGGCAGGAGAATCACTTGAACCCAGGAGGTGAAGGTTGCAGTGAGCCGAAATCGTGCTTCTGCACTTCAGCCTGGGTGACAGAGCGAGTTCCTGTAAAAACAAAAACAAACAAAAAACAAAAACAAACAAACAAACAAAAAAACATACTGTCACTGAAGCTGAGCAATGGACCAAGAAGGTGGGAGCGGGGGTGGGGGCTGGGGGGAGGTCTGAAGTTTTATGATACTTTGTCACTATTTTAATGAGGCTGGTATATTTGTATCCTTCTGTAAGGAAATGGTTTCTCATAATAACATAAATCCTAAATCCTACAGTCATGAAGATTTTAGTACTGGAAAAAGAATCTTGGGTTGGAAAGGCAGCTGACCAAGTGATTCTGGTGTCTTCTGAGTTTCCCCTTGCCCCTTGGGGTATCTCGTTCTGCCACCCCTTTAGTTGGCTCCCATGTGTGCACCACCGGCTCAGCAGAGGCAGTAACTTCTTTACTTGGTTTCCCTCAGTATGAGTAAAAAAGTTGGTGAGTTAAAAATACTTTTAGGGTTTTAAAAAATTTTTACAGCCTGGCCCATAGGGTGAAACCTGTCTCTACTTAAAATACAAAAATTAGCCAGGCATGGTGGTGGGCGCCTGTAATCCCAGCCACTCGGGAGGCTGAGGCAGGAGAATTGCTTGAGCCTGGGAAGCGGAGGTTGCAGTGAGCCAAGATCATGCCACCACACTCCAGCCTGGGCAATAGAGCGAGACCCTGTCTCAAGAAAAAAGAAAAAAAATTATCTTTTACTTTTGAGATAGGGTCTTGCTCTGTCACCCAGGCTGGAATACAGTGGTGCAATCACGGCTCACTGCAGCCTCAACCTCTGGGGCTCAAGCCATCCTCCCACCTCAGCACTCCCTAGTAGTTGGGACTATAGTCACATGCCAGCAGGCCTAGCTAATTTTTTTTGGCATTTTTTTTTTGTAGAGACAGGGTCTCACTATGTTGCCCAGGCTGGTCTCAAACTCCTGGACTCAAGAGAGCCACCCGCCCTGGCCTCCCAAAGTGCTGGGATTACAGGAGTGAGCCACTGTGCCTGGCCCTAAAAATAATTTATTAAGCACATAAAGCACTCTATGCCAGACACTGTTCAAAGAACTTCATGTTAACTCATTTAATCCTCCCAGTTGTAGCTATAAAGGAGATGCTAGTATAAAAAGTTCAAGAAACTGAGGCAAAGAGCAATTTAGTAACTTTTGGGGATTTGAATCCAGGTAGCCTTTCTAATACCAAGGGAATAAAACAAAATAAATTACATGCAGTTTAAAGCAGTGGCACTTCTGTCATGTTTATCTCTTCATTTCCTAGAGCCAAATCTTTCCCAGGACTTACATAAGTAATGTCCATTCCTTGTCCTGTTTAAAGATAGTACCATCTAGCCTCAAAGAACTGATTATAGAATTGGGTCTGTAATTTGTTTCTGGAAATTGGTGTTCTGAAACTATTTCCCCAACAAAACACCTAGAAATGCTGAATAAAATATAAGAAAAATCTTTTAATGTATAAATGAGTGGTGAGGAAACAAAAATGAAGAGAGAATAGAGAACTAGGGATGATAGCTGGTGCTAACCCTATGGCTACGTTGGAGTTGCTTGATGGTCTTGACAACGAAGATTTAACAGGTGCCTGAGCGCAGGCGATAAGGAGTGAGACCACTGTATAGTGAGGAATTAGAATAAAGACCTCTATATAAAGCCAGGACTTTGAAAACCTAAGCCTTCATTAAAAGGTGGATGTAAAACAAATCAGCCTTCTTGTAAAGAAAGATGACAAGGAAACTTGTCATAGCCTAGGTTCAGGATTGGAGAAAAAAATAATGTCTCTTGAGATGGTGTAATCAAAATTCTGCCTTTTGGAGAGTCTGGGTTTTG
The DNA here is from genome assembly GCF_000001405.40 of Homo sapiens. NCBI lineage: Eukaryota > Metazoa > Chordata > Mammalia > Primates > Hominidae > Homo > Homo sapiens. The sequence continues at coordinate 32,421,523 of NC_000021.9, forward strand.
AATTCATATTACCTTTACTGGGAAACCCAAGTTGAGAAACTAATAAAGTTGTCCCATGATACCTGGCAAAAACAAACACACAGATACTGCCTTCATGGGAATATCATCAATATAGGCCCATCTATAGATTCCTATAGCTAAAATGCTGCTGATTATGATCACACAATTCAAAATTACATTATATGAGCAGTAGTCAGCAGCAATGACACGGTTCTTAAGTAATAAAAGAGAGAATCTAGGTCTGGGCATGGTGGCTCATGCCTGTAATCCCAGCACTTTGGGAGGCCGACGTGGGTGGATCACCTGAGGTCAGGAGTTCAAGACCAGCCTGGCCAACATGGCGAAGCCCTGTCTCTACTAAAAAATACAAAAATTAGCTGGGTGTGGTGGCGGGTGCCTGTAATCCCAGCTAGTTGGAAGGCTGCGACATGAGAATCACTGGAACCTGGGAGGTGGAGGTTGCAGTGAGCTGAGACTGTGCCACTGCACTCCAGCCTGGGCAACAGAGCAAGACCCTGTCTCAAAAAAAAAAAAAAAAAAAGAGGGAATCTAAAAAGAAATTTAAGAAGGAATCTAAAACATGAGAAAGGAACAAAAGGCTATCGAGAAAAAACAGGTGTATTTGTAAAAGAATCAAAGATATCTACTAACATGAAAAATATATTCATTGACATGAAAAGCCTGATGGGTAGGTTGAAGAGCAGATTAGGTATAGCTGAAGAGAGAAACAGTGAGGTGGAAAAAAAAGCTGGAGAAATTATCCGGAATGAAGCAAAACAGGTAAACATATGGAAAACATGGAAGAAAAGTCATAAGACATGGAGGATGGAATGATGGTTGAATATACATCTGATCAGTATTCCAGAAAAAGAAAGTAGGGAAAAGGAGAGAGAGGCAACACTCAAAGTGATGGTGTCCTAGGATTAATTTTTAAGGATTGATGAAAGATTCAGAGTTAAGCATTCCAAGGAAGATAAATAAAATAAATTTATACCTGAATGTGTCATACTGAAACTGTAAAATACTAAAGACAAAGTGACAGTCTTAAAAGCAATCAGATAGTAAAGGAAATGTTATCTATAAAGTCTTTGCTACAAAAACAGTGGGAGCCATAGACAGCGAAATAATATTTTCCAGGTTCTGAGAAACAAACAAACAAAAAACAACCATCAGTCCTGAATTATATACCCAGCTTAACTGCTTTTCAAGAGTGTGTGAAGGAAAGACAAATTTACCGCTAATGAATCTTTACTAAAAGAACTATTAAAGGGGTCAGGTGCAGTGGCTCACATCTGTAATCCCAGCACTTTGGAAGGCCGAGGCAGATCACTTGAGGTCAGGAGTTCGGGACCAGCCTGGCCAACTTGGTGAAACCATGTCTGTACTAAAAATACAAAAATTAGCTGGGCATGGTGGTGCACATCTGTAATCCCAGCTACTCACGAGGCTGAGGCAGGAGAATCGCTTGAACATGGGAGGTGGAAGTTGCAGTGAGCCAAGATCATGCCACTGCACTCCAGCCTGGGCAGCAGAGTGAGACTCTGTCTCAAAAAAAAAAAAAAAAAAAAAAAAAATGGTGGACAAAGAAATGGTACAACTTTGAATGCACTTTATCCACATTCCTTGCTCTGTCTTCCTGCTGAGGGAGTATAATCTTTTTGTATTGAGAGGGATGTTCTGTAATATATTTCACTCTTTTGATAGCAAAAGTCATGAGACACTTTCTTGACCCACTTGAGCTCTTCCAAGGACTATAACTTCCACCCTGAGATACTCAAGGCTCCTCCACAGGTGAGCCTCAGTTTCATGGTGACCACACACTAGAAATTCTGTAGGGAAGAATGGGAAACAGTCTAAAGCCTCTCAGGTACCAGATGCTGTGCTAGATATGGTACAACCTACTCCAAAAAATCATTCCTTCCCTGGGGAAGCTTGCTTCTTAGTGGGTTCATGGACACACACATTACAGAGGAGTTTGAGGGATGAGCAATCGATTTGGCAGGTCACATTCTCCAAAAACTAGTAAGCAAACCACAGAGCTTGGAACTGAGTGTTTGGAAGTATGTTCACAGACCTACTAGATGACTCTGGCTATGCATAGATTTTACATTTCCTTACATGAATTTCTCATCCTTATGTTCTCTCCGACACCTGTATCATTTGCTCACTCAAGCCTCTGGAAATGAATTTCTCCTGCACTAACAAGTTAGAGAATGAAATGATGCTTGGATGAAGTGATGCTTAGGGTTCGTTTCAATCTGAGAGCCAAGTTTTCCACACGCAGAAAACCAGGCAACATTAAAATTCAAAACTCAGGCCACGGAGTCTGAAATGTATGTTTGTGAACAGTCTGATTTCATGTCTGCCTCTGATGCCCTGTGAATACAAATCACCTCATCTGGGGCTGGAGGAGCAGAGAGGAAGAAACCTAAGAATGATCTCCAAAACAAATCTTTAATTCGGATGAGTATAATAGAGTGTAATCCCATTTCAAGTCTGTCAGCATTCCTTTGATGATTACAAATGAGTCCCTTTTCCCCTGCAATGTGGGGGAATAATCTGGATAAAATAATCCTTTTTGTCTGCAAAGGCCCATGCGATGCGTACTCGTGACAGCTTTCAGAGTAGTGTTTCAGAGTCTGAGAGAAGAGCACACTGTCCTACCAAGTTATCTCCTTTCTTTCTCTTGACTTAGAAGATTTTTCACTCTTTTCATGTTCAGTGGCTTCCGAAATTCTCAGGCTTAGAAATCATAAATCATCGTACTGTACTGAGGAACAAGAGAAACCCAGGTCACCAGCTCCTTTTCCCTCCCTGCCTGCTCAACAGGAGATGACAGGTGGAAATGGGAATGTATGATCTTATCTAGAAGTCCAATTTGTACAGCTTTGGAGGGATATACTTGAAGAAATTCACATAATTTTACAGTCTCTTTTTCATTAAAAAAAATGTACACTGAACCCAAGTTCAGGCTTACATGCCTCCCTTTGTCAATTTCCTTGTAAAATTAAGGGATTGTCATTTTAAACACTTCATTCTATTATCTGAAACCTGAATGCCAGAACGCTCCTTCCAAAGCTAATGATGCAAAATGTTTTGTGGACAGGCCACCCTGGACACAAAGACTCAGAATGAAAAGAGGTCTTGAGAACCCCAGTGCTGTGGTCCCGCTCTGTGGAACTGGTCACGGCAGGCTGTGGAGAACCACACAGAGCAGATCTTGTGGTCTTGCTTGTTCCACTTTCAAGTGCAAAGGTCCCTCTCATCTGATTTCCGTATTTTTTTTATTTTAAGTTAGAATGTCCCAAGATGATGATGATGACGTGATGATGATGATGATTGATGATGATTTCTCATAGAGTCTCATTCTGTTACCCAGGCTGGAGTGCACTGGCATGATTGTGACTCACTGCAGCCTCAACCTCCTGGGCTCAACAGCTCCTCCTGCCTCAGCCTCCCAGGTAGCTGGGACTACACACCCCGCTAATTTTTAAAAGTATTTTGTAGGGTGGGTGCAGTGGCTCACACCTGTAATCCCAGCACTGTGGGAGGCTGAGGTGGGCAGATCACCTGAGGTCAGGAGTTTGAGATCAGCCTGGCAAACATGGTGAAATCCCATCTCTACTAAAAACAAACAAACAAACAAACAACAACAACAAAAATTAGTTGGGTGTGGTGGCATGCCCCTGTAAATCCCAGCTACTCAGGAGGCTGAGGTAGGAGAATCGCTTGAACCCAGGAGGCGGAGGTTATAGTGAGCCGAGATCACGCCACTGCACCGCAGCCTGGGAGACAGAGTAAGACTCCATCTCAAAAAAAAAAAAAAAAAAAAAGAGTATTTTGTAGAGACAGGGTCTTGCTAGATTGCCCAGGCTGGTCTCAAACTCCTAGCCTTGAGCGATTCTCCTGTCTCAGCCTCCCAAAGTGCTGGGATTACAGATAGGAGCCACTGTGCCTGGCCCAGGATTATTTTTTATTAGTGTTAGAGCTCTCAAAAACCATAAACTAAGGCTTTGAGGCAAAAGGTCTTTTCTTGTCTCAGATTTCTGTGTCTCTCCCTGGCTATTCAAGTCAAGGCAGGTTATTTGGGTTTGTCAACATTTGCCAAAAATGCTATATGCTCTTTACAGGGGACGGCGATCTTTACCCAGTGAACATTTTGCTTTTCCTGATATTTAGTTGAAACCAGTGATTCTCAGTCCAAGAGTGATTTTGTCCCTTGGGAATATCTGGCAATCTCTGGAGGCAATTTTCTTTGTCACAGCCTCTTAGTGAGTAGAAGCCAGGGACACCGCTAAACATCTGACACTGTCCAGGACAGCGCCCCCACAGCAAAGAATCATGCAGTCCTTGTGCTAAGGTTGAGGAACCCTGGGCTAGACCAGCAGATTTGTCCTTGTTTTATTTTCCACACTTTTAGAACCTGAAAAAAGTGAACACTTTTTTTTTTTAAATCAGAGTTGAGTCTGGAGTCCCTAGACAGCTCTGAAAGACTCTCTTCTCCAAATCTAGCTTGCCTTCTGCAGCCCGAAGGAGGTCTTCAGTTCCATAAAGCCAAAGAAATGAAAATCCACTGGCTGCTGTGCTTCTCCACCCTCTCTAGCCCAGTGGGGTTTTAGTCAGAATTTTTCCCCCTTCCTTTCCTCCAAGGACCTTGTCTATGTGTTTGGCCCTTTTGCCTTCATCTCAAGCTAGACTCTTGGCCATCATTAACGTCAAAGTGAAATATTGCTCTGGAGAGGTGTTCAGACTTGAAGTCACTTGCTCACTTGACGTGCGAGGATGTGTTTGCAACACATCTCAATTATTTCAAAATCTCAGTGAAATGGTTGCATGATGGGGGGTGGATAATTTGATTTGAACATGAAAAAGGAAGGAGAAAGTCACGAAGATAGTGCAGAGATTTTTTTTTTTTGGCATCTCCCACTGCCTCCCCGACTTTCCTCCTTCCCTGTGTTCCTGCTCTCATTCCCCCTACCTCTCTCTCTCCAACCCCTGCCACCCCACCAGCCTCCATGCACTCACATACAGACAGCTTGGGTGTTACTTTGTGAACAGTGCATTCAGCAGTCTGTGCTGCTGTTATACACTTATCAAGATACGCTGGAGTTTGTGTGGTCATGGGGCTAAGCATCGTTTTACAGCCCACATCGAGAAGGAGGAGTCGACGGACTCCTCTGAAATGGTAACTACCATCCCTGCCCAGAGGCCTCAAGACTGCAGAGCAGCTTCCACTTTCTGAGCATGCCTCCCTCCATCACCCCTTCAGACAAGTCACAACTCTACTTAAAATATTTTTTTCCTTCTGCCAAACACAGGGAAAATATAGTATTGTTTCCAAGAGAGCGAGCAGGGGCACCAGCAGGAATGGGTGTGCAGTATTTGTACAGTTTTGTGACTCAGTCCATCTGAATTTCCAAGCATTTTAAGAGCTTTGTCCCAAAAAAAGGTCTATTGTGTGGCTCTTGGCACTGAAGAAAATAGCAGGCCTGTCAGAACTCTGTTTCAGATTTAATTTTCAAGTGGGTGATGTACGAATGCTGTCCAACGGGAGGGCATTTTCTCATTCCTGCTCACTTTGGTGCCATAGAACTTCAGTTTTCAGAATCAGCTCAGATTAAAAAACTGAAGCATCTTTTCCCTGGACACCCTTTTAATAAAAAGGCACCATGTTCTTAAGCAAGGATTACTGTGGCTCTTAAATGAATATGGCTTCCTGCAATAAAAGTAAAAACATTTGACGATGTATATAATACATTTGTTTTTTCAGAGCATCTTCTTGCAAGACTTTACTATTCTTTGTTTCTATATAGTTTGGAAACGCAGGCCTAAAGACATTATTGATCTTCTCAAATGCCTCTTGAATGGAGTATTTACCGCTGGGTATAGACAGTGTTAAAAATAGGCAGAGGCCGGGCGTGGTGGCTCATGCTTGTAATCCCAGCACTTTGGGAGGCTGAGGCGGAAAGATCACGAGGTCAAGAGGTTGAGATCATCCTGGCCAATGTGGTAAAACCCCATCTCTACTAAAAATACAAAAATTAGCTGGGCGTGGTGGCACATGCCTGTAGTCCCAGTTACTCGGGAGGCTGAGGCAGGAGAATCGCTTGAACCTGGGAGGCGGAGGTTGCAGTGAGCCGATATCGTGCCACTGCACTCCAGCCTGGTGACAGAGCAAGTCTCCATCTCAGGGGAAAAAAAAAAATAGGCAGAGGCCAGGCACAGTGGCTCATACCTATAATCTCAGCACTGTGGGAGGCCAAGGTGGGAGGATGACTTGAAGGCAGGAGTTTGAGACAAGCCTGGGCAACATAGCAGGACTCCATCTCTATTAAAAAAAAAAAAAAAAAAAAAAGAAAGGCAGGAAAAACTTGTTTTTGAAGTTTCTCTTTTCCTAGTTGTTTTCTTCCCTGGACCTTAAACAGTGGACAGTGACTTTTCTCATTACATGTATACTTTATGTAGAGTGCACAGTTTGTCCTCCATGTCCCTTGTCTTCTCTTGTTGATAAAGATTGTGTACTATATATTTTTAAAAAAGAACTGAAGCATCGTATCTGACCCCTGGATCCCTCTGAACTGTGAATAGATGATAAACTTCTGGGCTCAGAAATTTTCCCATAATGTTGCCAAGCATTAGTCCAGCGTGGAGGCGACTTTCTGCTCAAACCACTCATTTGGGTCCCGCGCCCAACGTCACCCATCCTCAGCAAAACAACCTTTATTTCCTTCTTCCTGGTTTCCAGAAAGTTCCCTTAAAGCCCTGAGGAATCACCGAATGAAAGGGGCTTTTTACAAACAGGAAGCTTAAGTGGAGTGCCAGTACACAACATGGATTGCACCAGGCTGGGTCTAAGATAAAACCAGACTGTGGACAACGGGACAGATAAGGCCCACATGGCTCTGCACTGCCTGGGTCTGTTACTGTGTGGAGGAATGTCTTAGTCTGTTGCTCCTGTGGGTGTAGCTAAAACACGAACCAGGAGCCTTCATCCTTAGAAAGGAGTCAGACAGACACCTGAGAACCAATCCCAAACTGCACCCTTCCCCTGAACCTCGTGGAACCTTCTGGAATGCAACTTATTACTGCCAGAGGGTCTTTGATGAGAGTCTACTCTCCACTATTTGTCTTCATTACCCACATATTCTCTTTCCGTGGAAAGGTAAGTTATTAGAGTTTATGCAGTCTGGTATATTAACTGAGAGCTTTACTTTAAAGAATGTCATGTTTACGATTCAGTCTCACAGACTGGGTTAAAAAGGCAGTGTTGACTATTAAGTTGTAAATTACTATAATGATCATTATTATTATTCAAGCAAGCTGTGAGGAATGAGCATTATCTCACAATATCTGCATTTTAGTGAACCTGAGGGAAGAGTGTATTTGCTGGAATTACAGAAGCCTGAGAACCACAGGGGAATTCTCACTGCAGGGCATTCAGGGTCCAAGGCTGATTCTATTTTGCATGCTCAATCCTTCCTCAATTTATTTTTATTTATTTATTTATTTATTTTTTGAGACAGGGTCTCGCTCTGTCGCCCAGAGCGAGATTGTCGCCTTGGTGCAATCTCAGCTCACGGCAACCTCGCCTCCCGGGTTTAAGTGATTCTCCTTCACTTAACCTTCACTTAACCCAGCCTCCCAAGTAGCTGGGATTTCAGGCACCCACCACAAAGCACAGCTAATTTTTGTATTTTTAGTATAGACGGGATTTCACCATGTTGGCTAGGCAGGTCTTGAACTCCTGACCTCAGGTAATCCTCCTGCCTCGGCCTCCCAAAGTGCTGGGATTTCAGGCGTGAGCCACCGTGCCTGGCCCTCAATTTTATTTTTCTATTTATTTATTTAGAGATGGATTTTTGCTCTTGTCCCCCAGGCTGGAGTGCAGTGGTGTGATCTCGGCTCACTGCTACTTCTGCCTCCAGGATTCAAGTGATTCTCCTGCCTCAGCCTCCTGAGTAGCTGGGATTATAGTCACGCACCCCTACACCCAGCTAATTTTTGTATTTTTAGTAGAGACAGGGTTTCACCATGTTGGCCAGGCAGGTCTCAAACTCCTGACCTCAGGTAATTCACCTGCCTCGGCCTCCCAAAATGCTGAGATTACAGGTATGAGTCACTACACCTGGCCCCTCAATTTAATTTTAATAAAATTATCAGGGAAATAAGCCACAAAAGGACAATGTGCAGACTTTAGAACAGAGCTGTCCAATAGAAATATAATGTAATCCACATGTGTAATATTAAATAATTTAGTCACCACATTAGAAAAAGTAAAAGGGGTGAAATGAATTCTCCTAGTAAATTTATTTAACCAATATATTCAAAATATTATTATTTCAACATTAATGAATACTTAAAAATTCTTAATGAGATATTTTATGTTCTCTTTTTTTTGCTTATGAAGGCTTGGAAATCTAGTGTATATTTTACACTAACAGCATATCTCCATTGAGATGGCCACATCTCAAGTGCCCAGTAGCCATGTGTGGCCTGAGGCCACGACTCTGGGCAGTACAGCTTTAGGTGAGACTAGGGCAGGGCAGAGGGGGGCACCTGGGATCAGGCGTGGAGCTTGGGGCCTTGTTTAGCACCCTTTGGTGAGGGCACTTTCTTTCCATAAAACCCAGGTCAAGCATGCCTCACAAAGGGGCCAGTGGAGGTGCCTCAGTTTACATGGGAGCTTGGCCTCTCCAGCTTGCCTTCTTACTGCCTGGAAGAAGACTGGTGCCCTCTCGCCTTCTCTAGCCCCTTTCCCAAGAACCCTCCCAGAATTTAGTCCTGTGAAGGGCCAGGGGTGCAAGGAGTCACCCACATAATGACAGGACCCGCCAGCAATACCAGAAGTTGGCCAGCCCTACTCATCCAAATTCCTTTCTGCAGCTGGACATCACAAGGGTTTCAGACTGCCATCCTGTGGCAACTCCATTTTGGGGTCCGGGGATGTAAGGGTTATTGTATTAGTCCATTCTCACTCTGCTAATAAAGACATACCTGAGACTGGGTAATTTGTAAAGAAAAAGAGGTTTAATGGACTCACAGATCCACGTGACTGGGGAGGCCTCATGATTATAGCAGAAGGTGTAGGAGGAGCAAAGTCACATCTTACATGGCAGCAGGCAAGAGAGCTTGTGCAGGGGAGCTCCCCTTTATAAAACCATTAGATCAGGCAGGGCACAGTGGCTCACACCTCTAATCACAGCACTTTGGGAAGCCAAGGCGGGTGGATCACCTGAGATCAGGAGTTTGAGACTAGCCTGGCCAACATGTTGAAACCCCATCTCTAATAAAAATACAAAAATTAGCCAGGCGTGATGGCTCATGCCTGTTGTCCCAGATTCTCGGGAGGCTGAGGCACGAAAATTGCTTAAACCGAGGAGGCGGAGGTTGCAGTGAGCTGAGATCACACCACTGCACTCCAGCCTCGGCAACAGAGTGAGACTTGGTCTCAAAAAAAAAAATTAGATCTTGTGAGACTTATTCAACGTCATGAGAACAGCAGGGGAAAGACCCACCCCATGATTCAGTTACCTCCCACTAGGTCCCTCCCACAACATGTGGTGATTATGGGAACTACAATTAGAGATTTGGGTGGGGACACAGCCACACCATATCAGTTACTGAGCTGGGCATCTTCTTTCTTGAATGCACATTGGCCTCTGAGGCACTTCCTGGTTAACCTCATTCCACAGCTGAGAAAACCCAGGCTTGGCACAGGCAAGGGATCTGACCCAACGTCTCCCATCTTATTAGTGGAAGGACCAAGACTGGACCCACAACTATGCTCCTGTTTTGAGTCACCATGCTGCCCTCAAGATCAGATCTCAAAACAAGCAGACATGGGGGGCTCAGAAAGTCCCCAGCCTAGAACTTTCCTGTCACCCAACGACACTAAGGGCTAAGCTGGCTGCTTATTATTCTGGATTCACACTAGAATGACCTTGGGGTGTGTTTCACACATGCCAATGTCTGCAGTTTCACCCCCAGCTAACTGACTATGGATCTCTGGGTTGGGGCCTGGGCACTGATATTCATGCAGAGCTTCTGAGATGATCCTATTACATCGCCAAGGTTGACACCTGCAGAAACATTGCACGCTTTTTCATTTATTTAGTTATTAAATATGTAATATTTATTATTATTTTTCCAGACACAGAAGCGTTGCAAGAATAGTACAAAGACATCCTTTATACCCTTCACTGAGATTCCCCAGTGCTACCATTTTACCCCATTTGCTTTATTATTTTCTAAGTGGCAGATAAGTTATCCTTTACCCCTAAATATTCCTGTGTATTCCTTAATAACAAGGACTTTCTCTTATATAACCAGGCAATGATCAAAATCAGGAAACTAACCCTGCTACAATACGGTTTTCTAATGTATGGACCTCATTCAGATTTTGCCAGTTAACCCAATAGTGTACATTGGAGCAAAAGATAATCCCAGATCATGAATTATTTTCAGTTGTTGTGTCTCTGTAGGTCCCTTTTAGCCTGGAACAGCTCCTCAGTTTTTCTTTATCTTTCATGGTATTGGTATTCTTGAAGAACGCAAGATGGTTATTTGATGGAATGTCCCTTACTTTGGATTTGGCTGATGTTTCTTGGTGGTGACATTCTTATGCATTTGGGGTGGGACTGTCACAGCAATGGTATCATGTTCTTCTCTGTGCATCACATCAGGAGGGACATGCTGATGGTTTACCCCATTACACCAAAGTGAATGTTGATCATTCAGTGAAGGTGGGCGCAGGTTCATTGCTTTATATTGCAGAAGCCGTCATCAGCCATACTTGCTCTGATTAACTGATCATCTTCCGTAGCCATTTATCTAACAAGGCTGTAAGGGTCTTGAACTCAGGGTAAGCAAGCCTTAAAGCAGAACAGAAGAAAGAAAGGAAGGCTCTGGAACCTGGAGCTTTGGCAAAGGGGGCAGGTCCAGGGAACGCACCACCAAAGTTGCTCCTGGCATTAGGATGAAGAGGAAGGAGAGCATTCTGTCTAGAAGGGGTTTGGGGTTAGCGAGAGGGGCATGGGAGAGTCAGAGTCTGCCCACTTGTGGTTTTGCTGAGGGCTACACTGTGGTAGGCAGGTCTTTCGTTGCTGCTCTTGAAAATGTTGTTCCGTAATCCTTCATCTAAAACAGAGCAATTCCCTTTTTCTCAGTTTTGGCCCCCTTGGCAGGTGCTTCATCTGTCTTCTGTTCTCTTATTTTTAGAGACAGGGTCTTGCTCTGTTGCCCAGGCTGGAGTGCAGTGATGTGATCATAGGTCACTGCAGCCTTGACCTCCTGGGCTCAAGCGATCCTCCTGCCTTAGCCTCCTGAGTAGCTGGGACTACAGGTGTGCACCACTGCATGTGGCTGATTTATTTTATTTATTTTAGTTTTCTGTAGAGACGAGGTCTCACTTTGTTGCCCAGGCTGATCTTGAACTCTTGGCTTCAAGGGATCCTCCCGCCTCGGCATCCCAAAGTGTTGAGATGACAGGCATGAGCCACCACGCCCACCTCTGTCTTTTCTCTTGGGATTAATGACTTCCACATTAGCTCCAGGAATAATTTCTGTTAAGGTGATGCCTGGCTTGACACTTCTGGTAACTCCTGCTGTTTATCTATTGCTTATCTCCAGAACCCATGTGATGCTTCCCACTTCAAAGTGCACTAACGCCAGTCAGCTTGAAGGCATCCCCTGAGCTGCTGGCAAACAAGGCCTTTTTACCCACAGATTAACCTCTTATTTGTTTTAATAAATGATCAAAACTTGGTTTGCCTCCTGTGCGTATGTTGGTTGGGGCCGAGACAGGGTGGTGGTGATTTCTGTTCACCTGGGATCTCAGGCCTCCTGGTGTTCCCTGAACAAAAGTGAGGCAGGCAGAGCAATGAGCAGTGTTCCCCGTCTGCCTCGCTGCCATCAGTATTTCTACCTGTGGTTGTCTCTGGCGCGTTATCAGGATGTGTCACTCCCTCGTCTTTGTTCCCTCTCCTTATATTTACCTTCACCTGGGCTGCTAAGTGCTGCGGGAGAAACATCGCGTTGTTGTGGAGATTGTGGCCACAACAAATTTAGGTTCCCCACCCTCAGGTTGTCCCTCACTGGTCTCTTCCTCATACCTTTGAAGAAAACAACTCGTGGAGGTCGTCATATTCATAAAGGTGAACATTTCACAGAGCAGGGCACTGTTGTGGGTTGAATTGCATTCCCTCTCCCACAAAAGACTTCTTGGAGTCCTGACCCCCAGCACCTCAAAATGTGGCATATTTGGAGATAGTCATTACAACGGTAGTCAAGTTAAAATGAGGTTGATAGAGTGGGCTTTATCCAGTATAATGGGTGTCCTTATGGAAAGGGGAAATTGGCCAGGTGCAGTGGCTCATGCCTGCAATCCTAGCACTTTGGGAGGCTGAGGCGGGAGGATCACTTGAGGCCAAGGTTCAAGACCAACCTGGCCAACATAGCAAGACCCCCATCTCTGTTAAAAAATAATAAAATAGGCCAGGCGCAGTGGCTTACACCTGAAATCTTAGCAGTTTGGGAGGCCGAGGTGGGTGGATCATTTGAGGTCAGGAGTTCAAGACCAGCCTGGCCAACATGGTGAAAACTGTCTCTACTAAAAATACAAAAAAATTAGCTGGGCATAGTGGCGGGCACCTGTAATCCCAGCTACTTGGGAGGCTGAGGCAGGATAATTGCTTGAACCCGGGAGGCGGAAGTGGCAGTGAGCCAAGATCGCACCACTGCACTCCAGCCTGGGTGACAGAGCAGGATTCTGTCTCAAAATAAATAAATAGGCCGGGCGTGGTGGCTCATGCCTGTAATCCCAGCACTTTGGGAGGCCGAGATGGGCGGATCACGAGGTCAGGAGATCAAGACCATCCTGGCTAACATGGTGAAACCCCGTCTCTACTAAAAATACAAAAAATTAGCCGGGCATGGTGGTGGGCACCTGTAGTCCCAGCTACTCGGGAGGCTGAGGCAGGAGAATGGCATGAACCCGGGAGGAGGAGCTTGCAGTGAGCCGAGATAGCGCCACTGCACTCCAGCCTGGGCGACAGAGCGAGACTCCGTCTCAAAAAATAAATAAATAAATAAATAAATAAATAAATAAATAAAATTTTATATATATATAGATATAGATATGGAAAGGGGAAATTTTGGACACAGATGCACACAGGGAGAAGGCCACATGAAGATTGGACTTATGCTGCCACAAGCTAAGGAGCTGGAGGAAGCTGGGAGGGAGATCCTTCCCTAGCATCCTCAGATGGAGCGTGGCCCTGACAATGCCTTCATCTCAGCCTTCTGGCCTGCAGGTGTGAGACGATGCATTTCTGTAGTTCTAAGCCACCCAGCTTGTGGTACCTTGTTATAGCAGCCCGAGGCATTTAATACAGCAGCATTCTGAGCCCTTCCCATATAAACTCTTCATTTAATCTTCACCACAACCTCCCTGCCCATAAGTGCTGTTGTTATTGTCTTCATTTTATCTTCGTTTTATCCATGATGTCTGCAGCACAGACAGGTTCAGTAATTTGCTCATGGTCACTTGAGATAATAAAACCCCACTCTAGGGAACCTCTCATGCCTGCTTCTGGCTATCACCTTTGCTCTCCCCTTTCCTCCTGTCCCCTTCCTCTCCATCTCCTTTATGAGGCCTTCTTTGTTGTCCCATCTCTTTTTTTGTATTTTTACATTTTATTAATTTTTTTTGTGGGGGGGAAATGGGGTCTCGCTATGTTGTGCAGGCTGATCTTGAACTCCTGGCCTCGAGCTACCCTCCTGTCTCAGCCTCCTGAGTAGCTGGGATTACAAGTGTGAGCCACCATACCCAGCTGTTGTCCCATCTCCTAAATGTCTGCCTTCCCCAGCATCCCTGCCCCACAGTTCCTGCCTCAGTAGCCCCTCCTGAGCCTCAGCCACCACCTGTGCTGATGAATTGCTGCTCGCCCTCCTCCCAGGCAGGATGCCCCATGGCCACTGCAGGCTCAGCCCATCCACAACAGATTCACAATGCCTGTCCTTCAGGGCTGGATTTCCTAGATTTCCCAGCCAACGGTACCACTGGCTGAAAACCCTGCAGCCATGCCTAAATCCTCTATATGCCCACGACCAACCCCTGCTGATTTTATGGCTAAATCCCTGTCTTTACAGTCAGGACCAGCTGCAGAATTTGCAAGGCCCAGTGCAAGATGAAAACATGGGCCCCCTTATTCAAAAATCAGAGGAAAAGCACTGCTGAAGTACTAACATATAAAGCATTTTCTTTCTTCTGTGGTCTCTGTGTCTCAATTTATCATGATACTGTCATTTGTTATTTAATGTCCTTCTAAGTAAAGAAAAATTCACATTTTAAATTACTAGCATGGATTATACTGTTCCTCTTTACATTGTGCAATGCCAGATTTAAATAGGAACATTGGACTCAAATGTGGAATCACAGAAATGACATAATTTGTACTTTGCATGTGGGTTTTTTTTGCCTCACAGAAACAGTGAGACGTTGCAGGAAACTAATTCAGCTGTTTTTTGTTTGTTTGTTTGTTTGTTTTTGTTTTTTCGCCTGAGACGGAGTCTTGCTCTCTTGCCCAGGCTGGAGTGCAGTGGTGAGATCTCGGCTCACTGCAACCTCTGCCTCCTGGGTTCAAGCCATTCTCCTGCTTTAGCCTCCTGAGTAGCTGGGATTACAGGAGCCCGTCACCACACCCGCCTAATTTTTGTATTTTTAATAGAGACGGGGTTTCGCCATGTTGGCCAGGCTGTTCTCGAACTCCTCACCTTGTGATCCACCCGCCTCGGCCTCCCAAAATGCTGGGATTACAGACATGAGCCACCACACCTGGCCATTCAATTGTTTTTGTTTCACTTTTTCACACCTATACAATCAACCACCACTCTCTACCTTTGGCTTACTGATGTGTAAGGAAGAATTGAAAGGAAAAATAACTATGACTCTGCTATCTTTGCTTCTCCTATGTCATCATTTCCAGTGGAAGTGGTTGGCTACTACAGGGAATCAGATGAGTAGAAAAGGCTGGGAGAGAGTTCCTTGTTTGTTCCTGTTTCTTAGAATGCCATTGACTTGGTTTTCAATTCTGATTCTATAATAAGGGAAAGTGCAACCTCTTGGTGCTGTCAGCATCTCTCGCAGACTCCGTTGTGGACATAGTAGGCTTCCCTTATGCCCACTTGGAGCCTTGCTGGGCTCCCATGCACTGCGGACCCCCCAAGATTCTATGCTCAGGGCACGGCAGACACGCCATGGGGAGTGTGGTGGTAACTCATATTGTTGCTGGTGTCTCGTCTGCCCACGCACATGTTCTATTGCCCTGTTGGATTTTACTGATAAAACATAGATTCAGGCTGGGTGCAGTGGCTCATGCCTGTAATCCCAGCATTTTGGGAGGCCAAGGTGGGCAGATCACTTGAGGTCACGAGTTCAAGACCAGCCTAGCCCATATGGTGAAACCCACTCTCTACTAAAAATATAAAAATTAGCCGGGCGTGGTGGCGGGTGGCTGTAGTCCCAGCTACTTGGGAGGCTGAGGCAGGAGAATCACTTGAGCCTGGGAGGTGGAGGTCGCAGTGAGCCGAGATGGCACCACTGCACTCCAGCCTGGGCGACAGAGCGAGACTCTTTCTCAAAACAAAACAAAACAAAACAAACATAGATTCAAACATAAAATGAGGAGGAATTTTAAGACAGTAACAGCAGAGCATTAAGCCAAGCTCCGGGTCCCTCTCAGCATGGGGCCCTGTGTGACTGCACAGGCCAAACACCCATGAGTTCATCTCAATTTCCATCCCTCTCACACCCTTCCCCACTGCTGTGGTCTCAGTTGGCACCTTCCTCATTTCTCCCCCGGAGGACTGCCTGTACCCTGATTTCTTCAAGGGTCTCTCCAGTCCATCAGACACAGGCCAACCCAGGGTTTTTCTGCACTGCAATCCAACCAGCATCACTCCCCTGCTTACCAGCCTGCAGTAGCTCCCGCATCCCTTCAGGTTAAGATTCAGACTTCTTAGCAAGGCACTGCTTATTTCTCCAGCCTCTGTGACAGCCTCAAACCCTGCAATCGAGCTCTGCTGATCCTGGAGAAGCTCCCTCTGAGCCTTTGCACACCTGTCCCTGCTACTTGAGGGTGATTTCCACCTGGTTACCTGCTGGCATCACCTCCCACCTGGAAGCCTTCCTCATCTCTGGGGTGGGTCAGATGTAGCCGTTTTTGCCCTCTCCCTACACACCCTGCGTTTCCTCTCTCCCAGTGTTCATCTCGTGACGTACAATAAGCAATTGACTAACTTGTCCTTAAGGCCAGGGCCATAGTGGGTCTTCTTGGTGACGAATGAGGGAGGAGCGAGCGCTTTTGCTCTCTAATGGCATCTGTGGATCACTAGCTGGAGGCCTTGGGACTCTAAGAGCCAAGCTATCCAAGTGCTACAAATAACACCGCACGGCCCCCGGTCTTTCCTGTTTCCGCTCTGCGTCTATCAAGGAGGAGCAGCTGTTTTTTGAAGCCCTGCTTTCCTTCTCACAGCTTTGCTCACCCCCACCCTGCTTGATCTCCAAACTCAGAGCCTTGACTTTCCTATAAATACAGTTTCTCTCCAACTCAACTTGATGCATTCATGCAGGGTCCTAGTTCTCTCTTTCTGCCATTCCAATTCTCCTCTTTCCATTACATTTAAGAGAACCCTGGCTGGGCATGGTGGCTTACACCTGTAATCCCAGCACTTTGGGAGGCCAAGGCGGGTGGATCACCTGAGGTCAGGAGTTTGAGACCAGCCTGGCCAATATGGCAAAACCCCATCTCTACTAAAAATACAAAAATTAGCTGGGTGTGGTGGCACATACCTGTAGTCCCAGCTACTCGGGAGGCTGAGGCAGGAGAATCACTTGAACCCGAGAGGCAGAGGTTGCAATCATGCCACTGCACTCCAGCCTGGGTGACAGAGTGAGACTCTGTCTCAAAAAAAAAAAAAAAAAAAAAACCAAAACGACCAAGAAAAGGGCATTCATTTATGGTATAAGAGCTGAAAGCAAAAGGCAGAGGTTCCTCGATGGAGCTCTGCTGGGACCATGTGTAGTAGCAGCCATTCAACCTCTTCACCACCCAGCGCACATCCAGGAAAGCCCCACTGGTATTGATTTAGGGGTTATAAATAAACATTATCAAGTAGGTGAATTTGCAGCTACAGAATCTGCAGGTAATGAGGATTGATTGTAGATGCACCAATGAACTGGAGGTCAGATTTTCAACTGAACCGTCCAGGAGATGGCCAGCAACCAAGAGCTAGAAAAAAGGATTCCTGGAGGGTGGTGAAGAAAACAGAAGTCTTAGAGGCTCAGAGACAGATGAATGTAATCCCTCAGCTGTCACCTGAGCTGTGACTATAAAATGAGGCAACAGATTAAGAATAGTAAGCATAAGATTGAAGCCAGGCTCGGTGGCTCATGCCTGTAATCCCAGCACTTTGGGAGGCCAAGGCGGGCAGATCACTTGAAGTCGGGAGTTAGAGACCAGCCTGGCCAACATGGTGAAACTCCGTCTCTACCTAAAATACAAAAAAAAATTAGCCAGGCGTGGTGGCCCATGCCTGTAATCCCAGCTACTCGGGAGGCCAAGGCAGGAGAATCACTTGAACCCAGGAAGTGGGGGTTGCAGTGAGCTGAGATCTTGCCACAGCACTCCAGCCTGGGCAACAGAGCAAGACTACATCTCAAAAAAAAAGATTGGGGCAATCAGAAGCGACCACCGTCAGCAAAGGAAGGATGAAGGGGAGTGAATAAAGGGTCCACAGGACAATTAAGAAAGTGTGGGCCCTTGGGGCCATTTGGTGAAGCGGAGCCAGGTCACTGGCGAGTGTGCCAGGGAATCAATTAAGGATGAATATGAAGCTGGAGGCCAGGCCAGCATGATTACCGTGTGGACGCCCGTATTTCTTTACATTTGCTGACTGTCAACCCGGCCTCCTGTGTTTCTGTGAAATACAAAGGAAGAAATGCTGTGACCTTCCCTCATTCTAAGGTGAAACCAAAGAAGGGGAAACTGAGAGACCTATCTGAAATCCTCCACCGAGCCAATGGGGAGGCTGGAATAGATACAGCTGGTCACCCGACCTGTTCTTTAGGCACGGCTTTTTGGATTTGCCATTTACATCTGCTTCAAGTTTTAGAAACTTCCAGGCTGTGGCTTTTTTGCTGCTTTGGGGGAACAAAGCATGTTTGGTCAAGTGTACAGTAAACCTGTCCTGCTCCTAAATCCAGTCATCTTCAAAATAGATTTTTGAGGTTTATAGTGCTACTCTCCAAATGTCATTATCATCCCTAAAGTGAAAAAAAAAGGTTTAATTATTATGAGCAGTGAAATTACCATATAATCTTCCAATTAACTGAATAAGGCACCAAATAAGTGCCCTCAAGCCTTAATTTCCACCTTGAAGTTAAGGTAGGTATCATGCTTAC
Organism: Homo sapiens; assembly: GCF_000001405.40. Taxonomy (NCBI): domain Eukaryota; kingdom Metazoa; phylum Chordata; class Mammalia; order Primates; family Hominidae; genus Homo; species Homo sapiens. The sequence continues at coordinate 32,439,983 of NC_000021.9, forward strand.
CTTGATCATCCTACACATCCTCAAAGTGGGCAGAGTTGAAAGGCTGTCTAAGCGGGTGGGATGGGAGGCGGTGCCCTTCCACCCTCCTGTCTGTTTGTCGAGCTCTGTTGGTCCTTCCGATTGGTTAGCGACCCTGAGTGTTTCTGAGAGCCTTTTGTTGTATGTGAGGGCAGAACCACTAATCTGGCCAATTCCAAGCAGAAAAGATCAAGTATAGATTTCATATCTGAGTTTTAAGTGCTAGTAAAAAGTTGCATTAAGTTATCAAATGCACTGTGATCCTGGCTTCATCGCCAAGTGGCTCTGCAGTTTGAGGATTACGCTGTGTCCCGAAGAAAAGAAAAGAAAATTGTTCCGTTTAGTTGCTTGGGGTAAAGGGGGATTGATCCAGTTACTTTTAAATTAATCTAAGTCAGATGGTGTTCGCTGCATAACTTTCTAAGGTTGGTACTTGGTCAAAGAACAAGGTGTTCATTTTTATAGGATTGAAGGCCTTTGGTTGAAAAGGCATGAAGAAGTTTCTACCAGTCCTGTTTGAAATAAAATAGTAGTGTAATCTAAGGATTGTAATACAAGACCAACGCAGCACATTTAGAGTAACTTTTTAAAATTGGTTGACAGATGTCAACCAATTAACTTTTTAAAATTGGTTGATGATCTCTCTCTCTTTCCGTAGATGTGTGTGTAGCATATCACACAGAGAAATCTATAAGCCCTGGGTTATGTTGGTTGCTGATGAGGATTAATTAGAACCTACTACTCAATTATTCACTTTTGATCTGCTCTTGCTCTAGTAGTCTTCTTCACTGTGTCATTCATTCAAGAGCTGTTCATTGGGCCAGGCGCAGTGGCTCACACCTGTAATCCCAGCACTTTGGGAGGCCGAGGCGGGCAGATCACCTGAGGTCGGAAGTTTGAGACCAGCCTGACCAACATGGAGAAAACCCGTCTTTATTAAAAATACAAAAAATTAGCCAGGTGTGATGGCACATGCCTGTAATCCCAGCTACTCAGGAGGCTGAGGCAAGAGAATCGCTTGAGTCCAGAAGGTAGAGGTTGCAGTGAGCCAAGATGATGCCATTGCAGTCCAGCCTGGGCAAGAAGAGTGAAACTCCCTCTCAAAAAAAAGAACTCTTCATTTTCCTATATGATGACATACTGCTATATGACAAACTCTTGCTAGCTGCTGGAGATACAGCAATAAATAAAGCAAAGTCCTTGCTTACATCCCAAAGGGGAGAAACAGGCAACAGGTTTCTACGTAGCAAGATAAAGCAGAGTTAGGGGTGTGGGGCAGGAGGTGTGCTGTCTTGCAGAGCAACCCGGAAAGGTCTGACTGATGAGGCCACATTGGTACAAGAGGCTGAATGAAGGGAGGAAGGGAGAAAGCAGATGTTTGGAGGAAGACTGCTTCGGGCTGAGAGACAGTCAAAGCAAAGGTCCTGAGGTCAGAGTATGCTTAGCATTTTCAAGAAACAAGAAGGCACCGTGGCTGAAGTCAAGCAGGAGAATGGCAGAAGATGAGGTTGGATGAGGCTGGATGAAGTAGAAGGGGCCCAGTGGCATGGGACTTTGGATTTTTCTTTGGAGTCAGAAACCCATACAATGGTACAATGGATTGACATGTGTAGACAAATGCCGAGACAGCCACGAAAATCTGAAATCCATACATATAAATACACAAGTGGACAACTACATAGGAAAATCCACTTAAAATACATGCAAATATATGGGGGGAAATTATGGGACTTGATGAATCAGAGGGTTGGTGTACAGAAAGGGAAAAGAAGTAAGAAAAAGTGACAAGATGGGAGATAATTGGGTGACTATTAGAAACCAATGTTAACTACAAGAATTCAAAGTCCAGGTGTAGCCCAGAACGAGGTTTCTTCCATTTGGTGCCTCCCCTGTCTTCTGGGGCCTCAGAGTCTGTCCTTGTCCCCTCTGTTGTCCACTTGTGACAGCAGACGGGGAGAGAGAGGTAGTGGAGGGTCACAAGGGGTCTCAAGGGCCAGACCTTCAAGTGGCAAACATCATTTCTGCCCTCTTTCCATTGCCCAGAATTTTCCACTGGCCCACTGTACTACCAGGAGAGATTGGGGTAGGGCAGGCTGAGAAATATACTACTCCTGTGTGCTCGGGAAGAAAATATATTGTCTCTGCCTTGTCTGGACTCTCAGTTTACCTTCTCTCCTCTGTGGTTTGTTTCAGGACTAGGATCTGAGCTCATCACTTAAGAGTTGTCATAGCTATCCTTGGTCATCCCTAACTTGGGAGCCTCCCAAATATCTAAGAAACAGGCTGGTGGCTCTAGTTCTCTTCACAATTAACCTCCAGGTTCACTTTCTTAGTCTCACACCTGGGACTAGAGGAAGGACTTAAACTCATACCTAACTTCACCTTTTGATCTTGATGCCCCTGGGTGTGTAGTGCCAGTCCTGAGCCCTTGGTCATGGGGCCTTTCCTGTACCCTCAGGACCCCTGACTCATGGCTCCCCACCCCCCAACCCCATGCCATTGCCAATTCTCTAAATGCATTCACAAACACAAAAGAAAAGAACATCTTTTTCTGGAAAAAGACTTCAAACATGTAAAAACACCTTTTATTATTTGTTTATTTGTGAATACAAGGGTGTGGTCTTTTATCTAAAGCATTAACCAAGTGGAGGGTGGCAGGTTATAAAAAAAAAAAAAAAAAGCGGGTGGGAGGGAAGGCAAGGACGTAGCAAATTGAATTCCTTTCTTTTCCCAGAAGTAAGATTGTGAAATTGGCCCCTGGTGATTAGGGGACTTTAGCACACCGATGTGGGGCCAGTGACTGATATTCTTATATCCTGCGTTCAGAGTGACTCAGGCAACGTCAACCCTCAGGAAACTCAGATTGCATTGGAAGCCTCTGGCTTCAGAAAAGAAAGAGAGGAAAATGTACAGCTCTTTTGACCTCTTCTAAATACTAGTAACTTTTTAGGTCTTAATTATTAGGAAGGAAGAAGGGAAGGAAGGGAGGGAGGGAGGGAAGGAGGGAGGGAGGGAGGGAGGGAAGGAAGGAGGAAGGGTGGGGAGGGAGGGTTCCCTTTTCCTCCAGGCTCAGCAGTGACATGTCTGGACTGAGGGCAGCCACGGGGCTATGTACTGGTCTCTGAGCTGTCTACCTTACATCAAGGTGCTCAGAGCTGAGAGGGCTGGCCGCGAGTGTAATTTGATTAGAGCTGGATTGTTCAGCATTGTACCAATGGAAGCTCTATGTTAATTAGTGTTCTTTAAGATTTACAGTACATGGCAGGGTACAGTGGCTCATGCCTGCACTTTGGGAGGCCTAGGTGGGTGGATCACCTGAGGTCAGGAGTTGGAGATCAGCCTGACCAACATGGTGAAACCCTGCCTCTACTAAAAATACAAAAAAATTAGCCAGGCTTTGTGGCAAGGACCTGTAATTCCCAGCTACTTGTGAGGCTGAGGCAGAAGAATCTCCTGAACCCAGGAGGCGGAGGTTGCAGTGAGCCAAGATTGCGCCATTGCACTCCAGCCTGGGCAAGAAGAGCGAAACTCCATCTCAAAAAACAAACAAATAAAAAAACCCTTACAGTATAATTGTAATACCTTAGAGATGTGCAGTGGTTTATGGTAAAGAAAAAAAAAGATGCTTATGCCCACTATATCATTTAATCATCACAGCAAAACATGAAGCCACCAATTCCAAGAGGTGGCTATCACAGTCATACACCCTAATTCCTAGTGCTCTCTTTTATTTTTATTTTAGCTATTACAGATAACAATAACCAAAGGATTGAATATTTCACTTCTTTATTATTAGTTTGCATTTCCTTGCACATCCAGTGAACCAACTTCCCAAGAGTTGGATCTGTCTCCAAATTCCGGAAAGGTAACTTTCACCTTTAGTAACAGAGTGCAGCACAGCTGTGACTTCATACCATGGGTGACCATACGACCATCCAGGAATCAAAGGTCTCTTATCCTCCATCCTCTCATTCTTTCTCTTCCCAAAGCACATGTTTCTATGAGACAGGGCCACAGCCAGCAACTCCCACTTCTGACACCAATTGTGTGAAAACACACACACACACACACACACACACACACACACACACAAACTCAAAGTACTTTCTCTATTCTTTCACTCAACAACAATCAACACGGAATATTTTTTGTGACCAAATGTTTGGGGATTCCTCCCCACCAACAAGCAAACAATCAATTCTGCAGCAAATACCAGCTGGATATATACTCCAATTCAATTCTGACACCATCTACCTGGAGACAGCATCATATCCCACAGAATGAGTCTCGGTCCCCAAGACTATTGCCCTTCTTCCCAGCAGTCACAGTCTGGGCCTCCGGAACTTCTGAACAACAAGCTTCAAGTTGAGGTTCCCATGACCCCCTCCTTGGGTTCCATCAATATGGAGTGGCTCACAGAAAAACTTTAGGGAAGTTCACTTATGTTTATCAGTTTATTATAAAGGCTATTACAAAGGATACAGATGAAGAGACACATAGGGAAAGGGATGGAGGAAGCAGTGCGGAGCTTCTGTGCCCACCGTGGGTGCCCTGACTTCCAAAAACCTGTACATGTTCTGCTATCCGGAAGCTCTCCAAACCCAGTTCTTTTGGATTTTTATAGAAGCATCATTACATAGGCACAATTGATTAAATCACTGGCCATTAGTGACCAATATAACCTTCAGTTCCTCTCCTCTCCCTGGAAGTTGGGGTTGGGCTCAAAGTCCCAACTCTTTAATCTTGCCTTGGTCTTTCCAGGGACCAGTCCCCATCCTGAAGCTAGCTAGGGGCTGCCAGCCATCAGTCAACTTATTAGCATACAAAAACACATCACTTTGGAGATTCTAAGGGTTTTAGGAGTTGTATGGAAGGAAACACGTGAAAGATCAAATATATATTTCACAATATCGCACTCCTGTAGAACACTTTGGGACACATACCATGATTCTTTGAAAATCAGTTATTTACATCATTCTGGTATAAATCAATGAAAATGACCAAGGCAAGTTGTAATCATTTTAGGGGGTTTATTTGCCAAAGTTAAGGACACCCACTGGGGAGACAGGTCTATGCCTTTCTCCAAAGATAATTTTGAGGGCTTCAATATTTAAAGGGGAAAGGATGGATATTGGGGGAATATACAATTTTCATAGGAGGGTGAGTAGAGGAAATAGTCATTCATGCTGTCACTTGTCCGGCTAAGGGAATCTGCAATTTTACATAAGATAACGTAAACAATAGTGCAGAGGAAGCAATCAGATATACATTTGCCTCAGGCGAGCAGAAGGATGACTTTGAGTTCTGTCCTGTCCCATTCCACATCTGTGGATAAGCTATCAATTGACATTGCCAGGGTGAAATTCAACAGAAATATTTTCAAGTAAAGATCTTGGGGCCTGCAAGGAATCTCCTTGTGAGCAAAAGGTGAGCGATGTATGTAGCTTTTTATCTTTGTAGCCGTCTTAGTTAGGAACCAAATGGGAGGCAGGTTTGTGCGACCCAGTTCCCAGCTTGACTGTTCCCTTTGGCTTAGTAAGTATGGGGCCCCAAGATTTATTTTCCTCTCACACTGGTCTTTCTATAGTCACTGGATTATTTGAATATTAATGGATTTTCCTTGTAAATGTGATGAGGATGACGATCCCAAGAAGGACTTCCCTGTGTCTTTCAGAAGACAGAGGAGAGCTCCTGCCACTCTTAGGGGTTCATGTCGTGAACTCTTCATCTGTATTCAAAAAATGAAAACCTAAGAACTTTGGTCTAAGCTGTTCTAAGATTTGCTCAACCCAAACCTTTCAGGATACTCCTTTGAGGAAGGTTTTACCCATGGCAGTAGCTATAAGACTTTCTGCTGATACACAGTGGGAGGATTCACCAGGGAAGAGTATCTTGGAGTTACACATGAGCTGCACCAAGATCCCTGAGCGATGTGAAGCTGATAAAAAAGAGTCTACATCCAGCTGGGTGTGGTGGCTTACACCTGTAATCCCAGCACTTTGGGAGGCTGAGGCGGGAGGATCACCTGAGGTCAGGAGTTCGAGACCAGCCTGGCCAACATGGTGAAACCCCGTCTCTACTAAAAATAAAAAAATAGCCAGGTGTGGTGGCACGTGCCTGTAGTCCCAGCTACTCGGGAGGGTGAGGCAGGAGAATTGCTTGAACCTGGGAGGCGGAGGTTGCAGTGAGCCGAGATTGTGCCATTGCACTCCAGCCTGGGTGACAGAAAAAGAAAAAAAAAAAGAGTCCACATCCTCTCATTTCCTCTCCTCACCAGTTTAACAAGGATCAACAGAGCATCTCCAGGCTCTAATGGATTCCAGGACTGATTTCTTAACAGAGTGTGCACAACTGCCATCTTCCAGGATAGCAAATACTTGCCCACAAATAGAGTTAGATTGTAAAAGCTCTGGCTGAAACTATTAAGAAATAAAGCAGTTTTGACTGATCCAACATGATGGCTAATTTGACTAGGAGGGAATCATTAACAAACAGCTGCATTAGTAGTTGTTCTTTAAAAAGGATCTCTCTTCAACCAGCCAAGAAACCAAGGTGTGGGAAGTTCAGTGGCATGACTCTGCCCAGCACACTGGAATGCATGAGCTTGCCTACCGGGAAAGCAGCATGCCGGAAAGGGTGTGAGATTGGGAGCAGCTCATCTGTCATCTGCCTTTTGTTTAAGGACAACCTTGGCAGCTGGCTCCTGCTCCACCCCACTTCCTACCTTCATCCTGGGAGACGCCTGGTCCACAGGGCATCTTCACTCTCAGTCCTGGCATCCTTGTTTCCAGCAACCTTCTCCACCAACCTCTCCTACCTCCTTCCATGGCCACTCCTGGACATTTCCATAACCTGCAAATCCACCTTGAAATCACTCCTCAAACAACTCGTGGGCACAGCCTCCTGCCTTTCCAGCCTGCTGTGTGATTCCCTCACTCTGACCTTGCTGGTCCTCATTAGGAACTCTGGTCCCTTGCGCCCCTCCCCTCTTCTGTGCTCATTTCCTTTCTTACATTTAGCTTGGAGCCCACGGTTCATCATTTTGAGCCGTCTCTTGACAATATCCCCCTTCAAACTTGTCGGACCATAACCCATGGTAAGAAATCTAATAGGTATGAGCCTGGCGCAGTGGCTCACACCTGTAATCCCAGCACTTTGGGAGGCTGAGGTGGGTGGATCACTTGAGGTCAGGAGTTCCAGACCAGCCTAGCCAAAAACAGAAATTAGCTGGGCATGGTGGCGGGCACTGTAGTCCCAGCTACTCCAGAGGCTGAGGCAGAACTGCTTGAACCAGGGAGGTGGAGGTTGCAGTCAACCAAAATCACGCCACTGCACTCCAGCCTGGGTGACAAAGGGAGACTCCGTCTCGGTGGGGGGAAAAGGAAAGAAATCTAATACATACGATCTAAGGGTCATGTGCATATGTATTTATCTGTACACATACATATATGCACAAGCCTCTTTCACTTTAACTCAATCACAATTATTTAAAAATCTCTCTCTGAACATCAGTTCTTACAGCTATGTTTCTCTTTTTTTTTTTTGATAACTTAATCACATCTGCCAAGTCCCTTTTACCATGAATGTCTGGTAACATAATCACTGATCCTGGGGATTAAGGCCTGTGGACATCTTTGGGGGCCGTTATTCTGCCTACCACATGGACCATCTTTGACTTTCTTCACTTCCACTCACTTTTCTTTTTTCTTTTTTCTGTGTTTTGAGATGGAGTTTTGCTCTTGTTGCCTAGCCTGGCGTGCAATGGCGCGATCTCAGCTCACTGCAACCTCTACCTCCCAGATTCAAGTGATTCACCTCCCTCAGCCTCCCGAGTAACTGGGATTACAAGCGCCTGCCACCACGTCCGGCTAATTTTGTATTTTTAGCAGAGACGGGGTTTTTCCATGTTAGTCAGGCTGGTTTTGAATTCTCATTCTCAGGTGATCCGCCTGCCTCGGCCTCCCAAAGTGCTGGGATTACAAGCGTGAGCCACCGCGCCTGGCCCCTCCACTCACTTTTCAACCTTTTCCGAACAAGCTTCTGTCCCCATCCCCCATCCCATATGGTTTCAAAATGGTTCTTGATGGCCTCCATGTTGCTGAAACCATGGGGTTGTTCTAATTGTCCTTCTTCCTGACCTTTTGGCACTGTGGACCAAACAGAATGGGGCATGGGCAGGCACCCTGGAGGACCAGAGCATTTGGGCAGCCTGTCCTGCTGTCACCCAGCAGCCCATCCTCGTGGGACTGAGGCTGGCTACAGAAGGCATTCCGCACCCGCTTGCTCCATGAGTTATCCAGGGCTCCATGTGCCTAGGCTTTCTTTATTGTTTAAAAGTGTAGGTCAGATAACTACAGGTGAAGTTTTCTTAAACATTTTTGTTTACATATCCAAAGTGGATAACTGGGTGAGCTTTCACAAAGTAAAGCACATGCCTGCCATCAGATCAAGGAACAGGACATGATGGCCAGCTCGCCCGAGCTCCTCGTTCTCCCCTCCCTAACGCTAGCTCCTCTCCTCCCATAGGTAATGCTATCCTGGGGCCGAGGTGATAAGGATTTTTTTTTCCTTTTAAATAGACTTAATGTGTTAGAGAAGTTCTAGGTTCATAGAAAAATGGAGAAGAGGCCAGGCACTGTGGCTCACACCTGTAATCCCAGCACTTTGAGAGGCTGAGGCGGGCAGATCACGAGGTCAGGAGTTTGAGACCAGCCTGACCAATATGATGAAACCCCAACTCTACTAAAAATACAAAAAAATTAGCCAGGCGTGGTGGTGCATGCCTGTAATCCTAGCTACTTGGGAGGCTGAGGCAGGAGAATTGCTTGAATCTGGGAGGTGGAGGTTGCAGTGGGCTGAGATCTTACCACTGTATTCCAGCCTGGGTGACAAAGAAAAAAAAAGAAAGGAGAAAAGAGAGAAAGAAAGAAAGAGAGAGAAAGAGAGAAAGAAAGAAAAGAGAAAGAAAAAGAAAGAAAGAAAGAGAGAAAGAAAGAAAGGAGGGAGGGTGGGAAGGAAGGAAGGAAGGAAAGAAGGAAGGAAAAGGAAAGAAAGAGAAAAGAAAAGAAAGAAAAATGGAGCAAAAAGTGCAGAGTTTTCATCAACCTCTACTCCTACCTGCCACACACATACACACACACGTGCAGCTTCCCCCACTAGCAATATCAAACCTGAGTGCGATATTTGTCATAATCAATAAACCTACATTGACAAATCACTATCACCCAGAGTCCATAGTTTACATGAGGGCTCACTTTTGGTGTTGTACGTTGCATGGGTTTGGACGTATGGACAATGACGTGGCTCCACCATTGTGGTATCACACAGGGTAGTTGCAATGCCCAAAAAGTCCTCTGTGTTCCACCAATTCATTCCTCCTTTCTCCTGACCTCTGGCAACCATGGATATTTTCGCTGTCTCCATAGTTGTGGTTTATCCAGAATGTCATATAGTTGGAATCAGACAGTACACAGCCTTTTCAGATTGGCTTCTTTCACTTAGGAATATGCATTTAAGGTTTCTCCATGTCTTTTTGTGGTTTGATAGCTCATTTCATTTTAGTGCTAAATAACATTCCATTGTCTGGATGTGGGCCTAGGTTTCTTTCGTTTTTTGTTTTTTGTTTTGTTTTTTTTTTTTGAGATGGGGTTTTGCTCTGTTTCCCCTGCTGGAGTGCAGTGGCACGATCTCGGCTCACTGCAGCCTCTGCCTCCAGTGTTCAAGCAATTCCCCCACCTCAGCCTCCAGAGTAGCTGGGATTACGGGGGCGTGCCACCACACCCAGCTAATTTTTTGCATTTTTAGTAGAGACGGAATTTCACCATGTTGGCCAGGCTGGTCTCGAACCCCTGACCTCAGGTGATCTGCCCGCCTCAGCCTCCCAAACTGTTGGGATTATAGGTGTGAGCCACCACAACTGGCCGGGCCTAGGTTTTTGAAGAAGGAATTGAACTGAGTGTAGGGCAGGTTGTACTGCTGACGTGTCTTCTTTGTACTTGGAATGTGCTAGGACTGATATACTTCAAAGTGCAAAGCACCTGAAGGATCTGGCATTAGTCAATTCTATGCACTGAGCTTCTGCCCCCAGAATACCACTCTCAGAATAAGAATATGGTAAGGCCAGTTGGATAGGTGGGGCATGGATTGGAGGCTCAGGCCACTGCACCGCACGTACAGGTCTTGATGTAAATGGTCTGGAGGAGGTCAAGTTCTGTTTAGCGGGGATAGACTATGTGACAGAGTGAAGAAAGATAATGGTCTAAACGCAGCAAAAGTTTCATTCCCACTCACGTGACAGTCTGTGGAGCAGGCAGCTCCTCTCTTCATGAACCTGGGACCCAGGTATCTTCCATCTTGTGGCTCTGCTTCTCTGGAGCCTTGTCATTTTTTTTTTTTTTCATCTAGCTACAGTGACAAGATCTTTTGGATAAGCCATGAATATTAAACCAAAGGCAAACTCTGAAAATTGATTTGATGTGTGGTCAGCTGCTTATTTATTCCCCGGACCACAGTCCGGGAATGCTGGGGTGATGGACAAGAAGGTTTTCATGAGGAGGCTGAAGAGATCTAAGTATAGGGGTGCCAGCCTGGGGCACTTCAGAAGGGGCACTGGCCTAGGGGTAGCATCAGGGTGACCCTGAGTTCCCTGGGGCAGGGTGTGGCTCATGACAGGGTGCTGAGAACCCACCAAGAAGGCTGGAATTTTCAGTACTCATTGTTTTATGAGGGCCTGCCTGTGTGCCAGGCGGGAAGACACTGACCAGAGGCCCAGGGCCACTGAGGGGTCTTGGCCTGGTCTCTTGGTGCCTGGGGGGTACACTGTGCAAGCAATGATGTAGTTCCAAGGGGCAGGACTCTGACCCACACTCCTGGTGCCAATGTCCGTTTTGCCACTCATGTTAGATTTTGCTTCTCTAAGTGAACTTACTCAGGATAGCTGGGTTCTTGGCCATTCTTCCAGTGGTTTTCAAGGGTGAAAAAAGGAGTTTCAGCAAGACAGCTAACGTCTGGATGAACGTGCCAGGAAATGTCTGTAGCCTTCCTCTAGAGAGCACTCTGGGCTGGTGGGCGTGAGGACCCCAGGGCAGGCTGGCTCAGCCCCTTTGACTTCAGATTTCAGGGAAGGCCAGGGAGCTGGATTGGGCGCCTGGATTTTCCGAGAATTATGTTTCTGAGAGGATTTTGAAACCTAAACAGGAATACTTTACACACAGGTCATCGAGCAGGAATCGGGAAGTTCCTAAGCTGCCCTCCTTCACGCCACCTCCTCCCTTCAGAGACCAAGGGCTGCCAAGCTGTCTCCCACACACCTCAGTGAAAAGTCCCTGGCTCTCCTCCCAGCCGCCTCGCTGTGACCTCGTGAGGTGTGAGAAGGAGGAAGGGGATCTACATTCTGGATGAACCTTCCTTCCTCCTTGCCGAGAAATAGTTTAGGCCCCTGCGCCTGCTGGGCCTCAGAGCTTCTCAGAGCCCAGGGCTGAGTGTGGCTCCTGCAAGCTGCCTGGGAATTCCATGGAGTCTGACTGGCTGCCTGTCTTATTCACAGTCTGCTGCAACCCCTTTCCTAAGCTTGGGTGGCTGAAAACAACAGAAATTCATCCTCTCACAGTTCTGGAGGCCACAGTCTGAATCCAGGTGTTGGCAGGGCTGTGCTGCCTTTGAAGGTTCTAGGGAAGAATCCTTCCTGGCCTTTTCCAGCTTTGGGTGGTGGCCGGCAACGCTCGGCATTCCTTGGCTTCAGGTGCATCATTCCAGCTGCAGATGGCTGTCTTCCCTCTGTGTCTCTTCTTTTCTTCTTATAAGGACACCGGTTATATGGTGTTAAGGGCCCACCTTACTCCAGTATGTCACCAACTTAATTCATTACATCTGCAACCACCCTATTTCCAAATGTCACATTCTGGGGTTCCTGATGAACGTGAATTTGAGGGGACATCATTCAACCCACAGCAGAGCCCCACCATCGCCTCCCTGCACCACGCCCTTGGAGCAGGCCCCTTCTCTACGCAGGGCACCCTGCCTGTCTTTCCTCTCCAGCAGCAAGACAGAGCCAAGAGTGATTTCTTGAAATGAAATTGCATCCTCTCATTCCAATAAGGCATGGCCTCACTAGTGGGAGATGAGCAAATGAAAGCCTCCCTCAGGATGGGCATCCACACATCCAGGGGACACTCACCCCGATTTTTTTCCTGGTTTATAAAGGTGCTTCAGGACTCCTTGGCTCCTGGCCAATATCTTAGTGCTTCCTGAAGGGGAAAGAGCCCTCCAAACCATTCAGTGGGCCATCCCAGACCGAGGTTTCTGACCCAGACATTGAAACAGGAGGAGTTCCCTTATCCCCCCTTGCAGGGCACGTGACAGGGGCATGGCTCGCTTCTCAGTACCCTGCTGCTCAAACCCCTAGAGGGGGCATGCAGATGGACAGGTCGTGGGGAGCGTTTTTGGGCTCCGACCCCACAGCAGCTTGTAGAATTGGGTGTTTACAGCTCCCGAAGCCCCAGTGGGCATGTGTTACAGTGGTCTCCTTCAGTTTTGCCATCTGCAGGCGGCTTGTGTTAATCAGCTCAATTAGACCCTCTGCCTTATCACAAAGACAGATGGCTTTCTGTATCCCAGGTTCTTGCCCTAGTGTACTCGGAAAATCAGATTTCGCATGGACTTGGAGAAGGAGTGCAAGGTTTTATTGAGTGGAGGAGGTGGCTCTCGGATGGGGAGCCAGAAGGGGGATGGAGTGGGAAGGTGGTCTTCCCCTAGAGTTGGGCTGCCCAGCAGCCAGACTCTCCTCCGACCGCCCCCGACTGATTTCCACATCGCCCCGCTGTCGAAAGCCCGCCAGCATCTGCTGGTGTCTGTCAGTGTGCTCTTCTGCTTCTCTGCTCCTCTCGACGTCCAGCCACTTGTGTGTGTGCCCACTAGGGTCTTGGGTTTTTTATGGGCACAGGATGGGGGTCATGGCAGGCCAGAGTAGTCTTGGAAAATGCAACATTTGGACATGAAAACAGGAGTGCCTGTTCTCACTAAGGTCCATGGGCACAAGCCCATGGGTGGAGCCCTCGCCAGGGACCCCACCCTTCTCTACCCAGCACTCCCCTGCCCCCCTTCCATGTCAACATGAAAGCTGACATTGGCTCCTGTGCCCCACCTCTGGGCCTGGTTTGGTGACCTCTGCACCAGAGCTGCTAGGGAGGCCCCATCCCACATGTTGTTGATTGAACAGCCCTTCCCCAGGGGAACCAACGTCCTCCTGTCCCCAAACCCATGGAGGAGTGGTGGGTTCCTGGGCCTCTAGTAACTCGACTGAATATTTTCCAGGTTACCTAACCAAACTCCTGCAAAACCACACCACCTATGCCTGTGATGGGGACTATTTGAATCTACAGTGCCCTCGGCATTCTACGATAAGTGTCCAATCGGCATTTTATGGGCAAGATTACCAAATGTGTAGTTCCCAGAAGCCTGCCTCCCAGAGGGAAGACAGCTTAACCTGTGTGGCAGCCACCACCTTCCAGGTATTGCCTTTTGTAGACATGTTAAGATGATACAGTTTCAACACACACTCTTTCTCTCTCTCTGGGTATAAATATATTTGTGATTATATAGTTCAATCCAAGCAAAACTGATCCATGAAAAATCCCAATTTATACAGATCACCAGTTTTGTAGGTGAGCTATTATTTGCTTCTCAAAGGATTTGTTGCCCAACAAAACTAAATAGAATTCCTACCTATTGTAGAGCCCCCTTTGTACACTTCAATATGAATTTATTTGTAGGTTTACTCCTTACTTTAGTATAGCAAAGTACAACCAGGATGGATTCCAACCTCCAGGCCCACATCTCCCATAAATACTCCTGTAGAAAGGGAAGGTAGGTTCTTTAATGGAAACCACAAGTATCTCTTTGAGGCAGACATCTGAAGTCATGACCAACTTTTTAGAAAATGTACTCAAAGGGCTGGGCGCGGTGGCTCATGCCTGTAATCCCAGCACTTTGGGAGGCCGAGGTGGGTGGATCATGAGGTCAGGAGTTCAAGACCAGCCTGGCCAATATGGTGAAACCCCATCTCTACTAATAATACAAAAATTAGCCGGGCATGGTGGCACGCACCTGTAGTCCCAGCTACTTGGGAGGCTGAGGCAGAAGAATCGCTTGAACCCAGGAGGCGGAGGTTGCAGTAAGCTGAGATCATGCCACTGCACTCTAGCCTGGGCAACAGAGCGAGACTCCATCTCAAAAAAAAGAAAATGTATTCAAGGAAGGAAATATCAGTAATATCAGTAACTGCCTTGTGCTTTTTAATGATTTGCTTCTTCAGTTGTAGATAATCATGTCATTCTTGCTTGGAGCTATTTTAGGCAGCCTTTACTGACTCCTTCCTTCTACTACATAGTACCAGGAATTGGGAGAGGTGTGGTTTAAGTCATTCTTTTTGTGGTTGGCATATTTAGGGAAAGATTTGGTATAGGAGAAGGTCAAACTAATATTTCAATGATGGTTTTAGACTGTGCATGGCTTTCAATCATCTGAGCAACTTCTACTTCACCATCCCTGGCCCCTAACATATATAACTAGTTGACCAGGATTACTGAGTCACTTGGCCTTGGATTTTTTTTTTTATGCCTCCCAAGTTCCATATGAATACATTTAAAGCAGGGAGTTTAGAGCAGGTGGAAAGTTGGAAGTCTGTTTGATTTTGTCGACCGTAGGAAATATGGATAAAGATACATTTGCTAGAACTAAGGAGAAATAAGAGTAGCTTTAATGCTGTGTAGCTCTCCCTAAGGCCCAAACAGGAGACGCAAACTAATGTGATGATGTAAGAATTTTTCTATTTCTCACACCATCCCTTGCTTCCACTCCAAGCATGGTAGTATCTGGGTATTTAGGTGATTGGTGAAACACACCAATTGAGTAGCCAAAATGAATGTGTCTGAATGACTCCCCATGACATGGTTTCTATACCTTGAGGAGAGACAACATGTTTCTTCAGGAGACAAGAAGTTGCTTTCCCTGTGTGCTCCACTGTCTTAGTCCTTTTTGTGCTGCTATAACAGTGTACCTGAGCCTGGGTAATTCATAAGGACCTGAGATTGATTTCTCACTGTTCTGAAGGTCAGGAAGTCCAAGAGCAAGGCGCCATAGGTTTGGTGTCTCTACTTCCAGGATGGCTCCTTGAACACTACATCCTCTAGGGGGTTGGAGAACGCTGGTACTCATGTGGCAGAAGAATGGAAGGGGCAAGAGAAGGAGAGAGGGCCAACTTGCCTTTTATAACAAGCCTAGTGCCACTCTAACAACCTACTCCTGAAAAAAAACAAAAAACAAACAAACAAACAAAAACAGTATTAATCCATTCATAAGGGTGAAGACCTGATGGTCTAATCACCTCTTAAAGACTCCACCTGTTAACACTGTTACTGTTAAAGCAGCAATTACATTTCAATGTGAGTTTTGGGGGGGATAAACATTCCAGCCATAGCACCCACCCTACCCCTAACTCTCTCTGTTGGGCGCCACCCCAGGAGCTACATCCCTCTTGACCCACCCCCATTTCTCAGCCACCTGCCCTGGCCATCCATCCTTGGATCCCAGGCTACCTGCTGCCCTCCTGGGTGCATGAAAGGAATGTTGGCCAGTACCAACATTTTTTTAAAGTGGCTACTTTGTAAAAGTAGGAACTCTTGGCATACACTAGAGCATGGGCACCACCTGCACCATTCCACGGGTACCTGCCTCTGCCAGATACCCCTGAGGGAAGAGGATGTTCTATAACCAGGCCGACAGGTTAGCATTTGTGAACACAGTTCTGACGTTGTTGGGAGGGTTTGTTTGCCAGAAACATCCCCATGCGCTACTCTTTCAACCAGAGGTCAAGAAGTCCTTTACTTTTGTGTCTTTTTTGTTTGTTTGTTTGAGACGGAGTTTCACTCTTGTTGCCCAGGCTGGAGTGCAATGGCGCAATCTCGGCTTACCACAACCTCTGCCTCCCAGGTTCAAGCAATTCTCCTGCCTCAGCCTCCCGAGTAGCTGGGATCACAGGTGCCCACCACCACGCCTGCTAATTTTTGTACTTTTAGTAGAGACAGGGTTTCACTGTGTTAGTCAGGCTGGTCTTGAACTCCTGACCTCAGGTGATCTGCCCGCTTCGGCCCCCCAAAATGCTGGGATTACAGGTGTGAGCCACCGCGCCCAGCCTTCTTTTGTGTCTTTTAAGCTGCACTCGGAGCACAGGCAAGGTGCTTCCTCAGAGGGAGGTTGCTTAACATGGGGAGACATCCACACAGGAGACCACAGCTGATCCATCCCTTGACTGTCAGCAGCAAGTCCCCCTCTCTGCATTTTCCAGCTCATGACATAGTTTGGAAATAGCCCTGCCCTGGGGTCTGCTCTGTGGTTGTAACAGTGGAGCCCTCCGGTGACATCTGTGGGCCAAGTCATTTCACCATGACCTTTGGCCATGCCACATGCAGTCATCTGAAAGCTGCACCTTCTGGGGTCTGAGGGGTTTCTTGGGTATTTTTTCCTGATTGAGACACATCTGCTGGGCCCCTGAGAGAATGGGGGATACCTGGCGGGGCCAGCATTCTTCACGGAGCTATTCCACGAGCTACTATGAGAACATGGTGACTCAGAGAGGCTCACGTGTCTGCACTAAATTCAGACCTAAAGTAATAAGCAGATTCTTGGGAACTTTTTTTTTAACTGTACTTGATGTCCTTTTTGTTTTTGTTTTAACCAGACCCAAGTTCAGGACCTCTGTGTTTATCACAAGCAGGACTTGTTCCATTTGGGAACGAGGACCTAGAGAACAGCAGCAAAAAGCTGAGCCTTCCCAGGACCTGGAGGAGGGTGTTCTGTGAGCTTCCACAGAGCAGATGCCTTAAAAACGAAGGAGCTGTCTGGAAAAAATCAGGAGAGAGAGAGAGATTGAGATTTGCAGGAAAGCCTTTACTGCCAATGCTCAACAGAAAGTCTGAGTGTTCCACTAAGAAAACTGCTCCCCGAGGGAGAAGTGGGTCCCATCCTCTTGAGTTTGATGAGGGTGGGAATCAGCTTTGTAATTTTTATTTTTTGGCCTGTGGATGGTTCGTAAGCTGGAAAGGGTTTGGGTCCCCAAGAGCTCCCCGATGCACAGCTCTCCTGTGTCCTGTGTGGGGCTATTTAAGGATGAAAGGCCAGGACTGTGAATCCTGATGGTCACAGCTCTCTCAGCTTAAAGCTAGGGGACCCCGCTCGAAGGGGACCCTGAAGTACCCTGCACCCCAATATCTGAAAGTCCTCTGACCTCGCTTGCACCCCCTGGAGCCTCGGCACTCAGTGCCTTTGCTGAAAGTAGCAGCCGCCGCACCAGTAGTGGTGGATCAGAGGTTAGTTTTCCCAGGAGCCTGGCACTATTGGATCAGGTTTCTTTTCAGGAGAAAGAGCAGGGAGACAGGGAGCTAACCCAATCACCCACGTCTATGCTCTTTGGCCTTAGACACAGCTTGGCCAGGTGGGGAGGCGTCCTTCCCTTTGCAGAGCCCAGAGCAGCCCAGGTTCGGGTCTGGCAGTCACTGTGAGCAGTTTTCAAGCCTGTCCCTTTTCTACCCTCTCCTTCTAGAAGGTGCTGGACGAATGCCAGAACCAGCGGGCCTGCCACCTCCTGGTCAATAGCCGTGTTTTTGGACCTGACCTTTGTCCAGGAAGCAGTAAATACCTCCTGGTCTCCTTTAAATGCCAACCTAGTAAGTAACTTCGGAGGGGGACAGTGTGTTTGGGGTGTGGTTCTCGTTTCCTTCACACTCCTGGTCAAAATTCTCTGCCCGTTGGCATTTGTCCAACTTTGAAACTCATTAACAGACACATTGGGCTCCATCCTACCCAGTTTTTTAGAGACAGAGAGAGAAAGAAAGACAGAGAAAGAAAGAGAGAGAGATTTTGTGTGTGTGAGTCTGCACATGCCTTCATTTTCTTACAAATGCCTGAATTTTAAAAATCCTTTCCAATATGTAAAACTCAGTTGTACTGATGCTACAACTCTCAGGGGTGGTGAGAGACTGCAATTGCTGTTCCTCAAAGTGAGGAGCTGGTTCTGCGTTTCAGAGGTGTCTTGTGCTGAGATTGAGAGGCTGCCTGTTTTTCCTTGAGGCCCAGTGGCCCACTTGCCACCTGCGCCCACTGCTTCAGATCTTTAAGAACCAGCTCCTCCCGCCCTCACCCACGGCAGGGGCTCCTTGTTCCCCAGGAGAATGAGAGGGGATATGGCTGGAGCCATCTCTTTTATTCTGATTCTTGTTGTTTTCTCCATTGACTTTTGCCATTTCTAATACGCATCAGCTTTGTGATGGGCAAAAATAATCCATCTTCCGTGGGTGGGTCACACTTCCAGGAGCCAAGAGCCTGCCTGAGATAAATCATAGGTCACTGTGGCATTAGAGGTTCTTGCACACTTTGTTGCAAAGAAACGATAGCAGTGTGTTTAACCAAAAAAATGAGAAGTTAAGCACTTTTTTTTTTTTTTTTTGAGACAGAGTTTCACTCTAGTTGCCCAGGCTGGAGTGCAATGCGCAATCTCGGCTCACCACAACTTTCGCCTCCCGGGTTCAGGCAGTTCTCCTGCCTCAGCTTCCTGAGTAACTGGGACTACAGGCATGCACCACCACGCCTGGCTAATTTTGTATTTTTAATAGAGAGAGGGTTTTGCCATGTTGGTCAGGCTGGTCTTGAACTCCCGACCTCAGCTGATCCACCCGTCTTGGCCTCCCAAAGTGCTGGGATTACAGGCATGAGCCACCACGCCTGGTCGAGTTAAGCATTTTTAAACCTCCTCCCTGCCACCCAACACAACTGTTTTCACTTTTTGCGTTTTGTTGTCTGTTAGCTCCCGCCCTGGTTCCCCGAGACCCTGGTGGCCTAGGTGCCAGACTTATGTGGGGAGAGGTCAGGCCACACTCGTACTATGGTCTCAGGTACACATGTGGGGAGAAACCCCCCCGATCTCTTCAGCAGATATGCAGGCTTCTGTCAAACCCCTTCCCTGCCAGGGCCCAGATACGTCAAAGCTGCCCTGTGTTCTTCTAACACAGCACACGCAAAGGCACTCACACTCTCACAGCACATAACAGACGCTCCTCACACTCACCTCTCATAATAGACATCATCACACACAGGCACACACTAACACAACCTTATACCCCATTATACACACTCAAACACATACAAGCTGTCACACTCACTCACACTGTCATACATGCTCACACACACTCACATGTACAGACAATCGCAAATACCTACAAGCAGGCCCAGCCATTCAGAACCGCCTGAACTCCCTTCGTGACCCCTCTCCACCCTCCCTCCGCCCCTAGGCATTGGGATCACCTCCTGCCTCAGTCAACAGACTCAGGAAATCACATCAAGATCTCAGTGTTCTTCCTCACTTCCCTCCAACCGCTGAATCTCACAGACGACTGTGTCATAGCCTTGAAGACACCCTTGACGGCCATTAGCTTTGCCTTCCTTTTTTTTCTGTTCTCCACTTCCCTCCTTCCATGGTGTAAAATATTGCCCTTTAAAAAGTGGCCCTTGGCTGGGGGCGGTGGCTCATGCCTGTAATCCCAGCACTTTGGGAGGCTGAGGCGGGTAGATCACCTCAGGTCGGGTGTTTGAGACCAGCCTGACCAACATGGAGAAACCCCGTCTCTACTAAAAATATGAAATTAGCTGGGCATAGTGGCGCATGCCTGTAATCCCAGCTAGTAGGGAGGCTGAGGCAGGAGAATCGTTTGAACCCAGGAGGCAGAGGTTGCGGTGAGCCGAGATCGCGCCATTGCACTCCAGCCTGGGTGACAGAGCGAGACTGTCTCAAAAAAAAAAAAAAAAAAAAAGCGGCCCTTGTTCAAGATATTAACAATTGGAGACCTGAGGTGGTGGGAATATGACTGTTGGTTGTGATATTCTTTCACATTTTCTATATGTTTGAAATGTTTCATAATAAGTTGAGAAAAACCAGCCTCTAAGAGAAGTCAAATGACCTTTGTAAAATTGACCGAACCTCGGATAAGTCAGTGCAGAGCCACAGCCCCATGACTATCGTGTGAGGTTTCATCTGGTTTATTCATATCATTTCAGCAAAGCCCCTACTTTGCACAGGAGTGGAATATGAAGAGAACTCACATCCCACAGAGATTCCCTGAGTGGCGGTTCTATCGTGGGTGGTGTCCACACCCCCTCCAGGGTATTTCTCAACCTTCCTTCACCCAGCAAGCATTCCTGAGATCTTCACACAGCTGGTTCCTTCTCCTTGTGTAATTTCCACCCCAAACAGCACCTTTCAAGAGAGGCTTTCTCTGTCCAAAAAACAACAACAAAAAACATCTTCCTCTCATCCTGCCACCCCTCTCTATCACAGCATCCTATTTTTTCTTCATAGCAGCATCATCGTTTAGATTTACCTTATTTGTGGCTTGTGTATGATTTGCACACACACTGCATCAGACTGTGAGCATGATGAGAGCAGGAACTCTGTGTGGTTCAGCATTGTTACCCCAGAGGAACAGGTGCTTAATATGTATTCACAGAGCAAATGTTCACCCAGCAGGGGCCAGGTCCTGTGCTCAGCATTGGGGAGACACAGGTGAGCACGTCCTCGGTAACCAGATCATCCAGTCCCGTGGGGCCTGATATTCACTGTGAGTTTCACACAAATATGTGCAAGATTCCAGGTAGGGTCAGGGCTTCATGGAGAGGCACTTGGTACTACGCAAGCAGCTCACAGAAGAATCTTTTTTTTGGATAGGGTCTCACTCCATTGCCCAGGCTGGAGTGTAGTGGCTCAATCTTGGCTCACTGCAACCTCTGCCTCCCGGTTTCAAGCGATTCTCCTGCCTCAGCCTCCTGAGTAACTGGGATTATAGGCATACACCACCACACCTGGCTAATTTTTGTATTTTTAGTAGAGACAGGGTTTCACCATGTTGGCCAGGCTGGTCTTGAACTCCTGACCTCAAGTGATCTGCCCGCATTGGCCTCCCAAAGTGCTAGGATCACAGGCGTGAACCACAGTGCCCAGCCTCATAGGAGGAATTGACCTTGACTAGGGGTTCAGTGGAGTCTTTTTGGAGCAAGTGATGATGGAGCTGAGAACTGCAGGGATGGAGGGCACAGAAAGAGTGCTCCATACGGAAGCCTGTGGCTGCGGGTTGCAGGTGCATTGGCGCAGCCAGCCACAGGGTAGGAGCACAGCACCAAGACAGGAGAGAGCACCAGCTGGGGAGCCGGAGTAGGGATCCTGAGTCCTCAGAGCCAAGGAAGGAGTTGGGGCTCTATCTATAGGGCAGCATTTAAGCAGGGAGGGTGCTGTGATGAAGTCATAAAGCCCCTCTGGCTGCCCCATAGAGAGCAGATGAGAGACAGAGCCCCTGTGTAACCTGAACACCAGAAACCTGAGCACTGCCATTTAGGAGGTGGAAGTGAGATTGTCTCCACACCTTCCTGCCTCTTTTTCTGCATCTCTCACACCTCCTGAGGCTCTTCTTCTCAATTCCCAGTTCCAGTCTGAGCAGGACACTGTGATTGTCCAAAGGCTGCACTGCTGCACCCTGTGGTGTGCAGAGCCAGTTCTTATGATGAGAGCCAGTTATGCACATGTCTTACCAGCTCTGCCTGTGTTCTGTGGCATCTGCCACGGTGGGAGTATTTACACCAGGGAAATGGGCAAATGCCACTGATCGGGTTTATTTGTTTGTCTTTACGGAAAGCTATTTTACCAGCAAGGCTCACCGGAACCTTCTTTTCCCTAATGTGCACTATGCTTCCTTCCTCAAAATCTCACCTCCCAAATTGCATCCCTTCAGGAAATGTAGGTTTCAGCGAGGCTTGGATTTAGGCAGTTCTGGGTTCATATTCCTTTCTGCTGCATATCGTATCTGCTGTGTGTTGGGCAGTGTAGGGACACTTTCTAGGACTCAGTTGTAACATGGGATTATGTCTCTTCTGCATAGGGCTGTTTTAAGACTGTGAAAACACAGTGTTGTATGTAACACGCTAGCACAGGACCATGGAGTTGAGCTCAGCAGTTGGTAGCTATTATTTCAATAAGCTGATTCAAATCACTCTGCTAAAGATATGAATGACTAAAGGATATAGTCATGCCTGTCATTTCAGCATTTTGGGAGGCCAAGGCAGGAGAATCATTTGAGGCCAGTCATTAGAGACTAGCCTGGGTAACATAGGGAGACCCCTATCTCTAAAAAAAAAAAAAAAAAAAACAATTAGCAGGGCATCATGGCAGGCACCTGCAGTCCTAGCCACTTGGGAGGCTGAAGTGGGAGGATTGCTTGAGCCCAGGAGTTTGAGGTTACAGTGAGCTATGAGCTCACCACTGCACTCCAACCTATATGACAGGGTGAGATTTATTTACTAAATAAAGAAATAATAAAAATAAATAAAAGTGACTATCTACATTTCAGCATCACTATGCACTGGCAATTGTATGCAATGTCAGTAATAAAATACTCCCATCGCGGCAGATCCTTCCTCTGCCCACCTTTGAAAGGTGGCTAGTGATGTGTTGGGAACAGGCACCCCAAAATCTGGCCATAAACTGGCCCCAAAACTGGCCATAAAGAAAATCTCTGCCACACTGTGACATGTTCGTGATGGCCATGATGCCCATGCTGGAAGGTTGTGGGTTTACTGGAATGAGGGCAAGGAACACCTGGCCCACCCAGAGTGGAAAACCACTTAAAGGAGTTCTTAAACCACAAACAGTAGCATGAGTGATCTGTGCCTTAAGGATGTGCTCCTGCTGCAGGTAACTAGCCAGAGCCCATCCCTCTGCTTCGGCCCATCCCTTTATTTCCCATAAGGAATAGTTTTAGTTAATCTATAATCTATAGAAACAATGCTTATCACTGGCTTGCTGTGATGATTTATGTGGGTAAATCTCTGTTCGAGGCTCTCAGCTCTGGAGGCTGTGAGACCCCTGATTTCCCACTCCACACCTCTATATTTCTGTGTGTGTGTCTTTAATTCTTCTAGCGCCACTGGTTTAGGGTCTCCCCGACCGAGCTGGTCTCGGCAGTGATGTGCTTTTGTGACTGTTGTATCGAAAAGAAGCAGAATGACCCACATAACCCTCTCATTTGTAGGTTGGTGCAAAAATAATCGCGGTTTTTGCCCATTGCTTTTAATGGCAAAAATCACAGTTACTTTTGCACCAACCTAATAAAATGAGGAGGCGGGGATTTCATTGCTCTTGTCATTTAAGCAGAGTCGTGGTTCTACCTTCCCAGGCCCCTGCCATCCTCCCCATCTAAACTCCCAGGAGAGTTGGCAACCCACTTCTGGAAGGCTGCCCACACCTTCTCTAATCTGAGACCAATTGAGAACTCTAACCCAGCTCTAAAACAAATTCTAGTCTTCTAAGAAAAGTAGCAATGATGTTAGTAGTTTCCTAATTTTTTATAATCCAGAAATGTCACTCTTATGTGGCAGTGAATTCGCACATTCCCAAGGAACCAAGTGACTCAACATAACACAACAGTCACCCCCAGGATGTAATGTGACACGCACAGGCCCCTCCGTTCCAGGAGATGGTTTGCCCATAATCTGGGGACGAAATCGCTGGAGGCCTTGCATGTGGGTGTTGCGTTACTGTGGGAGGGTTTTGTTGGCATCAAGGCTACCTTTAATGAATGGGCTTTAATAAATCAAAGAGATGTGGCTAATAAATGCGTTTCATGACATGCCTTAAACAAAACAAAACAAAAAAAAAACCTCTTGTAACTTTTAAATATTTTGATTTATAAAAAAAGAAAAAAAAAAGACTTCCATTTAAAAAGTTTCCAATTTGTGGAGATAAAGCTTGTTTTTGTCCTGCCTTCTCCCATCCTCTTTCTGTGCCAGCTCTGCCATGGGAAGGCATTCTTAACATTTTTCTGAGTTCTTATGGTTGGAAGGGGACTTTGGCTCTTTTGGTGTTTCTATCCAAGCCCTCTTTTCTGCATCAAAGGCCATCGTTCACTCTGGGCCTTTGAAGTCAGGCAAAATTTTGTTGTTGGTGGGATTTAGCATCTACTCATAAACTGCATATAAATGCCAGTGCGGATATGACTCACCAAAAAGAATCGAACCTTCTGACGTTCGGGTCAGACTTAGCAGTCTTTTATCTAGAGAAAGAAAACAAAACTTGCCTTGGCTCTAAGTTTAAGCTGTTGAATTAAGATTCCAGTGAGTGGGTAAAGGGCCTTCGAGACATTTGCTTAGTCACCATTTTCATTTTTCTTCCTCGTGGAGGTTCTTCCTGCGTGTTAAACTACCAGGGCAGGATAGGGATTTTGTGAGCATCTGTAGGCTGGCTTCTGCTCCCAGCCTTTCATTCATCTTGAATGTTCCCGTCCTCATGGATGAAAGGATAGCAACAAAGTTTGCCAGCAGCAGAGCTGGTGGTCCTCTTGAGATTCTGTAGTTTTCCTTCTTGTGGTCCAAAATTTTGTCTCACTGTTGTTTCTCTGCTTTTGGTACAAAGTCATGGAAATTTACAAGGTACAGAAAGATGGCGTTTAGGCCAGGCATGGTGACTCACGCCTGTAATCCCAGCAATTTGGGAGGTCTAGGTGGGTGCATCACTTGAGGTCAGGAGTTGAAGACCAGCCTAGTCAATATGGTGAAACCCTGTCTCTACTAAAAATACAAAAATTAGCCAGGCATGGTGGCGCATGCCTGTAATCCCAGCTCCTCAGGAGGCTGAGGCAGGAGAATCGCTTGAGCCTGGGAGGTGGAGGTTGCAGTGAGCCAAGATTGCACCCCCCGCACTCCAGTCTGGGTGACAGAGTGAGACCCCGTCTCAAAAAACAAAAAGGTGACATTTATATTTGGAAATTATTGTCTTTCATTTTTTAAGTTTGGAGCTTAGCATCACTGACACCAGGATAAGAAGATCCAGCCAGGTGCCATGGCCCTAATGTGTACAGCTCATGCCTTTCTGCAGGGATTAAGGTGGGCGTTTTCAAATTGTGATTGCAGCCCATGGTAGGAAAAGATTTTCACTTTTTGGCCCAGTGGAACACATACTCATATACACACAACTGAAAAAGAAATGTTTAAATTACAAAACAGTGTTTATACTTTCTTCATGTGATGCCCTTTGTTGTTTTCTAAACTACTCTATGCTTTATTTTCAAAAATTGCTGGTTACAACTCACTAATGATTTCAAGACTCATGAATGAACCTCAAATCACAATTTGGAAAACTCTGGCTTGAGGTGTGTTTGGGACCTGGAATCAGCCTGCACTTCCAATCCAGGAAAGAAAAGTGGAAGAACATGAGCACGTGAGAGGAGTGAGAGGCTGGGGTGGAAGAGGTTCTCTCTGGACAGTCTTCCCACCCACCCCAGGCCAGCCCATGACAGCCCAAGCAGTTCTTGCCATTTAACTCTTGTTTGCAGTTAACGCCAATGCTTGTTTGGCTGAAAAATGCACCTGTCCGCTATGTGGTTGCCATTTCAAAGTAGAAAACTCCAGAACAGTGGTGATAGGGTAGAGCTAGCATTTTTAAAAGAATTTTCTTTACAAAATGTTGGCAAGGATAAGAACCACATATGCAAATAAATGACCGTGGTCCCCTTTATATTTTGCTGAGCAAAATATAGTAGCTGGGATTACAGGCACCCAACACCACGCCTGGCTAATTTTTGTAGTTTTAGTAGAGATGAGGTTTCACCATGTTGGCCAGGCTGGTCTCAAACTCCTGACCTCAGGTGATCCGCCCGCCTTGGCCTCTCAAAGTGCTGGGATTACAGGTGTGAGCCACCACACCCAGCCGTGTTAGCTACCATTATTTAAAGATATCTTTATTAAGATATCATTTACATAGCATAAAATTCACATTTTCCAAGTGTACAATCCCATGATTTTCAGTGAATTTACTGAGTAGTGCAACCGTGACCACAGTCCAGCATGGGACATTCCCACCATCTCAGAAGTCTTCCTTGTGTCCATTTCTGTCACTCTGTGACCTCACCTTCAGCCTCAGGCACCCACTCATCTACATTCTGCCTCTAAAGGTTTGCCTCCTCTGAATCCTTCATATAAGTGGAATCATACCTACGCAGTCTTTTGTGTCTGCAGTGTTAGCTCTTACTGCTTTAAAAAATCAAATCATTGGCCGGGCGCTTTGGCTCACGCCTGTAATCCCAGCACTTTGGGAGGCTGAAGCGGGTGGATCACGAGGTCAGGAGATCAAGACCATCCTGGCTAACACGGTGAAACCCATCTCTACTAAAAATTCAAAAAATTAGCCGGATGTGGTGGCGGGTGCCTGTAGTCCCAGCTACTTGGGAGGCTGAGGCAAGAGAATGGCATGAACCTGGGAGGCAGAGCTTGCAGTGAGCAGAGATCGTGCCACTGCACTCCAGCCTGGGCGACAGAGCGAGATTCCGTCTCAAAAAAAAAAAAAAAAAATTCAAATCATTATTAAACATTTTTACTAATTAAATGGTTTTGGAGTACATTCTTTAAAAAAAAAAATAAACTGTGTTTTCTTCAACAGTGCACGCATAATGCCAACTTTGTACGACATTGCAAAGAAAGATTTTACTATGATAAGCAGATTAAACAAACAAACAAACTTTTCCCTGAATTCTTTGGGAACAAAGCACTACCTGGTCCAAAACATCCTAACCTAGAATGCACCATCAGCTTGACAGTCAGTTGTTCCTGGATTTACCAGATTTGGGGCAGACTTTTCATGCTTCTCTAAAGAGGGATTCTTAACTGACACTGTGCCTTGTTTTTGCCCCTTTCCTAGGAAAGGAAATGATTTGATTTGGTATCATACCATCTTTCTTGCTTTTTTTTTTTTTTAAATTAGAGATGAGGTCTTGCTATGTTTCCCAGGCTGGTCTCCAACTTCTGGGCTCAAGCGAACCTCCTGTCTCAGCCTCCCACCCAAAATGCTGGGATTACGGGTGTGAGCCACTGTGCCCGGCCTCTTTCTTGTCTTTTAAACAAATAAATGTAAGCCAGACATGGTGTGCATTCATATATTCCCAGGTACTTGAGAAACTGAGGCAAGAGGATTGCTTGAGCCTAGGTTTGAGCCCAAGAGTTCGAGGCTGCAGTGAGCTATGATTGCACCACTGCACTCTAGCCTGGGTAACAGAGTGAAACCCTGTCTCTAAAGAACTAAACTAAACTAAAATAACAAATAATACCTACATGCATGGGGATGCCAGTTGAGGGGCTGGAGGTGAGGTTTAACTGGGCTCTCTCCAGAGAGAGAAAGAAGCTTAATGCTTCTTTCAAGTAATTTCTGGTCTGTCTTTACCTATGTGGATCTCAAGCCAACATTTGAGAAAAGGCCCCCTTCAGTGAAGGAATGTGTGACCTTAAGTGGTGAGTGAGAGAAACTTCCTTTCTAGCCAGGTCCTTCCTGGGACCTAACTCCATGCATCTGCTTCCTTAACGCCAGCACCTCTCCTCCATTTGCCCCTTAGTTTAATTCCCAGGGTCTTTGCGCTTGTCAACAGGTTACTTCCCACCCGCTTCCTGCAGAGGGCTTTGTTTTCTGGGGTCAGAGACAGCATGAGCCCACAGGGCCATCCCCACTGCCCCCTTCTCAGGGTGCAGCCCCGGGGAAATGAGCAATGGGACTTGGACAGAGCTCACCAATTCCTTCTGGGGGAAGCTGATGGTGCCTTCAATTTTTGTTTTTGCTTCAGATGAATTAAAAAACAAAACCGTGTGTGAAGACCAGGAGCTGAAACTGCACTGCCATGAATCCAAGTTCCTCAACATCTACTCTGCGACCTACGGCAGGAGGACCCAGGAAAGGGACATCTGCTCCTCCAAGGCAGAGCGGCTCCCCCCTTTCGGTATGTGCTTTTGTGTGTGTATTAGCCAGGGTTCTCTAGAGGGACAGAATTAATAGAATATATATATATATATCCTATATATATCCTATATGATTGTGAAAGTCAATACTTAACACAATCACGATCTTGTGATCGTGTAAGTTAATACTTAATAAACTCCCGTGTGTGTGTGTATGTATATATATATAAATGCTTGTAAACAGTAATCTGCCAAAAATAAATAAGTAAAAGAACAAGAACTGGCCGGGCGCAGTGGCTCACGCCTATAATCCTAGCACTTTGGGAGGCTGAGGTGGGTGGATCACGAGGTCAGAAGTTCAAGACCAGCCTGGCCAACATGTGAAACCCCGTCTCTACTAAAGCTACAAAAATTAGCCAGGCATGGTGGCGGGCACCTGTAATCCTAGCTACTTGGGAGGCTGAGGCAGGAGAATTGCTTGAACCCGGGAGGTGAAGGTTGCAGTGAGCCGAGATCGTGCCATTATTGCGCTCCAGCCTGGGTGACAAGAGCAAGACCCTGTCTCAAAAAACAAACAAACAAACAAAAAAACAAAACAAACAAAAAAACAAGAACTTAAGACATAAACACTAAGAATAGTACCCAGCTCCCCTTTATATATATATAAAGAATAGTACCCAACTCCCCTTTATATATATACATAAAGGGGAGTTTATTAAGTATTAATTTACACGATCACAGGTCCCACTATAGACTGTCTGCAAGCTGAGGAGCAAGGAGAGCCAGTTCAAGCCTCAAAACTGAAGAACTTGGAGTCTGATGTTCAGGGGCAGGAAGCATCCAGCACGGGAGAAAGATGTAGACCTGGAGGCTAGGGCAGTCTCTCCTTTTCACATTTTTCTGCCTGCTTTACATTTGCTGGCAACTGATTAGATTGTGCCCACCAGATTAAGGGTGAATCTGCCTTTCCCAGCCCACTGACTCAAACGTTAATCTCTTTTGGCAACACCCTCACAGACACACCCAGGAAATACTTTGTATCCTTCAATCCAATCAAGTTGACACTCACTATTAACCATCACAGTAGGGTTATACACAGGGCGCCGTCTGAGTGGATTAGGGCCCTGGCTCCCCAAGAAAGGAAGCTATGCCAGCGGGCAGTGCCTGGATTAAAGGGAAAGTCAAGGGCAGGGAGGAACCGCCACACCATGCACAGGCTCTTTCTCCTCCACATTCCTGAATCCCTCAGTTGTTCCGTCATTCCACACTGAGTAGTTATTGAGCACCTGCTGTATGCTGGGCCCTGTTCTAAGCATGGGGGAGTCATCAATGGCACAACACAAAGTCTACACCCTCGTGGAGCTGACGTTCCAGCAGTGGATGGGGAAGTGGTGAGAAATCAGATAATGAATGGGTGCATATGTCATATGTCAGGTGCAGATGGGATAAGTGCTAAGGAGAAAAATCCATGGGGAAGGGCAGGTGGAGAAGGCCAGGGGTTCCTGCAAAGAGGTGCAATTTTAGGGAGTGATGGGCATGCTGGGCTTGGAGGAGGTGAGAAAGTGAGCCTGCAGCCAGTTGGGGACAAGTGTCCAGGTAGAGAGAAGAGTGGACGCAACGCCCTGAGGCTGGACTGTAGCTGGGTATTCAGTGCTAAGAAGGGCTCTGCAAGTCATTCTTCTTAGAGGTGATGGCCATGGTAGGACTAAGAGCTTCACTCATCAAGCCCTCCTATATGATTCAGAGAAACAGAACCGATAGGATACGCAGGTGCTTGTATCTATGGAGAGATTTTAAAGAATTAGTTCACAGGGTGGTAGGGGCTGGCAAGTCTGAAACCTGTAAGGCAGGCCGGCAGGCTGGAGACCCAGGAAAGAGTTGAGGCTGCAGTTTTACATCTGAATTCTGCAGGACAGCAGGCTGGAAACTCACGCAGAACTTCTGTGTTGCAGCCTTGAGGAAGATTCCTTTTTAGGGAAACCTCGGTCTTCGCTTCTAAGGCCTTCATCTGATGAGATGAGGCCCATCCACGTGGTGGAGTTCATCTGCTTGACTCAAAGTCTACTGCTTTCAACATCAGTCACATCTTAACACTTTCACAGCAACATCTGGGCTGGTGTTTGGCCAGACAACTGGGAGCAATAGCCTAGTCAAATTGACATGTGAAATTAACCATCACACTCCAATCTGTGCTGGTGAAAAAGCTTGATCTCTCTCTGCTGTATTACCAGAGAGAACAGACCCAGCTGTGAAACAGCCCAAGGACCTGCGCTTATTGATCAAAATCTAAAATGAGCTCCTTAATATGTTAAATTGCTACAATGTATGTGTGGATCGCAGGTGAAATTCAACATTAATTTAAAAAAGAAATGCATGCCTAAGTAATACCTTGGACCTGAAAAAAAGAAAATGAACAAAAAGTGAGCTAAGCGCACTTTAACTCAGGTGAGTCTCAAGAGAAAACAAAAAAAGCCATTTGGAACACGTGCCTCCCAAATGCGAAGCCCCGTATTCCGGGAAGGCCCTTGTGTCGAGAATGGTGGAGGGTCTGTTGGAGGGCAGCCCAGGCAGACTGCAAAAGCAGGCTGGTGTGGGCATACACTGCCCTTAACTCGATCTGGGCATGAGCATTCCTGTCCTGACAGGCTCAGCAGCCAAATGGGGCAGAGAGGCACGTGTGAGGTGGGTCCCCATTGTCCATTAATGACACTACCCACTGTCCTGGTCCAGTAAGTTGACTTGTGAGCTCCTGAACCCCATCTTCCCTCTCTGATAACACCTGCGTGTGTTCATTTCTCTCTCTTAAATGTCTCCACTCCCTCCTCCTTTCTCCCTGCTACTGCCTTAGGGAAAGGGACCATTGCTGGGCCACTGTAGCCATCTCCTTACTCCCAGGCTTGCCTTTCTCCCCACAGTGGCCTCAGCTATCTTTCTTTCTTTCTTTTTCTTTTTCTTTCTTTTTTTTTTTTGAGATGGAGTCTCCCTCTGTTGCCCAGGCTGGAGTGCAATGGTGCGATCTCGGCTCACTGCAACCTCCGTCTCTAGGGTTCAGGTGATTCTCCTGCCTCAGCCTCAGGAGTAGCTGGGATTACAGGCGCCCGCCACCATGCCTGGCTGATTTTTGTATTTTTAGTAGAGACGGGGTTGCACTGTGTTGGCCAGGCTGGTCTCAAACTCCTGACCTCAGGTGATCTGCCTGCCTTGGCCTCCCACAGTACTGGGATTACAGGCGTGAGCCACTGCACCCGGCCCAGGTAGCTTTCTTAAAGGCAAATCTGTCACTAACCCTTCCTAACACCCTGCAGGGGCTCCCTGTATTATATGGTTCCTTAGCTGGATGAGGGACCCTTGGTGTTTTAACTTCTTCCTGCAAAAAGGGGCTTCACTTTTTTTTTCTTTAATTCTTAACCTTTATAATATTCAAGAATGCCTTTCCAGAACAGGGATTGTGCAAGGCATTGTGGATCTACGTCTTCTTTACGGGCTCTGTGTTCCCCTACTCCCACTCCTTTTTTTCTTTTTTCTTTTTTTTTTTTTGAGACAGAGTCTCCGTCTGTCACCCAGGCTGGAGTGCAGTGGCACGATCTCGGCTCACTGCAACCTCCACCTCTGGGTTCAAGCAATTCTCCTGCCTCAGCCTCCCAAGTAGCTGGGATTACATGTGCATGCCACCATGCCCAGCTAATTTTTGTAGTTTTAGTAGACACAGGGTTTCACCATGTTGGTCAGGCTGGTCTCGAACTTCTGACCTCAGGTGATCCACCCACCCTGGCCTCCCAAAATGCTGGGATTACAGGCGTGAGCCACTGCGCCCAGCCTCCATTTCCTTTTTTTTTTTTTAGACGGAGTCTTGCTCTGTCCCCCAGGCTAGAGTGCAGCGGTGCGATCTCAGCTCACTGCAAGCTCTGCCTCCCAGTTTCATGCCATTCTCCTGCCTCAGCCTCCCGAGTAACTCGAACTACAGGTGCCCGCCACCACGCCCCACTATTTTTTTGTATTTTTAGTAGAGACAGGGTTTCACTATGTTAGCCAGGATGGTCTCGATCTCCTGACCTCGTGATCCACCCACCTCAGCCTCCCAAAGTACTGGAATTACAGGCGTGAGCAACCGCACTCGGCCTCCATTTCTTAATATTGCAGAGAAGCACCTCATTTCCCAGGCTTACTAGTCTAACTTAGCCACATGTGTTTTAAGAAGCAGCAGTAAGTAACATCCCTGTCAGTTGTTCTTTTCAGCAGAATTCAGTTGGCCAAGCAGGTAAATCTGTAAGCCGAATGGTTTGTGTTCACTTGGTCACTGCCTTTCATTCCTAGGAATGGTAGATGAAAGTTGGATTTAATTAATTAATTTATTTATTTATTTATTTTTGAGACAGACTCTCGCTCTGTCGCCCACGCTGGAGTGCAATGGTGTGATCTCCGTTTACTGTAACCTCCACCTCCCGGGTTCAGGTGATTCTACTGCCTCAACCTCCTGAGTAGCTGGGACTACAGGCATGTGCCACCACACCCAGCTAATTTTTGTATTTTTAGTAGAGATGGGGTTTTACCATGTTGGCCAGGCTGGTCTCGAACTCTTGACCTCAAGTGATCCACCCGCCTTGGCCTCCCCAAAGTGCTGGGATTACAGGTGTGAGCCACTGCGCCCGGCTGAGAGTTGGATTTAAAAAGGAAAAGTATACCAGACGCAGTGGTTTATGCCTGTGTAATCCCTGCTACTCTGGAGGTTGAGATGGGAAGATCCCTTGAGGCCTGGAGTTTGAGGTTGCAGTGAGCTATGATCGCACCTCTGCACTCCAGCCTGGGCCACAGAGAAAGACCCTGTCTCTTAAAAGAAAAAAAAAAAGGAAAAGTAATTAAAGAAAGTGTTAGCAGATCCCATGGCCTAAAAGACAGGTTTCCATGGAGAGTGGAGGAATTCTGAGGTCAGCCAGCAGTGTTAACGCCCTCAGAAACCCTGATGTAGAAAGGACTGTGAAGAAAAGTCTGTGACTCTGCTCTGTGCCCCTTGCTTGGCTGTTCAAGGTAAAAAGCTCCAGCTCACAGAGTGAAAGCCTGCTCGCCCTTCTCCCTCACAATCAAGCACTTGCGTCCATTGCCCTTGGTGTACGTGCAAGGGTGAGGACCAGACTCTTCTCTGCATTTGTGGCCATAGCCAAAATGCCAGAGCCCTTCTTGCCCTGTGCTCTGCAGCACAAAGAAGCTCAAAGACAAAAATCAAAGGGCCCTGAGGGTGCCCTGTTCATCAGGTCCTCAGCCTCACATGGAAGGCTCAGCTCTGACCTCACCATTCAGGTCAGTGCTAAGGGCAGAACCACGCATGCGTGTGGAAATACAAACCTTTGGCTCTCTGAGCTGGTGCATTTTCTCCATCTAATTGAATGCTATGAAATCATTTGCTTCTTGGCCCAGGAGCCAATAACACCTGCGTGTGTTCCAACAACACCTGTGTGTGTTCAGTTGGATGCTGTGCTCTTCTCTCTCTTAAATGTCTCCACCTTCTCCTCCCTTCTCCCTGCTACTGCCTTAGGGAAAGGGACCATTGTCGGGCCACTGTAGCTGTACATGAAGGCTTTAAACTGCACTCGGCCTGTTCTCCCCAGAGAATCATCAGTTTACCCCTCGTGTCCAAACATGCTTTAATATCATCCACCTGAAAAAGCACACTGTTTTGACCTCCCGTCTCCTACCCGCTATCCGTCCCTCCCTTCAGTCCCATGGGCAGAGCATTTGCCGTCTGCAGAGAATTTGCAGACAGTCCCAGGGCGGTCCCATGGTGGCACCTCTCTAATCTGTCCACTTTGCTCCCAGCCTCCTCCGGGCATCTCTCCCCTGGACATCGAAGCTGCCTCCCCTCTTCGCTTAGCAGCCAGAGGGATTGTATTTATTTATTTCAAAAAAATTGTTGGAGACAGGGTCTCGCTCTGTCATCCAGGCTGGAATGCAGTGATGCACCAAGT
This sequence comes from Homo sapiens, assembly GCF_000001405.40. Classification (NCBI taxonomy): domain Eukaryota; kingdom Metazoa; phylum Chordata; class Mammalia; order Primates; family Hominidae; genus Homo; species Homo sapiens. Next base: position 32,473,768 of record NC_000021.9, read on the forward strand.
GCAGCCTTCATGTATGGTCTATCTGAGCCAAGGAGAAAATGCCCTTAGCACTGTCCTGAACGGTGAGGTCAGAGCTGAACCTTCCATGTGAGGCTGAGGGCCAGATGAACAGGGCATCCTCAGGACCCTTTGATTTTTGTCTTTCAGCCTTTTTGTGCCACGGAGCACAGGACAAGAAGGGCTCTGGCATTTTGGCTGTGGCCGTGAATGCAGTGAAGTATTCATCATAGCTCACTGCAAGCCTCCAACTCATGGGCTCAAGCAATTCTCTCACCTCAGCCTCCTGAGTAGCTGGGACTACAGGTGCATGCCACCATGCCTGGCATGGTGGAGATGAAGTCTTGCTATTTTGCCCAGGCTGGTCTTCAACTCCTGGCCTCAAGTGATCCTCCCGCCTCAGCCTCCTAAAGTGCTGGGATTGCAGGCGTGAGCCACTGAGCCCGACCAGGATTTTATTTAAATTAAACCAGAGCACACCGCACCTCCGCTTAAAGCCCTCCACTCTGCACACTGTAATTGGAATACATCAGTCTTCAGCTGTGGTCCTGCTGCACACGCCTCTTCCCTCACTACCTCTGGAGCACTCCACCTTTATTCATACCCCTGGGCCTTTGCACAAGCTGTCCCTTTGACCTGGACTGTGCTCACCCCATATCTTGTGTGGCTGGCTTTGCCACACAAGACATCGACCCAGATGTCATCTCAGAGAGGTTTCTCCAGGCACCGGCCAGCATGGCACCTCGTCCCTGCAGTCCCTCTCTGGCGACCCTTTTGTTGGACTTTCTCCACAGCATGGAGATAGACCATGGTATGTGTGTGTGGTTCATCTCCCCAGGAGCTAAGCAGCTCTGCAGGGACTGGTCTGTGGAATTCCCAGCAACTTAAGCAGTGCCAGGCATAGAGTGGGTGCTCACGTGAATCTTGAGGCACAGGAATGAATCAGAGCCCCTCTGAAGTGAGGTGCCCACACTCGGCTCCCGAGGATGGATAATCGTCTGGTTACAGACTGGGAATGTAGGCCTGGTGTCACAGCTTCCAACCTCATGGGATGCTGGAAATCTGGATTTTCTTTTTTTCTAAGTGAAATGTTCCAACTTCTAAAACATTGTGTGAGCCAAACAAAACATGCCTCCAGGGCGCACCTGGGCCACAGGCTGCCAGTGCATGTGTGATCTCTGCTCTGTGCTCCCATTTACTACTGCAGCTCAGCCTCGCTGCTTTCAAGGGGAAAAGGGTCTTTATCCTTAACCCTAGAAGCTGGCAGGAGTTTGGTGGGATGATTATGTGAGAGCGAGGGGTTGGTTTCACTGCAGACCTCTGTAAGGGAGCTTTGTGGTGAGTCCTGGAACATCTGGTTTGAGAGGATGATTTGTGTATTTTTCCTCTTGCCTATAAGTTAAAGTCTGGCAAAACCCCATTTGCTTTAGACTGGATACCCCCTTGGAACACACGCGGTGAAACCCAGTGTCCACAGTGTCTCTCCATGGTCAGGGACCACTTTGGATTTTATAGCAGCTTAGTGTGGCTTTAGTGCTGAGATGCTGTAAAAGAGCATTTCCAGTTCTTCTAAAATATCATCATCATCATCATCATCATCATCATTTTTATTGTTCTGCACAAACACCATCATAATATTTAACAGAAATGAGAAAAGGATTCAGCCACAAATGTTACTCATCAGCTAAAAAGTTCTTACTTTTTTTTTTTTTTTTTTTGGATTTCTCTCCAAGTCGAGTATGAGCTGAGGACTGTTTTACGTAATGGCAGTTCTAAGCAGATCCATTTGCAGACTGCCTTATTTTCCTTTGCTTTATATCATGTGTGTTTTTCCACGTGGCCAAAAAAAATCCTAACAATGCCGAGCACTTCCTAATATCTTGTTAAAAAGACACATCAAATAATTTACGTAACTGTTCCCTGGTGGCCAGATATTTTTCATTTTTTCTGACTTTCAAGTATTGTAAATAATGTATAATGAGCTTGTGCTTGTAGCTTTCCCTTTCTTCCGGCTGACTTCCAGCTGACTTCCTTGGAATAAATTCCCGGAAGTTTTATACCAAAAGATGGCATGAGTATGTTTACAGTTCTTCACAGAGTTCTTTCTAAAAACTTTATCTATCTATCTATCTATCTATCTATCTATCTATCTATCTATCTATCTATATAAACAGGAATGTATAACTGTGGTTTCCCTGCAACGCTGGCAGCTTTATGTATGATTTTTCTGCATGCTTCCAATTTAAGAGGTATAAAATAGTCCTTCGATGTGGTTTTTATTTTGCCTTTCTTTGACTGTGAATGACCTTGGCCATTTCCTCATATTTTTGTGGTTATTGTATTTGCACTTGCACACCTTGTCTCTCTAGCTTTTGCCTCTTTTTTTTTTCCTGTTGGGATCTTTATTGATTTATTTTATGAGTTCTTGGCAGAGTAGGGATAGTAACCCTTGACATGCTTTTTCTGCTGTAATTATCCCCCTATCCTCGGGTTTTTTGTTTTGTTTTGTTTTGTTTTTTGGCAGTTTGGGTTTGTTATGTAGGGCTGGTTGCCTTTTTGATTCTGTGTATGTCATATATAGGGAAGTTCAAGAGGGGCCGGGCGTGGTGGCTCACGACTGGAATCCCAGCACTTTGGGAGGCCGAGGCAGGTGGATCGCCTGAGGTCGGGAGTTTGAGACCAGCCTGGCCAACATGGTGAAACCATGTCTCTACTAAAAATACAAAATTAACCACATGTGGTGGCGCATGCCTGCAATCCCAGCCACTCCGGAGGCTGAGGCCGGAGAATCGCATGAACCTGGGAGGTGGAGGTTGTGGTGAGCCGAGATCGCGCCATTGCACTCCAGCCTGGACAACAAGAGTGAAACTCCGTCTCAAAATAATAATAATAATAATAAGTTCAAGAGGAAGAGGGTGGAGAAGTAGGGGCATGTGTGTGATCCCCCCAAGTTATCGGTGTGACTCCATCCTGCCCCATAAGCACCCCCAGGGCTGCCCGAGGCCTGGCTGCCAGTACTCCCGTATCCTGCACCGCAGTGGGACACACACTCCTGAGCATTTCCATAGACTTGAGGGTCCCCCCATCTGCGTCAAGAAAGCCTCCGAGCTCTGGGTGCAGAGGAGGGAGAGCAGTGCTGCAGTGTTCTGTATATGAAGCCCTAAGCTGGTCCCAACTGAACTGCATCAGGGCAGGCACGGAGGAGGTCAGTGTCGGCCACACACCCCACTCTGCTATTGAACAGAGCTTCCCAACCGCCCCATCATCAAGCACATAGACAGTTACATCCATATGGAAAGGGGGTAAAGAGAGATGCCACTGAATGCTGGCATCAATGGCCTGGGGACAGGTGGGGCCTGAGGGGACACATCCCAGCAAGTCTGTGTCCACTCACAGGTGAGCTGGGAAGCTCTGCCCTGAAGACGCACTTGGCTTTAGCACATCAAGATGACAGATACCAGGTTTCTCTTCAAGGCCCTTACATTTTCTCTAACATACCCCTCAAGGTCCCCCCAACTCGTGCTCACTGCCTGATCCCAAAGCCACCCCCACAGTTTGAGGATTTCATTACCCCGGCAACCCACTTCAAATATCAAAATGTGAATTCGTTTTCTAGTAAAATACCTCCAAGTTTAATGGCTTAAAACAAAATGTTTATTACTGTGGGACAGGAATTCAGGGATAGTGTAGTCTGGCAGTTCTTGCTCAGTCTCACGGGGTTTCAGGAAGTTGCAGCCCGGATGGTGGCTGGGGCTGCAGTCCCCTGAGGGCTGGACTTGCAAGGGGACTGGCTCATGGGTGGGTGGTTTGGTGCTGATTGTTGGTGGGAAACGTGAGTTTCTCCCCACATGAGTCTCTTATGTGTCCTTACAACACGGCAGCTGGCTTCCCCCAGAGAAAGTGATGCAAAAGAACTGGTGGAGCCATACGCTCTCACCTCCCCCGTACGCCCTCACCTCCCCCGTACGCCCTCCCCTCCCCTCCCCCGTACGCCCTCCCCTCCCCCGTACGCCCTCCCCTCCCCCGTACGCCCTCCCCTCCCCTCCCCCGTACGCCCTCCCCTCCCCCGTACGCCCTCACCTCCCCCGTACGCCCTCCCCTCCCCTCCCCCGTACGCCCTCCCCTCCCCCGTACGCCCTCACCTCCGCCATACGCTCTCACCTCCCCCATACGCTCTCACTCACCCTCACCTCTGCCATACGCTGTCCCCTCCGCCATATGCTGTCACCGCCACCATACATTATTGGTCCCCCACACAAGCTCTGGTTCACGGTGGGAGGAGGCTGCACAAACGCACGAATTCCAAGAGATGAGCCTCACTGGGGACCCTTTTGAAGGCTGTTATGAGCTAACTTATGTCCTCCCCAAATTCATATACTGAAGTCCTAACTCCCGGTACCTCAGAACGTGACCTTATTTGGGGATAGGGTCTTTAAAGAGATAATTAAGTTTTATATATATATATATTTTTTGAGACCACGTCTCACTCTGTCGCCCAGGCTGGAGTGCAGTGGCTCGATCTCAGCTCACTGCAACCTCCGCCTCCCAGGTTCAAGCAATTCTCCTGCCTCAGCCTCCCAAGTAGTTGGGACTACAGGCACGCACCACCAAGTCCCACTAATATTTTTGTATTTTTAGTAAAGACGGGGTTTCACCATGTTGGTCAGGCTGGTCTCGAACTCCTGACCTCAGGTGATCCTCCTGCCTCGGCCTCCCAAAGTGCTGGGATTTCAGGCATGAGCCACCGTGCCCAGCCTGATGTCTAATCTTGAAGGAGACTGACCCAAAGTCTTTTCTGAAAGATCTTACAGCAGGTGGGGTCCATCAGAATTTATGCCTCATCCGGCAGAAGAGAAACTGAAAGGAAGACATGAAAGTGACCATCACTGGTGACCAATGAACACCAGCAAAACAGCATTTTCACATGAGACAGGAGTGAGCTTTTCCCGAAGGCTGGGCCTGAGGCCGCCAGGCTTCAGAATGTGCCCCCTGTCTGGGCATCCACTGTGGTGCATAATTTCCCGCTGTGGTTTACATTTTCCGGGTGAGCTCCAGGGATTCTGCTATTTCCTTAATAAGAAGATGAGAAAAACCACACAATAGGCCTCAAAGGCTGGGCTAAGGCCACTCCGAGGCCAAGTGTGGGCAGGCCTGGACTTTTCAGCCAAAGATCGAGGTGCCAGAGGTTCCCACTGCCAAGACAGCGGCACTTAAGCAGCCAGCCTTATTATCTAAATAAACACAGGTTGGAAGGAGTAATTAACTTCAGTTTCACTGTTAAGTAATAGCCAAAAAGTAAAAATGTAAATGGTTGAATATCTTGTTATCACATGTATTGGGGGTGGAGGGCAGTTTGCCAGAAACAGAAGGTGCAGGCTGGGAGCGGTGGCTCACGCCTGTAATCCCAACACTTTGGGAGGCTGAGGCGAGTGGATTGCTTGAGGTCAGGAGTTCGAGACCAGCTTGGTCAACATGGGGAAACCCCATCTCTACTAAAAATATAAAAAATTTAACTGGGCATGGTGGCGCATGTCTGTAATCCTAGCTACTCGGGAGGCTGAGGCAGGAGAATCACTTGAACCTGGGAGGCGGAGATTGCAGTGAGCTGAGATCGTGCCACTGCACTCCAGCCTGGGCAACAGAGCAAGACTCTGTCCCTGCCCTCCCCAACCCCCCAGAAAAAAGAAGCAGCAGAAGGTGCAAATAAAATCAGCCTTGGAGGGAAATAACCACTAACAACAACAACAACAACAGAATCCTGCGAACCATTCAGAGCTCAGTGTCAACAAAGATACAGTCAGACCTGAATCAGACCTGAGTTGTCTTGGGCCTCTTCCTGTGGGTTCTTTCACTCTCACTAAAATAAATTCTTGCACTCCCAGAGTAACTGAAAAGTGCAAAAGCAACCCAGTGCAGTGGTTCTTTCCTGTGATCCCAGCACTTTGGGAGGCCAAGGTGGGAGGATCACTTGAGGCCAGGAGTTCAAGACCAGCCTGGGCAACATAGTGAGACCCCTATATCTACAAAAAAAATTTAAAAATTTAGCCAGGCATGGTGGCACATACCTGTAGTCCCAGCTACTCTTTTTTTTTTTTCTTCTTCTGTTAGCCTTAAGGAATATGGTCAGGCATATATCCTTAAAACTAAGAAAATATAGGTTTCCCAGGGTGCTCTCATAGAATTTTTGCAGCTGCATGCCTTGGTAAACTTTTTCTGGATAAGTTTGGCAGTATGTATTAAAAGCCTTGATGTTTGGAATACCCTTTAACAAAGCAACCTACTTCCAATAATTCCTATGGAAATATCATACTTGTTTGCAAATGTTCAGCTGTAAGATTATTCTACATAGCACTGCTTATAATATTAAAAAATAGAAATCATCTGAATGTCTGACAAAAGAGTATTATAAATAGGGTTGGATTCTTACACAGGAGGCTAAGGTGGGAGGATCACTTGAGCCCAGGAGTTGGAGGCTGTGGTGAGCAATAATCGTGCCACTACATTCCAGCCTGGTTGACAGAGCAAGGCCCTGTCTCTTAAAAAAAAAAAAAAGGTACCGAGTTGGTACATTCATAAAATGAAAGACAATACAACTCTTTAAAATATTGCTTATTTAAAATGTTCACAAATATACTAGTAAATGGGAAAGTGTAGCATACAAAGTAGTATGTATGTGATTCCAGCCTGAGCAACATGGCAAAACCCCATCTCTACAAACAATACAAAAATTAGCTGGATGTGGTGGCATGTCCCAGGCTAGGTGACAGAGCCATGGATAGCATAGTCCCAGCTACTCGGGAGGCTAACGTGGGAGGATTGCTTAAGGCCAGGGAGTCAAGGCTGCAGTGAACCGTGTCTGCGCCACTGCACTCTAGCCTGGGCAATAGAGCAAGACCTTGTCTCAAAAAACTTTTTTTGCCGGACACAGTGGCTCACGCCTATAATCCCAGCACTTTGGGAAGCCAAGATGGGTGGATCACCTGAGGTCAGGAGTTTGAGACCAGCCTGGCTAACATGGTGAAACCTCGTCTCTACTAAAAATACAAAAATTAGCTGGTCATGGTGGCAGATGCCTGTAATCCCAGCTACTCAGGAGGCTGAGGCAGGAGAATAACTTGAACCCGGGAGGCAGAGGTCGCAGTGTGCTGAGATCGTGCCACTGCACACCAGCCTGGGCAACAGAGCAAGTGCCGTCTCAAAAAAAAAAAAATAAATAAAAATAAAATAAAATTATGTATGATTCCATTGAGAGGGAAGAACATTTACACACAGAAAAGTGACTAGGAAGATATTCTTTAAAGGTTAATAGCTTTTTTTCTTGATGGTGGGATTTACTAGGGCTTTTTCCCCCAGTTTTGGGCCTCTCTGTACTTCTAAAATGTGAACATGTATTTACTTTGTAACAGGAAAAAACGATACTACTTATGTTTGGAAACGTTAGACTTCTAAGATAAATTTCACAATTCAGACTATTTGTTCCCAATGCAGGTAGCTTATACAGAAATCATATATTCCATTCTATGTTCTTTTGAAACTTAAGGTTTTTTCTACTTAGGGAGAGGAATTCAGTGAAGAAGGGGCTAGTTTTAGGCCACTTACATATAAGGATTGTGGTTTAGTAGAGAAGAAACAGAACCTTTTTTTTTTTTTTTTGACTGGTAAATGTGCTCAGCTCAAAACCCCAAATAAAACAAAGCTCTTAAAGACAACAAAAATATCCTCAGTCAACCCCGTGCAGCCACAAGAAAAAAAAAAAAACTAGAAGAAAAGTTAAAGGATATGTCTTTACTCCTAGATAAACTTTTCATGACCTCTGGGACAAATTAAGTTATATTAAAAAAAGAGTTTATTAAAATATTCTGAAAAAAATGCCTCTAAGACTCTCACTGTTCAAAAACTGTCTTCTATTTAGACATAAATTTCATTCTCCTTTTAAAGAAAGATCATTCGATACTTTCATTTCAAAGCATTGTTAAGTCACAAAAGCTTGAAACGTACCTTAAAATCGATAAGGGAGAATAAAACACCTTTTTTCAACCAGCCAAAAATACCATCTTGGTGATTCTCCTGCCAATCTTTTTTTATTTCCTATATGCAGATTTGGGGCCTGAATATTTAGTTCATACCACGCTGTACCATAGATGCTTGTTTTCACTTCAAGGGAGCAAAGAGAGCATGTAATTTAGACTCTAAATTGACGAAGTCCCAAAGGCCTTTTCCTAAAGTACCATTTCCTACCTGACGTTAGGTGCCCTGATGATGATAATGCTGATTCACATGCGAGGGCGCTGGCATTGTTCCCACTGCCCACACCACTGCCTTTTTAACAATCACATCATCCCAGGAGCCAGCTCCCAGGAGTTTCTTTGTCCGAGTGAGGAAACTGAGGCTTAGCAAGGTCACACTTTTTGCCGCTGCTCTGTTCTGCTGCCCACAGCTGCCACAGATGGTCTTCCGGGACCTTAAACACAGATTTTTCACACAAGCTTAGAGACAGCTGAGGAGAACAGCAAATGTTTTTGTGGGCTTACCTTCTGCAGTTGCCTCGTACAGACCTCATAGAGATACAGTGAAAAAAGATATTCCTCATGCTACACAGGAGGGAAACTGAGTCTCAGTGAGTTTATCAGATACCAAGTGCTGGGCAAACAGTAGTGAGCTCACCCTCTTCACAGAAGAACTGAACCCCTTCACGGTTCTCCAATGAGTAGAAGAGTTTCCCTGAGACATGAGCTTCCTGCCTTCCCCTACCTGCCCAGTCCCTGGGGTACCTCCTCGGAAGCCCAGGGCTCCCTGGAACATAATTTGATGTTGGTGCTCTTGCAGAAGGAACTACCATTTAATATTTATTGAGTCGGACACTGTGTTAATCCATGAGACCCACATGCCTCGAACCCCAGCAGCTGTCAGCCCAATGGGAGATCCAGGCACAAACAATGAACACAGCACAGCAGAAGCATTGCCACTCTCCTCTGAAGGGTCCTGCTCCATTCAGCAGCCCTGTTCACGGAACTTCACCCTCTTGTGTTCTGGAACCACTGTCCTGCCCCCTTCAGGGTTTGGGGGTGGTCACATCCCAGTGTTATTCCCTTTTTTTTTTTTTTTTTTTTTGGAGACAGAGTCTTGTTGTTGCCCAGGCTGGAGTGCAATGGCACGATCATAGCTCACTGCAGCCTCAATCTTCCAACTCAAGCGATCCTCCTGTCTCAGCCACCCAAGTAGCTGGGACTACAGGCGCACACCATCATGCCCAGCTACTTTTAATTTTGTTTTCAGTAGAGACGAGGTCTAGTTTTGTTGCCCAGGCTGATCTTGAACTCCTGAGTTCAAGCAATCCTCTCACCTCAGCCTCCCAAAATGTTGGGATTACAGGGATGAGCCACCACGCCCGGCCCTCCCTGCCATTCCTACCCCTGGGGTTCTGCACCATCCTTTGGGTGTGCCATGTCCTCATCCCATTCCCACCTTTGCAAATGGTCTATTTATTAAGCCCTGATTTGAATGTGGGTGGCCTGTCTGGCGCCCGAATGTGCAGCAGTGACTATTCCTGCTATACTGGTTGAGCTAAACTTGCCCTTCACAAAGACAGACTTGACGTTTCTGGCATTTGGTATAGACAGGCACTTAAAACATTCTCTTAAAGCTCAATAGACTTCTTGACTTGCTGTGTTTACTCTTCATTCATGAAGACCCGCCAGAGTAGCTCCAGCAAGCCACTCCTTTAGACTGGAGTACTCCACTCCCAGGCAGTCAGGGGAAAGATGGATTTATTCCAAGCCCCTAGTGAGTGGCTGGGAAGAGCTGATCCAGGAACCAGACAGAAGGATGGCAGCTTCACTGCTTCCTAATGCCCTTGGAGCATCCTTTCTCAGCATAGATTCGATCTCACAGATCAGGCACCCCTACAAAATAACACATTCTAAAGCCAGAGATGTGGGATGTTTGCATTATGTCATGTTCCAGGCTGTCCATTTCAGACCATGAATTCATTCATTAAGCACTTAATTGTTGAGTGCCTACTGTGTGCCCAGCACCTGATTCTTTTTATCAGGCTTGTGGAATGGTACCTTAGCAAAATAAGTCCGAACCTTCATGGATATAAGACGAGATCAGGTGCATTCAGGGTGGTATGGCCGTAGACGTCCTTCATGAATATATTCAAATCAAGTGCTTTTATGATAATGTTCCTCACTGTTTATGTGTGTGTGTGTGTGTGTGTGTGTGTGTGTGTGTGTATTTAAATATATTTAAATTGTCCTTCCCTCAAGGGCATTGACTTTCCAATTTTTTAGTGGTTAGCCATAGATCATTCCTTTCAACTGGACCCCTTCACGGTTCTCCAATGAGTAGAAGAGTTTCCCTGAGACATGAGCTTCCTACTTTCCTCTACCTGCCCAGTCCCCAGGGTACCTCCTCCAAACCCCAGGGTTCCCTGGAACATAGTTCGATGTTGATGCTCTTGCAGAAGGAACTACCATTTAATATTTCTTGGGGTGGACCAGGCGCAGTGGCTGACACCTGTAATCCCAGCACTTTGGGAGGCCGAGGTGGGTGGATCACCTTAGGGTCAAGGGCTGGAGACCAGCCTGACCAAGATGGTGAAACCCCATCTCTACTAAAATTACAAAAATTAGCCAGGCGCAGTGGCGTGTGCCTGTAATCCCAGCTACTTGGGAGGCTGAGGCAGGAGAATTGCTTGAACCCAGGAGGCGGAGGTTGCAGTGAGCCGAGATCATGCCAATGCGCTCCAGCCTGGGCGACAAAGAGAGACTCCATCTCAAAAAAAAAAAAAAAATTTATTGGGGCGGACACTGTGCTAACTCATGCAACTCACATGTGTCACCCGGGGTTCTGTCAACCTTTTAAGTTACCTGGGCTGTGAATTCCTCCCCTACTTAGAGACTCTTGCTTCTTTCTCTGGCCCCTTTTTCTCAGCAGATGTGTTGGTCTGTGATTTCTACCCTAATCTCTCTTCTGGACAGGCACCTTTGGCCTCCCTAAGACCCAGTGAGCTCCCTCGACTCACCCCCACCCACTGTGTGTGCTTCTGTCTGTCCGCCGAGCAGCCACGCCACTGGAGGAAGTTCCGGCCTCTGCCATCTCCATAGCCATTACGTCCCCACTCACCCACAGGGAGGGGCTGGCCTGTGCCAGACCACAGAAACTTCCTTGTTTGCCGATTTTTTTTTTTACTGCACAAGCATTGTTAATGTGTTCTCCCTTCCAAATCCTTCCAGAGCCCAACCCACACTCTCCCTTGGCCCATTCTAGAAGCGTCAAACATATTAGACGCATGCGTCTTCCTCTGTAGTTGACATTCTCCTCCCCTGACTGTCCACCCTCTTGTTTTCCTCCAAGAGGGCCACGTCTTTCAGATGCTGCAACTGGTCTTGCACACCTGAAACTCACCTGATGTTGATCACTCTCTTTTTTTTTGAAATAGTCTCACTCTGTCACACAGGCTGGAGTGCAATGGCGCAATCTCGCCTCACTGCAGCCTCCACTTCCCAGGTTCAAGCGACTCTCCAGAGTGGCTAGGATTACAGGCGTGCACCACCACACCTGGCTAATTTTTTGTATTTTTAGTAGAGGTGAGGTTTCGCCATGTTGGCCAGGCTGGTCTCGAACTCCTGACCTCAGGTGATCCACCCGCCTTCCAAAGTGCTGGGATTACAGGCGTGAGCCACCGTGCCTGGCCACTCCCTTTTTATTTTTTTCATTTTGTTTTTCTTCTTTCATGGAGCCCATAGGTTTCTTCTCTCCTTAAGAACCTTCTCTCTCTAATCCCCTTGTCCTGGCTCCTCATGGGCCGGCTCCTCAAGCAGACTCAGAATCTAGATTCCTTAATTTCTTGTTCACCATGGCCCAGACTTGTCTTCTCTCTCTTGCCAAATTGTTTGAGTTCCTGATTCTCGCAATACCTTTTCCCACTCTTGTCTAAGTGGAGACATTATGTTTAAGGGCACAGTCTTTAATGTCAACTGGATTGAGGTTCTAGGGCACACACTACCACCAAACACTGAGACCTAAGTCAAGTTACATAGCCTTGCCAAGCCTTCTGCATTTGTCAGGGCAATTAATGTAACTGTTACAGCCACTCAGTGGCTTAACCCAGTAAAGGTTTATTTCTTGGTCATATCACAGTCCAGTGAGGCTTGGGTGGTTTTCCTAGGCAGCTCGCTTCCAGTGACCCAGGGATCCAGGCCTCTTCCACCTTGTAAGGTTTCGGCATAAACAGTCAAAGGACATCATCAGAGATATACTTTTAGAAGTTGGCTCTGGCAGCATTGTTTGAACCAATCGCCATGAGCAGACAAAGGAAGAAAGAGTGGATGCGGAGCTATTGATCTTACTGTTGTTCTTTTTTTTCTTTCTTGAGAAGGAGTTTCACTCTTGTTGCCCAGGCTGGAGTGCAGTGGCATGATCTTGGCTTACTGCAACCTCCACTTCCCAGGTTCAAGCGATTCTCCTGCCTCAACCTCCCAAGTAGCTGGGACTACAGGTGTGTGCCACCACACCCAGTTAATTTTTGTATTTTTAGTAGAGATGGGGGTTTCAACATGTTGGCCAGGCTGGTCTTGAACTCCTGACCTCAGGTGATCTGCCTGCCTCAGCCCCGCAAAGTGCTGGGATTACAGGCGTGAGCCACCGCACCCGGCCCTTACTGTTGTTCTTGACTAACTTCTCCCTCTCTCTGTGTTCAAGTTTTTACCAGGTATTACTGCTTCCTCTATGCCCCTGTGAGGTATTTCTGACTCTAAATGCCCACCAATCTATATTTTTAAATTTCCTATAATGCTATTATTAGCTGATTCCTTGCTGCCAACATCTGTGGTCTCATTTAATCCTAAAATTTCTGGAAGAAACACTTTCTTGGAAAAAAGGCCTTAATAGTCCATTTTTACCTTTAAATTCTTTAATATATTTGACATACTCAAAATAATATGTGTAACACTTATGTAGGTTGTAAAAGGAGAATAATATAGTGCATTACACCCCACAGAACTAGAATCCTACAAATAACTTGGATCTACTTATGTTTTTCTCCTCTGTCCTAGCCCTGTCCCTTTCAGTGGTAAATGCTATGTAGAGATTTGTATTTATACAAATATGTTACACATATACTTTTAAATAACTGTATTATTTAGTTTTTTGGCTAATAAAAATGGTGTTGAGGTATTGTAATATAATAAGAAATATATATTTTTGTCTTCATTTGGCTCCTGGCCAGAGATCCTAAAACCTTTGTAATTTCCTAAGTTATAAGTGCAATCAGAACATCTTTTGTTATAATATTTAGATTTTGTCCTGGGCTCCTGAAATAGCTCCAGAATGATGAAGATGAAAGGAACGTCTTTTGTTATTCATTAAAATTAGCTCCTTTTAACCACACCTGAGTTTACGTAGATGAATGAATTTTGGAAAGCCCCTAATGATGGGGGGCTGGTTGTCAAGGGAATGGATCATGTGACTAGAGGGCTGGAACTTAAACCTCACACCCACCCCCTATCTCCCCAAGCTGGAGAGAGAGGCTGGAGGTTGTTGGGTCCATCACCAATGGTCAATGACTTAATCAACCATGCCTATATCATGAGACCTCCATAAAAGCCCTCAACAATGGGGCTCAGAGACCTTTCAGCTCAAGGACTCCATGGAGATGCTCAGTGGGTAGAACCTTTAGGCCAGTGGCAGCGACTCACATCCCTGTATTTTGGGAGGCCAAGGCAGGTGGATCACCTGAAGTCAGAAGTTCAAGACCAGCCTGGCCAACATGGTGAAAACCCATATCTACTAAAAATACAAAAAATTAGCTGGGCATGGTGGCAGGCGCCTGTAATCCCAGCTACTCGGGAAGCTGAGACAGAGAATTGCTCGAATCCAGGAGGCAGAGGTTGCAATGAGCCAAAATCGCGCCATTGCCCTCCAGTCTGGGGGACAGAGTGAGACTCCATCTCAAAAAAAAAAAAAAAGAGAGAGTAGAACCCCCAGCAAGGGCATGGGAGCTCCATGCCCCGTCCCCAAACCTTGCCGTGTGCATCTCTAACATTCGGCTCCTCCTGAGTTGTGTCCTTTTATAATAACTAATAATCTTGTAAGTAAACTGTTTTCCTGAGTTCTGTAAGCCAGTCTTGCAAATTCTGGAACCCAAGAAGAACCCCTGATTTATAGGTGGTCAGTCAGAGGCCCAGGCTTGCGATTGGCATCTGATGAGGGGCTGGGGGGTAGTCTTGTGGGACTGGGCCCTTAGCCTGTGGTATCTGTACTAACTCCAGGTAGTCAGTGTAAGTTTTCAGCATAAACAATCAAAGGACATCATCAGAGATTAATTGCAAGAAAATATTCTCAAACCTTATATCTGATAAGGGGTTAATATTCAAATATGCAAGGAACTTATACAACTCAACTGTAAAAAGCAAATAACTCAGTTAAAAAGAGGGCAAAGGACCTGAATAGACATTTCTCCAAGAAAGACATAAAAATTTAGATAAATTGTAGGACACACAGTTGGTATTTTCAGGAAATGGAGAATTATTTCCTTTAGGTCTATACCCAGAAGAGGGATTGCTGGGTCATATAGTAGCTCTATTTTTAATTTCTTTAGGAACCTTCATGCTCTTTTCCATAATGCCTGCACCAATCTACATTCCCACCAATAGTGCAGATGGGTTTCCTTTTCTCCACACCCTCTCCAAACACTTGTTATTTCTTGTCTTTTTATTAGAAACCACCCTAACAGGTGTGAGATGGTATCTTGTTGTGGTTTTGATTTGCATTTCTCTGACAATTAGTGATGTTGGGCACCTTTCCATATAGCTGTTGGCCTTTTTTTTTTTTTCTTGAGATGGAGTCTTGCTCTGTTGCCCAGGCTGGAGTGCAGTGGTGCAATCTCAGCTCACTGCAACCTCCGCCTCCCCGGTTCAAGCAATTCTCCTGCTTCAGCCTCCCTAGTAGCTGGGATTACAGGCACACGCCACCACACCTGGCTAATATTTGTGTTTTTAGTAGAGACAGGGTTTCACCATGTTGGCCAGGCTGGTCTCGAACTCCTGACCCCAGGTGATCCGCCCACCTTGGCCTCCCAAAGTGCTGGGATTATAGGCGTGAGCACCATGCCAGGCCTGTTGGCCATTTTTATGTCTTTCTTGGAGAAATGTCTATCCAGGTCCTTTGCCCACTTTTTAACTGAGTTATTTGCTTTTTTCAGTTGAGTTGTATAAGTTCCTTATATATTTGAATATTAACCCCTTATCAGATATAAGCTTTGAGAATATTTTCTCGCAATCTGTAGGCTGCTTTTTCATTGTGTTGATTGTTTCCTTTATTGTGCAGAAGCTTTTTAGCTTGATGTGGTCCCACGTGTTTATTTTTGCATTTGGTGTCCTAGCTAATAAATCATTGCCAAGACCAAGGTCAAGGAGTTTTCCCCCTGGGATTTCTTCTAGGAGTTTTATGGTTTCCGGTCTTATATTTGGTCTTTAATCCATTTTGTGTTGATTTTTGCATATGGTGGAAGATAGGGATCAATTTCATTCTTTTTCATGTGGATATTTAATTTTTCCAAAACCCCAACACCATTTATTGAAAAGACTATCCTTTCCCCTTAATGTCTTCTTGGCCCCCTTGTTGAAAAGTTAGTTGATGGTATATCCTTGGGTTTATTTCTAGGCTTTCTATTCTGTTCCATTAGTCTATGTGTCTGCCTCTATGCCAGTATCATACTGTTTTGATTACTATAGCTTTGTAGTAGATTTTGTGAGTAAGTAGTGTGATGCTTCCAGTTTTGTTATTTTTGCTCAAGATTGCTTTGGCTGTTCATGGTCTTTTGCAGTTCCATATGAATTTCAGCATTGTTTTTTCTATTTCTGTGGAAAATGTCGTTGGAATTTTATAGGGATTGCATTGAGCCTGTAGATCACTTTGGGCAGTATGAACACTGTAACCATATAAATTCTTCCAGTCCATAAGCATGGGATACCTTTTCATTTATCTGTGTCTTGCTCAATTTCTTTCATCAATGTGTGTGTAGATTTCTGTGTGCAGATCTTTCACCTCTTTGGTTAAATTTATTCCTAGGTAATTTTTTATGCCATTGTAAATGGGATCTCGGCTCACCGCAACCTCTGCCTCCTGGGTTCAAGTGATTCTTCTGCCTCAGCCTCCTGAGTAACTGGGATTACAGGCGTGTGCCACCGCGCCTGGCTAATTTTTGTATTTTTTTAGTAGAGATGGGGTTTCACCACATTGGCCAGGCTGGTCTTGAACTCCTGACCTCAGGCGATTCACCTGCCTTGGCCTTCCAAAGTGCTGGGATTACAGACATGAGCCACCATGCCCGGCCTACCACCTTGACCATTTCTAAGTGTACAGTTTGGTCGTGTTAAGTATATTCATATTGTTGTGCAACCAATCTCCAGAATTTTTTCATCTTGACAATCGCAACTCAAAACCCATAAAACAACTCCCCATTGCTCCCTCCCTTAGCTCCTGGCACCCACCATTCCACTTTCTGTCTCTGTGGATTTCACTACTCTAGGTCCATCATATAAGTGGAATCACACAGTATTTGTCTTTTTGTGACTGGCTTACTTCACTTAGCATAATGTCTTCAAGGTTCATCCAAGTTGTAGTATGTGTCAGTTCTTAGGAGTCGGACTTGGTCAGATGGGTGGTGGGGGATCTTAAGCAGGCAGGGAGTGATGAGATTAGAAAGACCACAGTGGAGGGCAAAGGGGAGAGAACCATTTGAAGGGGAGAAAATGGAAGGAAGGAGTCCAGTGAGTCCTTTTTAAGGCTGAATGATACTCCATCCTATGTATATACCACATTTTATTTATCCATTCATCCATCAAAGGACACTTGAGTTGCTTCCACCTCTTGGCTGTTGTGAATATGCCACTATGAACATGGATGTGAAGCCATGGTGTTTTTTTCCCTTGCTTCTGGTTCCATTTTAGTCTCCTTCTTGAATCTCACAGCTGTGGGTTCTCATGCACTCATGTACCTCACTGCTAGTGAATCCTTCTCCTTTCCTCCTGGATAATCCACTTCAAGACTTTCTTCCCGTGAGCAGCTAGCTCCAATGCCTGCTAGCAAAGGCACCAGGAGTAGGCTCCAAGAGCCAAGGAGGAGCTTCAGAAGGGATGGAGGTTATAACCTTCCCTTTGTTCATTCGTCCCATAATTCTTTGAGCATTTACTGAGCATCAGGACCAGCATAAGTGCTGGGAGCAGGAGCTCCCTGTCTAGTCTGGATAGCGACAAATGAGCAAATAAGTAGAGCCATGAGGTGAGAGCAATACACAGAACAGGAGAGGCAGAGAGAAGGAAACCACTGACTGCCGCCTGGGAGATGGTACAACTGAGAAGACAGGGGAGAAGGAAGTATTTCCTAGCAGGCAGAGGAGCATGTGCAAAGATAAAGAGATGTCAAGAGTCACAGCCTGGCTTTCTGGGGCTGCAGTGAGACCTGCAGGCTGCGACACAGGCTGGGGTGGGAGAATAACGGCTGTGAAGGAGCTAGGAAGGTAGAAAAGGCAAGTCATATGGGGCCTTGTGCACAGTTCTGAGGAGTCGGACTTGGTCAGATGGGGGGTTGGGGATCTTAAGCAGGCAGGAAGTGATGAGATTAGAAGGGGCACAGTGGGCCGGGCACGGTGGCTCACGCCTGTAATCCCAGCACTTTGGGCGGCCGAGGCGGGTGGATCACCGGGGGTCAGGAGTTCGAGACCAGCCTGGCCAACATGGTGAAACCCCGTCTCTACTAAAAATACAAAAATTAGCCGGGCATGGTGGCAGGCGCCTGTAAGCTACTTGGTCGGCTGGGGCAAGAGAATTGGTTGAACCTGGGAGGCAGAGATTGCAGTGAGCCAAGACTGCACCACTGCACTCCAGACTGGGTGACAGAGCGAGACTCTGTCAAAAAAAAAAAAAAAAAAAAAAAAAGCACAGTGGAGGGCAAAGAGAGAACCATTTGAAGGGAAGAAAATGGAGGGAGGGAGTCCAGTTACTAGACTTGCTGCAAAACTGACAGGGCTGGAACTGAGGCTATGGCAGGAGAGTAGGAGGAGATGATAGGTGCAGACGTGTGGAGTCAAAGGTGGCTGGAAAGAGTAAAGACAATCATTGCACATGGCGGAGTGCCGGAGTGGCCAGCGCTGAAGGCAGAGATCCTGGCCTCGGCTCTCAGTGGTTTGGTAGTGGCAGGGATGGACTTGGGACTGAATGGAGTGTGCAGAAAGGAGAAGAGAGCCCAGACCCAGTGCATTTTGCAGGGCCCTGTGCAAAATGAAAATGCAAAGCCCCTTGTTCAAAAATATATCAGAATTTCCACCAGGCACAGGAATGAGCTTACTCTGGGTGGGCAGGCCTGCAGAGGGCACCAGGATAGAGGAATCAGAGACCACCAGGGTGATGAGCACCAGGGAGCTGAGGTCAGTGAGAAATCCCTCAATAGGGGCATTTAGGCACCGGAAGTTCCAGAGATAGGGAAGGATTAGGATCACCCCTCATCTCTTGGATGGGATGGTGATAAGTCCATGTGATCTCCTCAAAGGGATCAGTTTCGGGGTGTGTGTGGGACAGGGGCATATTGAGGAGGGGAGGATACAGGATGGGAGGAGAGATGCAGGGGAGGCATAGAGATCCTTTCTAGAAGGCTGACTGAAGGAAAAGCATAAGTCTGGAGAGAGGTCCTGGGAACTGGGGAGAGCAGTTTTTGTTGTTAGAGGGTAGAGGAGTTTGTCATCTATAAGACGTGAGCAGACATGCACAGGACTTTGTGTGGCTGGGGTCCCTGCCCCTGTGCCTTCATACTCTCCCTGACCTATGCTTCTTCACAGCACCAGCCCTTGGCCTCTCTGGGCATGAACCCCCCACAGGCATCTCCAGATTTGAGCCTTTTCTTCAAAATCTCGGCCCACCTCAAATGCAGGACAGTTTTCTTTTGTTTTTTTTTTTAATGACTTTATGATCGTGTCCTTCAAACTGCCTACTCCTAACAACTTCCCTCATCTCTCAGTAGCACCACTGTTTCCCCAGCCCTGCAGCTTAAGATCTGAAACCATCCTTGGTCGGTCCCTCACCCACCCTTTCATGGAGACTGGGGTAGTGGGGCTCAGAGATCAACCTGCAGGCCCCGCTCTTCTCTAGCTGTGTGAGGTTACTGAACCTCTCTGTGTCTGCTGTCTCAGCCACAAAATTGATGTGTGTGTGTGTGTGCATGCACAAGTGTGTGTATTACAAACAGCCTATCTCATAAATAATTATCTGTATTTATTGGGCTCCTACAGTGGGCCAGGTGTGGGAACTAGATGATGACCAAAACAAACATAGTTTCTCACTATACAAGTGCTGAGAGCAGTGGCTGACATCATGCTACCTGTTATATTATAAGTGAATGGAACTTTGCAAAGTCTCTAAAATTCTCTCCTCTTCCATTCCTTGCTCTTTAAGCCTGTAACTCCCCTCAATGTACATTCTTAAAATTGCTTCCAAACTGCTCTCCTTGCCTTTGGTTCCCGTTTCTCTCCCAGGGAATCCTCTACACTGTCCCCTAAAGACAATAGTGTCAGGCATTTCTTTAGGCTTCCTGTTGCTTGCAGAGTAAAGTCTGAATTCTTTAGCTAAGCCTTTGAAAGTGTCTCTGTCTTGTTCCAGTTCACATTTCCTACTCATTCGCTGTGGTCGCCCCGCCTACTCCCGCCTTTCCAGCCTGTGGCCAGCCCCTGCAGGGGCTCCTAGCCCACTGCCTTAGTGTTCATGCTTTCTCTCTTGCCTGCCTCTACCCAATTTCTGCTCTTTCTTTCATGATCCAGCCCCTCTGCTCCCACGCACAGCGATCTCTCCCGCCTCTGACCTAGCACCTCTTGTCTGCACCACGTCCTGCTGACAGTGATTCACTGTTTCCACTATCAGACACCAGCTCTCACATGTGTGTTTTGACTCTCTAGCTCTATTGCAAATCCTGTGAAAGGATGCTTTCATCTGGGTAAAAAGCAAGGTAGGCTTTTTATTTATTTATTTATTTATTTATTTATTTATTTATTTATTTATTTGAGACGCAGTCTTGCTTGGTCGCCCAGGCTGGAGTGCAGTGGCACAATCTCGGCTCACTGTAACCTCTGCCTCCCAGGTTGAAGCAATTCTTGTGCCTCAGCCTCCCGAGTAGCTGGGACTACAGGCACATGCCACCACACCCGGCTAATTTTTGTATTTTTAGTAGAGATGGGGTTTTGCCATGTTGGCCAGGTTGGTCTCGAATTCCTGACCTCAGGTGATCTGCCTGCCTCCGCCTCCCAAAGTGCTAGGATTACAGGCGTGAGCCACTGTGCCTGGTCCTCTTTTTACTGTTTTTTTCTGATGGTACTTAGCACAGTGCCTCATCCACCATAGGTGTTCAACTGATATTTACTGATTTTAATGATGTTGTGCCAGGGCACCGAAAAACAAATCTTCATGTCAATTAGTTTATTTCATTCATTCATTCATCAGATATTTACTTGCCTTCTACAGTGGGCGAGGTGTGAGAATTAGATGATGAACAAAACAGAAATAGTCTCTCCTGGAGCTTATGTTCATGTAGAGGAGATTGATTCTCAAAATAAACAAACAAATAATATATTTCAAAGCATGGTAAAGGTCGTAAAAGAACCAAGAATCTTCATTCAATGTTCTTCATATTTTAACCAGTGCAAAATGAAAATGCAAAGCCCCTTGTTCAAAAATATATCAGAATTTTGACCGGGTGCGGTGGCTCACACCTGTAATCCCAGCACTTTGGGAGGCCGAAGCAGGCAAATCACTGGAGGTCAGGAGTTTGAGACCAGCCTTGCCAACATGGTGAAACCCCATCTCTACTAAAAATACAAAAATTAGCTGGGCATAGTGGCATGCGCCTGTAGTCCCAGCTACTGGGGAGGCTGAGGCAGGAGAATTGCTTGAAGCAGGGAGGCAGAGGTTGCAGTGACTGAGATCGTGCCATTGCACTCCAGCCTGGGCGACAGAACAAGAATCAGTTTCAAAAAAAAAAAAAAATTCAAGATGGCGCCAGCAGAGCATTAAAACCAGCTCTGGGACTTCTAGGACAGGATCATGATGCTGGCTCTGCCCATCTTGGGTGCTTTAATGAGACAGAAAATAAGCAGAGAAACTCTCCATTTGATTTGAATCCAGCTCAGCATATTTATTTACAGAGAATGCTGTAGGCTATGTGGTGGCCCTGTGTGGGATGCAACCTGAAGTTCTGGGTGTTTCCTGCCTTTCAGATTGCTTGTCTTACTCAGCTTTGCAAGTCCTATCCCGAAGGTGCTATGGGAAGCAGAGATGCAAAATCATCGTCAACAATCACCATTTTGGAAGCCCCTGTTTGCCAGGCGTGAAAAAATACCTCACTGTGACCTACGCATGTGGTAAGAACACACCCCCGACCAGCTGCCTGATGACACTGCCTCTTTTGGGGGAGGGTGGTGACCATGTGAACGGCAGGAGTTTGCCCAGAACAAGCCAAACACTGCTCCTCCTGAAGCTGTTTGGTCATCCCAGATACCCGAGAGCCCTTTTTTTCTTTCTTATTCTTGTTTATGATATTCATGTCAGATAAGCAATAGAATTTTCTTTGGTCAAAATTTGTGTAAAAGCACCTTTAGCAATCAGATTGGCAGCCAATGGGGAGGGTGGAGAAGGAACAACCAAATAGGGGTAAACTGATGTCACTGAGACCAGTGATTTTCATCTGGGAAAATTTATTGGGATGTCATGCGAGTTCACAGTCGAATTATGTGTCTCCTATTTAACCTTCCAGTTCTGCTTTTAGGCCCTAAATGACTAACTCTCTGTACTGCCAACAGCTATTTTATCTACATGCCCACAGTGTTGAGTCAACAGATCAAATGCTTACCCTAAAACAATAAAAATTGTTACACGACAGCATTACTTTGTTTTCCTGATGTCTTTAAATGATAAAATGAAATGCCTTCTTCGTTTAGATTCTAATTTCATAAAGCCACGTAAAAGCAAATCAGCAGTTTATTATTTTCTGAGGATACTGTGGATTTCCAGTGTGTAATCCTAATGTGTTGACTGCCTTCTTTTTGTTGGAAATGAGCATAAAAGCAAATGGAAAGCAAAGAGCATTATAATTGAAGAACCTGATACCTATTCTCTTGGAAATCGCTTTTTCCCCTGCCAAACATTCCTAGCCATTTTATGTCTGCAACAGCTTTTTTGAGATATAATCCACAGAGCATACAATTCACCTGTTACAGCATACAAATCAGTGGTTTTTAGTATATGCACAGAATTGTGCTACCATCACCACAATCAGTTTAAGAACATTCGCATCCCCCCAAAAGAAACCCTGTATCCCTTAGCAGTCAGCCCACCAAATCCACCCATTCATTACACCTGCCCCATCCCCAGGCAACCACCCATCTACTTTCTGTCTTTATGGATTTGCCTCTTCTAGACATTTCCTAGAAATGGAATCATACAATGTGTGGTGCTTTGTGTCTGGCTTCCTTACTTAGCATCTGTTTTCAAGGTTCGTACATGTTGTAGCATGTCTCAGTACTTTATTTCTTTTTGTGGCATCATAATATTCCATTGCATCCTTAGAATTTTATATCCTGAACTAAAAATGTTGTTCTCTGCAATATCAATGCTGCAATAGATATGATGAAGTGACTACATAAATGTATTACCAAAATAATGGCACCCACTCTTACATCACAGGAGGGATGGCTTTACCTGCTCTGTCTTTATTCCTGCTGTCATGTCTAAGCAACTCTAAGTAGCATGGGGCCCATTTTGGCTGAGGTTCCCCCAGAGGCCAAAAAGGTCACTTTGAGTACATCCTTGGATAGCTCCTCTGGTAGAATGGAGGACGGTAGACTGGACACGGGTCACACTGAGGTTCCAGTAACTTCAGGCCTCTTCATCAGAGTGTTGAATAAGAAGCAGAACTTTAGCCTCCAAATAAGGTGTAGTTTTGGCCGGGGACCGGGAAAGCTGAGACACTGCTGGGCTGGGGCCGCCATAGCCCTGGGAACGGAGTATATTCTAGTGAAAGGAGACCAGGTGACTGGCATAGTGACAGCTAAATCTGGAGATATATTCAGAGTTGATGTTGGAGGGAGTGAGCCAGTTTCTTTGTCTTACTTGGCATTTGAAGGTGCAACTAAAAGAAACAGACCAAATGTGCAGGTTGGAGATCTCATCTATGGCCAATTTGTGGTTGCTAATAAAGACATGGAACCAGAGATGGTCTGTATTGACAGCTATGGATGAGCCAATGGAAGGAATGTCATTGGACAGGATGGTCTGCTTTTTAAAGTGACTGGGCTTCATTAGAAAGCTGTTAGCTCCAGATCATGAAATCAAACAGGAAGTGGGAAAACTCTATCCACTGAAGATAGTATTTGGAATGAATGGAAGAGTATGGGTTAAGGGAAAAACCGTCCAGCAGACTTTAATTTTGGCAAATGTTTTAGAAGCTTGTGAACACATGACATTAGATCAAAGAAAACAAATCTCCAGATTGGCAGAAAGTTGATATAGGTGGACTTTTTTAATGGGTCCGTTGAGCCAAGAAACCATGGGTTTCCTGGGGAAAACTTTTTTCAGGTGAACTTCTCCCCATTTAGTTATTCAGAAGACAAGGTATGAAGGTACATATTATCTTATTGGAGTCCTAATTAAAATATTTTTATAAGTAAATTACTGATTTTCACCCATGCTCTTGTGGGAGAGAAAATCATTACAGAATCATGATGTATTTTTTTATTCTGTACAATAACATTTACTAAAACATTTTTTTTAAAGGTGCAGTTTCTAGTGTGCTTTCAAGGATGAGGCAAGAACAGTTCCTACAGCTGAGGCTCTTCTTAGCTAATTGTATTAGTCCATTTTCACACTGCTGATAAAGACATACCCGAGACTAGGCAATTTACAAAAAAGGGGGTTTAATTGGACTTACAGTTCCACATGGCTAGGAGGTCTCACAGTCATGGCGGAAGGCAAGGAGGAACAAGTCCCATCTTATGCGGATGGCGGCAGGCAAAAAGAGAGTTGTGCAGAGAAATTCTCATTTTTTAAACCATCAGATCTCGTGAGTCCCTTTCACTATCAAGACAACAGCCCGGGAAAGACCCGCCCCTAAGATTCAATCATCTCCCACAGGGTCCTCCCACCAGGTCCCTCCCACAACACGTGGGAATTATGAGATTTGGGTGGGGACACAGAGCCAAACCACATCACTAATGCTGAGATGAAGGTGAGCTTTCAGGGCCTGGGGGTCACATGTCCCAGTTCAAGCTTTTCTTCCTTCTGTCACTCATTCAGCACATTGCTCTTTGTGTCAGGAGCTGTGCTGGGTGCCAGGGATTTTGTAATAAACAAAGAGACACGGCCAGGTGCGGTGGCTCACGCCTGTAATCCCAGCACTTTGGGAGGCCGAGGCGGGCGCATCATCTGAGGTCAAGAGTTCGAGACCAGCCTGGAAAACATGGTGAAACCCCATCTCTACTAAAAATACAAAATTATCTGGGCATGATGGCGCATGCCTGTAATCCCAGCTACTTGGGAGGCTGTGACAAGGAGAATCACTTGAACCTGGGAGGCGGAGTTGGCAGTGAGCTGAGATCTCGTCACTGCTTGGGTGACAAGGGTGAAACTCTGTCTCAAAAAAAAAAAAAAAAAAGAGACATGGTCCTGTTTTCATGGGGTGAGCAGTTGAGGGAGAAAGGCAAGCATTAACCAAATAGCCAGACACATCATCATGACCTGTTGTGACAAATGCTATTTTAGAAAAGGGCAGAAGACTGTAACAGTGGAGGGGGCCTAATTTAGCTTGGGGGTGGTGGTTTAATTCTTCCAAAGAGAACCATACTGTAGGGTGAACACTAGGGTATGCACACTAGCTGCACACTAGCTGCACACTAGGGGCCGAGACGCTGAGGTTGCTGAGTGGGAGAGGAAAGGTGTTGATGAGGAGGAAGATGGCCCTGGTTTAAACTGCTGAGAACAGGGTCCTGCACACAGTAGGAGCTCCATGAAGAGTGGTCCCTAGTGTTTTCACCAACATATCTGAAGTGGAGCAGGACGGTGATCAATCACACCCCAGTCCCCGACCTCATTCGGAACTAGTTTGAATCAAGGAGATGCAAAAATCTGACAAGTGTGTTGACAACGGTGATTTTAAAGGTCCTAAAAGATTCTCCAGATATCAGAGCCATTTTCACATAGTAGAAGGGCACATTCCCTGCAGTGGCCTGTGTCATACACAGCCAATTTAACCTTTTCACTGCCTGGTTATTCTGCAAAGTGCATCCTAGAATGCCCTTCCCCTCTGAGCTCCTCTACAAAATTCTGATTCTTTCTCAAACTGTAAAGCCTCTGGCATTTGCCAAGAGCCAAGGCCCTCCTGAAGCCATAGTTTGAGAACAAGCCAAGAGGCAGACATGAGAAAGAAGTACCACTCCTGGCAGGGAGAGCTGACACTTCCTAGGATTCTGCATCCTTCTCAGGGCCCAGAAATGAATGCGAGGTAATTAAAGCAGAAAGCAATTTGCAGCAGCTGAGCTCAGCTCTCCGGAGCTGCCAGGGTCCCAGGATCAGTGGTGTGCCCCAAGGACAGCCAAGGGACATTCCTCAAGGCCCTGGAAATCATCAGCCACATCCAGCAACTTCACCGGGCTTCCCTGGAAAGTCTCCCTTGCTGCTGATGGGCATGAAGGCGCCAGGGCCTCCTGTACGTGGAAAACTCACAATCTAGGAATGTCCGGTGGTTGTTGATCCTGGGACATCCCCAGAAGAATTTAGTTAAGCCCTCTGAGAGAGGAAACAAGGTTTTCTTGCTGCTGAAGATGCCTCACTTGTTCTTTTATAAAAAAGCAGTGCAATTGAATTTGCAGTTTGTTTTGGCTTTCTTTCCATTTCCTGTTGCTACTTCTCTGAGATCTCAGCTGGGCTGAGGAACAAACAAAAATAAGCAATTTTATGCAGCAGGAATATTCGGTTTCCACTCCCTTCTCCCAGCCTGCGGCAGTGTGCTTGGCCTGCAGAATTCTTGCTCTGCCCTCTGTTTCAGCGGGTGCTGTCATCTGCCGGCTGCTTTGCCTGGGGATTCTGACATCCCAGGGCTTATTCTTAGGGTCAGTTCAGCAGAGTCTGAAACCACCTTCAGAGGAGTCGGTCACGCTGCCATCCTCTCTGCATCTTTCTGTAGTCCTTTCTGATAATATTTAGCAAATCACTTTAGCACAGGGTCTTCGAATTCTTTCCAGATTTACGATGGAAACACAGAGGCAAAGAGCTTGGGGTAGAAAGCAGAAGAGTAGGTGCTGGGAGAGTTTGATGGTGGGTTTTGAGTTGGTCACAGTCATTTTGCTTTACTAAGTCCAGGGAAGCTCATCTTCAGAGTTAACCACCCTATTTTTTTTTTTTTTTTTTTTTTTTTGAGATAGAGTCTTTCTCTGTCACCCAGGCTGGAGTGCAGTGGCACAATCTCAGCTCAGTGCAACCTCTGCCTCCTGGGTTCAAGTGAGCACATCCGGCTAATTTTTGTATCTTTTAGTAGAGATGGGGTTTCGCCATGTTGGCCAGCCTGATCTTGAACTCCTGACCTCAAGTGATCCACCTGCCTCAGCCTCCCAAAGTGCTAGAATTACAGGCATGAGCCATCATGCCCAGCCCAGAGTTAACCACTCTATTGAGGTGTTATTTTCCTTAAAATTCTATTACATGTGAATACAATGCAATGATTTTTAGTAAATTTAGAGTTGTGCAACCATCACTACCCTCCAGTTTTAAAACATTTTCACAATGCCCCGAAGCTCCCTTGTGCCCATTTGCCGTCACTGCCCCATTCCCACCCCCCCGGTCCCAGATAACCACGCATCAACTTTCTGTCTCTAGATTTGCCTTTTCTGAATATTTTGTACAAATGGAATTATGCAATGGATGGTTTTGTGTGTGTGTGTGCGTGGTTGGCTTCTTTAACTGAATGTGATGTTTCAGAGGTTCATCCATGTTGTAGCATGTATCATATCGGTACTTCACTTTTTTTTTTTGGAGATGAAGTCTCACTCTTTCACTCAGGCTGGAATGCAGTGGTGCGCTCTTCGCTCACTGCAACCTCTGCCTCCCGTGTTCAAGCAAATTCTCCCTGCTTTAGCCTCCCAAGTAGCTGGGATTACAGCTGTGTGCCACCATGCCCAGCTAACTTTGTATTTTCAGTACAGACGGGGTTTCATCATGTTGGCCAGGCTGGTCTCGAACTCCTGACCTCAAGTAATCTGTCCACCTCGACCTCCCGAAGTGCTAGGATTACAGGTGTAAGCCACCATGCTGGGCCTTCATTCCGTTTTATTATGAGGTGTATTCTGCTAGATGGATATATCATATCTTGTTTTTATTCTCCATTTTTTTTAATATTGCAAAATGGGCCTAAAACCACCTCTCTGGAGCATTTGATGATCACATGGATACCATGGGTTTGTGTGTATATGTGTGTATTTAACAGGAAGAGTGAGTGATTCTTGCACTGATTTGGAAAGTGATTTTAAAATCTTATCTACATTGCATTTAAAAATGTATTAAGAGTCCACATTTTAAAAATATACCACGAATTTAAAATATTTCTTTTTTGGCTTTTAGTTCCCAAGAACATACTCACAGCGATTGATCCAGCCATTGCTAATCTAAAACCTTCTTTGAAGCAGAAAGATGGTGAATATGGTAATTTTTATGGCTTACTACCAGCATTTCTCTTTAAGTAAAGGTAAACAGCCCCTGGGTGACCACAGTTGGGCACACCTTGGTTAGAATGGAAGGGGCTGTCAGGAGGTGTGTTTGAGGTACCGGTCCTGGTGATAATAGCGCTTATTATCGGCCAATAGTTGCAAATGGTGAACACCATTTTATTTTGTTTTGACTTTTTTAAAATCAGAAGTAGGATAAACCTCCCCTTCATTCTCCTCTCACTTCCTAAAAGGAAAATCACTTTGAAAAGACATCTGCTCAGAAGTAAATTTGGGCTTCCTGGGTTACACAATGAGCTTTTTGCAAAGCTGAGCCCATTGGAACCTGCGTAGGCGCCAGGGCCAACTAGGACCTGAGGGCCTCTGTACCTCTGTACACACCACCTTCCTCTTTAGTTTCCTTCCTCCCTTCCTTCCTTCCTCCCTCCCTTCCTTCCTCTCTCCCTCCCTCTCTCTCTCTCGCTCTTTTCTTTCTTTCTTTCTTTCTTTCTTTCTTTCTTTCTTTCTTTCTTTCTTTCTTTCTTTCTTTCTTTCTTCTTTCTTTCTTTCTTCTGTCTTTCTTTCTCTCTTTCTTTCTTTCCTTACTTTTTCTTCTTTTTCTTTGGAGTTTCGCTCTTGTCGCCCAGGCTGGAGTGCAATGGCGCAATCTCCACTCACTGCAACCTCTGCCTCCGGGTTCAAGCGATTCTCCTGCCTCAGCCTCCCAAGTAGCAGGGATTACAGGCGTCCACCACCACACCTGGCTAATTTTTGTGTTTTTAGTAGAGACGGGGTTTCACCATGTTAGTCAGGCTGGTCTTGAACTCCTGACCTCAGGTGTTCTCCTCGTCTCGGCCTCCCAAAGTGCTGGGATTACAGGTGTGAACCACCGCACCCGGCCCCTCCTTAGTTTTCACTTGGCTTTTGTAAATGGGGTGGAGGGGTAGGGAGTTGAGGGGGTTGAGCATTTGGATTTTCTTATCAAATCTAGAATGGAATTCAAACCCATGGGGTCCCTAATAGAAACTGCAGAGACCCCGTAGAGCATCTAAGATGTTAGGCTGTGGTGAGAGTTTTGTCTTGTGTTACCTTTATTATATGTATTAGGTCTTTCCCCCCTAAGTATAAAAGTAAAGTATGTTTGATATGAAAACCATATGAAAGCACCCCTACTCCAAAAGCTCAAAGAAAACTATTGGTAATGTTCTTCTGTGTCCTTCTAGCTGGCCACCTTGGCTTTCTGGCAGGCTCTGTGTTCCTTAGCTCCTCTTCTCTTTCTTTTAACTAATTAATTAACTATTATTATTATGTTTGTAAAGACAGGGCTTTGCCATGTTGCCCTGGCTGGTCTCAAACTCCTGGGCTCAAGCGATCCACCCACCTCATCCTCCCAAGGTGCTGGGATTACAGGCGTAAGACACCGCACCCAGCTTCCACTTATTTTTCTAACAGGGTTCCCACCCGATCCATAAACAGCCTGGTCCCCCTGCAGTGGGGGCCTGAGAGCCAACCCTGTGCCGTCTCTCCTCAAAGGCATCTGTCCTGTCTGACATGGCTAGGAGTCCCCCAAGCCATCAGGTTACCCCATCACAGACTTGCTAAGCTCCATCCAGCAGTGTAACCAGGATTTAAAAGCAGATTTGCCCCACATTTTGCTGTTGTTTCCAAAAAAAGTAGCCCAATACAACCTCCCTCTGTAATGGAGGCTTGTTTTATCTCTGGCCACACAGCAGACATCAAATCCATGCTTAAAGTGAAATATTATTGGCCGGGAGCAGTGGCTCACGCCTGTTATCCCAACACTTTGGGAGGCCGAGGCGGGCAGATCACCTGAGGTAAGGAGTTCGAGACCAACCTGGCCAACATGGTGAAGCCCCATCTCTAATAAAAATACAAAAATTTGCTGGGCATGGTGGCACGTGCCTGTAATCCCAGCTACTCAGGAGGCTGAGGCAGGAGAATTGCTTGAAACCAGGAGGTAGATGGTTGCAGTGAGCCAAGATTGTGCCATTGCACTCCAGCCTGGGCAACAAGAGTGAAACTCCATCTCAAAAATAAATAAATAAATAAAATAAAGCGAGATATTATTAAGCCTCTGAGGGGTGTGATGAATGTCACTGTCTTTAGGATGGGAAAATCCACTTATTCCCTTCCACAGTGGAGTGGAAGACCAGCACCTGAAGTTGGAACCAACACTTAAAACAATTTCTAATCCTTTTTGTACTTTAATATTGTCGGGGACTGCTTACTATTTAATAAGTGCTCTTCCTGGGTTAATCTTCTGTAATTTAGCCAGAGGCCCATTTGTTTGATTTCTGTGACTTTTAATTATTCCGGCGGTCCCTGGGGTAGGAGCAGCAGGGGTGTCTTAGAATAGGCGTACTATGAACAGCTGTGATTAATTGGTCTTGCATTTTTCATGAAACAGGTATAAACTTCGACCCAAGCGGATCGAAGGTTCTGAGGAAAGATGGAATTCTTGTTAGCAACTCTCTGGCAGCCTTTGCTTACATTAGAGGTAGGTCAATGAATCAAAGCTTCCTAGAATGCTGATGGATTTACTAAAGTCTTGTTAATAAATGTGCTGTTCAATTATAGCACTCAGATAACTAAAGGACGATGACTTCAAGTTTAACATGCCAACCACCACTTCTAAGATTCAGAAACACAGAGGCCTGAGTTCAGGCACAGTTGTAACCAGGCAGTCAGCAAGAGAACCACATAAACAGACAAAGTCACACTATTTAGGAGTTGAGCTCCACAGATATTTTTCGCTTTTGAAAAGTAGAAACCCGAGGAATGCATTTCCCAGCTCTAAAATTCGGGAAGGAACTAGGATTATTGAATTCCAGCCCTGACTGGAAGAAAAATGAGCCAGAAGGTCACTTAGTAAACAAGACAGATCATGCCCCATGAAGACAGAGCCACTTTCTGGGTCATGAGTGTTATTCCTAATAGTTGTCAAGGATTCCCTTGTTAGTCTTCCCCATGAGGATCAATCAGACTCAGCCCTCATGAATTAGCAGAGCCAGAAGGCTTATACCAAGGCCGGCCACACCGCGGGGACCTCTTCATTGAGGGGAAGGTATGTACAATTTTTCCTCACCACCCTCTCTGCTTATCTTAAGATAGAACACATTTTGGAATGCCATCTGCAAGTTTCAGCAATGCCTGCCTATGTTCAGAGAGACAAAAACCAGAGACCTTCAGTAAAATACATGTTAATATAATACATAACAGTATTGCTATTCAAGGCCTGCAAAGATGGGCTATTTGGGGTAAGCCTGTCTCAGAGGAAAATAGAGGCTTAGGGAATGTATTTGTCTGTTCTCATGCTATTAATAAAGACATACCTGAGGCTGGGTAATTTATAAAGGAAAGAGGTTTAATGGACTCACAGTTCCACATGGTTAGGGAGGCCTAACAATCTCGGTGGAAGGTGAATGAGGAGCAAAGTCACGTCTTACTTGGTAGCAGGCAAGAGAGCTTGTGCAGGGGAACTCCCCTTTATAAAACCATCAGATCTCGTGAGACTTATTCACTATCACCAGAACAGCATGGGAAAGACCCACCCCATGATTCAATTACCTCCCACCATGTCCCTCCCATGACACATGTGGATTATGGGGGCTATAATTCAAGATGAGATTTGGGTGGGGACACAGCCAAACCATATTGGGGAATGATCTCAATACATGAGATGCAAAGTTCAGTCTTGGGGTCCCCTGCTGTTCTATTGTCCTCCTGCGTCAGGATTCCTCCTGTGTGTGTGTTGTGTGGTTGATGGTTTCTTCTGTGGGTCCTCTCTTTTCTAGCCACCTTCTCATTTTCATGTCTTGCTGTTCCTGATCATTGTCAATGTTAAGAACTGTAAGGATTTTTACTGTCAGAAATATCCCCATATTTACAAAGTCCTTGGGGAGCTTCTTGGAGAAAAGCCATCATGAAAATCCTCCAGACAGAGAATAACGATTGAAGGGGAACGAGACCGACATTGCGCTCAGTGAGCTGTGGCCTTGCTGTGTGCTTTACCCCAACTACCTTGTCCGTTCCTCTCAACAACTGCCTTAGCCAGCCCAGCTGCCATAACAAAGTACCCGAGACCAGATGGCCTAAATAACAGACATTGATTTTCTCACCGTTCTGGAGGCCAGAATTTCATGATCAAAGTATCCACCAATCACTTTCCGGTAAGGGCTCTCTTCCTGGGTTGTGGACAGCAGCCTTCTTGCTTGTCCTCACATGGCAGAGAGGGGGAGAGACAGAGACAGAGACATCTCTTCTTTTTATAAAACCACCAATTCTATCAGATTAGGATTCCCCCCTTATGGCCTCCTTTAACCTTAATTAGCTCCTAATGAGTGAACTGGGGGCAACACAATTCAGTCCATAGCAACAACCCTGAGAGATGGGACTCTGATCCCCTGTTCTGCACTTGAAGCCGGTGGTCAGAGGAGTTGAGCCATTTGCCTGAGGACACCATGGACAGCGGCAGGGCCAGGATTCAGGCTCAGCTAATACAAGGCTTGCACTCCAGCTACTCTGAATTTTGAGGGATGCAACCACCTCCCCACTCTGATCCTGAGTTGTCTAAATTAGCTTTCCTCCATCTCTTTCTATCCTTTTATGTGATTGTCATTCCCAGAAACCACAGGATAGAGATATTCGTTTAGTGACTATCTCTCCTGCTAGTGGCTCAGCTCCACAGGGTCAGGTGCCTTGTCATCTTATTTTGTGTGGTATCCCTGTATCTAGGATGCGGTGCTGGTACAGAACAGGTGCACAGTCAGTAGTTAAGGAACAACTGAATGATGACTGCTGATATGGGCTTATGAGCTTTTTCCTGTGCTTTATTGTCATCCAATATTTGCTATTTATAAGATGTCCATTTTTTTAAAATGTAAGGACTTGATGAGCTGTTATTTGATTTTATTGAGGGGTGTTTGGTGACATTTATCTTAGCAAACCATGACCACGCCTCCATATAATGTCCAAGAGAAAGAGTCTCTAAATGCACTGTGTTGGATGTTAGCTAAATGAAATCACCACAAGAAGCTCGTGACTCAAATCACAGAGGCTCACAAAGCCCTAGTAGAACAGGTGCCTCTGGGCTTGCCTGTGGGTTTTCTTGGTGTGTCTATGTCGCTGTCTGGGTGGCCACTCTAGAGGTGGGAAGCATGCAGTGCATGCTCAGGGGTCTGCAGGCCAGTGTGCCACAGAGGTGCATGTGGACATCAGGCTGGGTCATTTCGACCCAAACAGGCAGTGGCCACCAGCCAATGTCACACAGTGCTGAGCTCCATCCTCACTGCTGCTGGAGAGAGGTGCCCAGACAACTCTCAGTCGCATCCCCGGCCCCACTGTGGGGATGTGACCCACGGGATGAGCTGGGGTCTCTAGGCACCCCCAAAGCAGGAGCAGCTGGGAGCCAAGAGTGTGAGCAGGGCAGTTTCCAGCCCAAACCACCCAAATAGGCGGCAAATGGAGTGAATCCAAAAGTACATTTCCCAGGTCAGGCTGCAAGTAGCTTTGACACAGTAGTGCAGTCCAGTGTACATGGGGACAAGGAGAAGAGAAACCAAAATCGAGAGGTTTGTCCCCTGATATTAAAGCACAGAGGTTGGCAGAAGGGACAGGAGGATGTCCAAGGGTCCCTGGTGAAGCATCTCCTGGGGTCATCTGAATGATCTGTGAGATGGTTTCCCCAACATTGAAAAAGCTTCTTAGGTATGTTTGAATTTACTGTCATTTCAATAATACAGACTTACTCCCCGAATTCATTCTAGAATCAAGATCATGACTCTAAGGAAGCTCATAGAAAAACATTGGAAATTAGAGAAATGGAAAAGGAGTGGTGTGTGTGTGTGCATGTGTGTGTGCATGTGTGCATGTGCGTCTGTGAGCATGTGCATGTGTGTGTATGTGTGCACGTGTGTGTGCATAGGTGTCTATGCGTGTGCGTGTGTGCATGTGTGCATGTGTGTATGCGTCTGTGTGCGTGTGTCTGTATCTGTGTGCATGTGTCTCTGTGTGTGCATGTGTGCGTCTGTATGTATGCGTGTTTTTGTGTGTGCATGTGTATATGTGTGTGCATGTGTGTTTCTATGTGTACATGTGTGTACATGCGTATCTGTGTGTGCATGGGTTTGCAGGTGTGCCTGTGTGTGCATGCATGTGTATCTGTGTGCATGTGTGCATGCGTATGTGCACGTGTGTGTGCATGTGTGTGCATACGTGTATCTGCATGTGCATATGTGTTTGCGTGTGTGTGCATGTATGTGTATCTCTGTGCATATGTGTATCTCTGTGTGCATGTATGTATGTGTGTTGCATGTGTGTGCATGTGTCTGTATGCTTGTGCGTGTGTGCCGTCATGTGTGTGCATGTGTATCTGTGCATGTGTGTATCTGTGTGTGTGCGTGTGTGCCTGTATGTGTATCTGTATGTGTGTTTGTGTGTGTGTGTATCTGTATGTGTGCCTGCATGTGTGTGTGTGGGTGCGTGTGTGTACGCATGCATGTGTGTGCATGCACATGTGCGTGTGTATCTGTGTGTGTAAGTGTGTGTTGGAAGTTCTTAGCAAAGCAGTGTAATAGCTGGCTCAGCATGAGCCATTGTCCCCTGGCAGATTGTGCCCAAGGGGACTTACGTATTTAGACAGTCTTGCATGAGAATATGACCTCTCCTATTCCACATAATTACTGTTTCATTGACATCTGGCTTTGGGTGTTTACCTCATATGTGCCTGCAGGCATGCCTTTTGTGGCCTAATATTTCCGTCACTGCCCCTGCCCCCTTGGGACAGTGACAGATATGTCATCAGCCTCTGGCAGGCCCTGCTGTGGGCTTCTGGGGCGCAGGGGTAAGGAAGCTGGGCAGAAGGGACAGGCTTGCAGCCTGGGATGTCCTGTTTTGGGAGGCATAATTGTTTCATAAGGGAGGAACTCTAGGGCCACAGATAAGCTTATACTGAAAGAGAAACACAAAAACACGCTCCAGAGTCAGAGCTATGTGATTCCCCCACCAGGGAGAATCACTGGAAATCAGCACCACCTTGTCACGGAGATATGGATTCGGATGTGTTCCCACGGTCTCCAATCTCTAGTTCCATGATAGAAGGTTTCTGTCACACCCCTAAGTGCTGTCAGACCAGCACTTGGTATGCTTTGTGCTTTCTTCTGGACAACTCTCGGGCCCTGACTGCTGCCTCGATCCTCTCAACAGCAATAGGGCCCCAACAGGGGGAACGCTCGCCATGGCCTCTGGGTGTCTTATCTGGACACGAATGAGCTGGAGCGTGCATTTGCCCCAAGTCAGGATCTAAGGGTGGAAAGGAGCCTTAAAGGCCATAGGTCCCCCTTCAGAGGCTCCCATGGGCATGCAACAGCTGATCAAATTAAAGTCATTCACTCCAGCTGGGGATGAACCAAGGCTAAATTTAGAACAATGCCAGCAGAAACACAGTGTGAAGATTCTGTTCAATCACAAGGAAAACTTTGTTTTTCCAGAATACGGAATAGGAAAAGGAGCCACAAAAGTATAAAGTAGTCCAAGTGATTCTAGAGAACAGTTGACATTCCCTTAGTGTAAAGCCTGGGACCATGGAGAGAGCCCTGGCCTGAGCTTGGGGTCCTAGCCAAGTGGTGGCTTTGCACAAGTGACTTGGCTACAACAAGAGGGGTTGGACCAGCTCAT
This sequence comes from Homo sapiens, assembly GCF_000001405.40. Lineage (NCBI taxonomy): Eukaryota > Metazoa > Chordata > Mammalia > Primates > Hominidae > Homo > Homo sapiens. The sequence continues at coordinate 32,509,193 of NC_000021.9, forward strand.
CACTAAGATTCCAGCTGACCAACATCTGGTGAGTTTGTATCTTCAAACTAGTTGATTCAGATGACTAGGAAGCCTTGTTCCCATGGACTTGCCAAGCATTGCCCATATTGTCCATCTCTGGTGGCTGCATCTCAGCAGAGTTGATGCAGACTTGCCTTAAAGAGCGCTCACTTAGCAGGAGGCAGGCCTAGGCCAAGAGGCACCTGGAGTCTTATGGGAGAGAAGCTCTCCTGGCAGGAGAACCCAGACACCCACCTCCCAGGAGAAGAGGAGAGGGAAAAAAAGGGAGCTGATTTATGGAGCCCCATCCCCAGGCGCCAAGCTGAGTGCTTAAATCCACAATTCCCTCCTTTTATGCACTCAGCAAATATTTTCATAATGCCCACTCTGTGCCAGGGATGGCACTGGGGATTTGGCAAAGAGCAAGATGGTTCCAGCCCCTGCCCTCAGGAAGCTTGCATTCTAGGTGGAGAGAAAGGATGGCACCCACTCAGCGAGTGAGTGACGATTGTAAGTTGGGCTGTGAAGAAAACATTCAAGATACTCTGAGACTAAATGACAGGGGACCTGGCTAGGCTAAGGCAGGGGGAGGTATCTAGTAGTGCTGGATGAAGAGGGAGGAAAGAACTTTCCAGGCTAACAGAAGAGCACATGCAGAAAAACCAGGGTGTGCAGGTATCTGATGTGTCACGAGTGAGGAATGGCAGGCTAGAGCGGGGAGCAGAGAGGAAGCGGAAGTTCTCGGGAGTTGAACTTGGGGAGGGTGACAAGGGCCAGGTCATAGCCGGCTTCCTAGGCTGTGGTCAGGAGTTGACTTTTATTGCAAAAGTAATTGCGATTTCCGACATTCCTTTTTTTTTTTTTTTTTTTTTGAAACAGAGTCTTTCTTGGTTACCCAGGTTGGAGTGCAGTGGTGTGTGATCTTGGCTCACTGCAACCTCCACCTCCCAGGTTCAAGCCATTCTCCTGCCTCAGCCTCCCAAGTAGCTGGGACTACAGGCGCACGCCACCACCCCTGGCTAATTTTAATTTTTGTATTTTTAGTAGAGATGGGGTTTCATCATGTTGGCCAGGCTGATCTCAAACTCCTGACCTCAAGTGATCCGCCCACCTCAGCCTCCCAAACTGCTGGAATTACAGGTGTGAGCCACCACTCCCGGCCGATTTCCGCCATTACTTTTGCACCAACCTAATAGCTTAGGAGAGGGAAGAGGCCATCTATAAGTTTTAAGTCAGGCAGTGATGTGACCCAATGTGTGTTTCTTAAAGATTATAGAGGCCATGCAGGAAAGATGGTTTATATATGGTCTGTGGTCGCTTTTGCACTACAATAGCAGAGCTGTTATATTTGCAACAGAGACCATATGGCCCATAAACCTGCAATAGTTCCTATCCGGCCATTCACTAGAAAAGGCGGGCAAGAGAGGAGGATGGGGACCAGGTGCCTGCAGGGAAGATGGAGCAGAACAGTGTTTCATCCCTGGTTTTCAGATAATTTCACAAGGTTGAAAGACATCTTAATGAAAGTGAAAGTACAAGGCACTTACCAGGAGATATTCACACCAGATGCCATGGCTCACACCTGTAATCCCAGCACTTGGGGAGGCCAAGGCAGGAGGATCACTTTCAGCCAGGAGTTTAAGACCAGCCCGGGCAACAAAGTCAGACCTCATCTTTACAAAAAAATATAATAAAAAGTTAGCTAGGCATGGTAGTACATGCCTGTAGTCCCAGCTTCTAAGGAGGCTGAGGTGAGAAGATTGTTTGAGCCCAGGAATTCAAGGCTGCAGCAGGCTATGATTGTGCCACTGCACTCCAGCCTGGGTGACAAAGGGAGACTCTCTCTCTCTCCCTCTCTCTCTCTCTATCTATATGTATACACAATATATTTGCTGTCAAAGGATTATCATCAAGAGTCTATAGAAAATATACACATCCTTGGACTAGGCACGGTGGCTCACGCCTGTAATCCCAGCACTTTGGGAAGCTGAGGCGGGCAGATCACCTGAGGTCAGGAGTTCAAGACCAGCCTGGCCAACATGGCAAACCCCGTCTCTACTAAAAATACAAAAATTAGCTGGTGTGATGGCATGCACCTGTAATCCCAGCTACTTGGGAGGCTGAGGCAGGAGAATCACTTGAACCTGGGGTGGGGGGCGGAGGTTGCAGTGAGCCAAGATCATGCCACTTACACTCCAGCCTGGGCAACTGAGCAAAACTCCGTCTCAAAAAAAAAAAAAAAAAAAAAAGAAAGAAAGAAAGAAAAGAAAAAAGAAAATATACACATCCTTTATATGTAACTGGAAAAGCACAGGCAACCCAGAAAAAAAATGGGTACATGACATGAGCCAGCATTTGGAGAAGAGGAAATACATAAGCATGTGAAGACAGGTACAGATCAGGGGAACACAAATCAAGACCATCGTAAGGTACAATTCTATACCCATGTGATTAGAAAATAATGTAAAAGTCTATGTGAGCCAAGTGCTGGAGAAGATGAGGACTGACAGGATTTCTCACACATTGCAGCCACTTTGAACACCGTGTTGGCAGTAGTTCTGAAAATTGAAACTCACGTGCCCTAAGTCCATCAGTTACCTCCTAGGGTAGTACCCAAGAGAAACGCTTGCAGGTGTTGACCAGGGACATTGACAAGAATGCTCACGATCATCCACAAAAGCAGAAACCTGGCAACAGCAGGAGAGCAGGCAAATAAACAGTTCCCGACCCACCAGCAGGAGAGTGGGTGAATAAACTACATTATAGCCAAGACAGTGAAATATTTTACAGCGATATGATATTAAATTAAAAAAAAACACCAAGTCTCCAACACTACCTATAATATTATACCCTTTAAATAAAATTTTAGGAATACATAGAGACGGAAAATAAAACTATATAAAAAAGGAAACAGGGGAGTAAGGAGCTTGGAATTCAGGTGGTAGTCACCTTGAGGGGGAGGCAAGGGGATGGGGAAGCACAGGTTAGACACAGGTGTGGTCAAGGCCTCGCTCCTATACGGGTGTGCATTCATAGCACTGGTGCTAATTACAGTATTAAAAAGTAATTCGTTAGACATAAAGTAGGGCTATGTATTGACCAATGAAGAGAATGTCTCATGTCCTAAGGATTATGGGTAATTTAATTCAGTCCACCAGGAATCCTCAAAATATGAAAAAAGAGGTACAGTAGCAAGTCCATAGTTACCGGCTGTGGCACCCTACTCCCTTCTTGGAACCTGAAACGTCCCCATTCGACTTCCTTCACTTATAGCTCAAGTCGCTGCTGGAATTGACTGCTGGAATTGATTGCTCTGCTGTGACCCTACTCTGTCTGCCCTGGGTACCCGGCCCCTCCCACGACACCACCACTGGGAGAGGAGGGGAGGGGGCCACGGATGACCATTGTACCTCAGAGGCTTGAGCTGGATGGAATTGTTTCTGTCCAGATCTGTCCCTGGCCTGACCATGGGTGGCTGGAAAAGACTATAAATGGATGGGATTCAGCTTCCTCACACTCAGCACTCCTTGAGGTCGGCAGCATCACTGGCAGTGGGGCTCAAAGTTTATATTTTCCAAGACAGAGAAGTTGAGTTGTGGCCCACCTTGAAAGCCCTAACAGCATCACAGAAGGAGAGGGTTTGGAGAGGACAGTGGCTCAAAGATTTCGGGGGAGAGGAGGGCTGCAGGATGGGGAGGAAAGGAGGGAAATTCAAAGGGGAGGAAGATGAAAGTGAAGTCGGGAGAGATGAAGCTTTGATCTGCATATTACTTACAGTATACAGGCTTCCATCTGTATAATACTTACAATAATATAGTAAGTATTATAATACTTACAATAATATAATAAGCATTATAATACTTACAATAATATAGTTGTTATTATTGTAATATAGTTGTTACTATATTATTGTAAGTATTATAATACTTACAATGATATAATATCATTATAGTAGTATTATAATACTTACTATATTATTTTATTTTATTTATTTATTTTTTTGAGATGGAGTCTCACTCTATTGCCCAGGCTGGAGTGCAGTGGCGTGATCTCGGCTCACTGCAAGCTCCACCTCTCGGGTTCACGCCATCCTCCTGCCTCAGCCTCCTGAGTAGCTGCGACTACAGGCGCCCGCCACCACACCCGGCTAGTTTTTTTTTTGTACTTTTGGTACAGACGGGGTTTCACCATGTTAGCCAGGATGGTCTCGATCTCCTGACCTCGTTATCTCCTGCCTCGGCCTCCCAAAGTGCTGGGATTACAGGCGTGAGCCACCGTGCCCGGCCAATACTTATTATATTATTAATATTTATAAATAATATACATATTTATATTATTTATTTTAATATTTTTCTTTTCTTTTTTTTTTTTTTTTTTTGAGGCAGGGTCTCACACTATTACCTAGGTTGGAGTATGGTGATATGATCTTGACCTCCCAGGCTCAAGTGATCCTCCCACCTCAGCTTCCCTAGTAGCTAGGACTACAAGCACGCACCACCATGCCCAGATATATTTTGGTATTTTTTTAAATAGACATGGGGTTTCACCATGTTGCCCAAGCTGGTCTTGAACCCCTGAACTCAAGCAATCCACCCACCTTGGCCTCCCGAAGTGTTGGGATTACCAGCGTGAGCCACGACACCCAGCATATTTTTGTATTTTATATTACAGTTGGCCTTCTGTATCCATGGATTCCTCATCTATGGGTTCAACCAACCTCAGACTGAAAATATCTTTTTAAAATGGATAGTTGCATCTTTACCAAACATGTACAGACATTTTTTCTCCTGTCATTATTCCCAAAACAATACATGGTAACAACTACTTACCTAGCATTTCCATTGCATTAGCTATTACAAGTAATCTAGAAGTGATTTAAAGAATAGGGGAGAATGTGCTTAGGTTTTATGCAAATTCTGTGCCATTTCATATAAGTGACTCAAGCGTCCGTGAATTTTGGTAGCCTGGGAGTGTGGGGGAGGGGTCCTGGAACCAGTCCCCCACGGGTACCAAGGGATGACTGTATATTTATATTTACTTTTTAATCTGAAAAAGGACAGAATTAAGTTTTGCTAACATCTATTATATTATTACTTAGGTTCACATATATACTTCGTACATAAGTTAATTCTTCATGAGCTACTTCTACTACTAATAATAGCAGCACTTTATTGAGCATTTACTATGTGTCAGGGAATATTCTAAGAGCTTTATAGGAATTAACTCATTTCACTGTAATGACTCTGTGATAGAAGATACTATATGCCCCATTTTACAGATGAGGAAACTAAGGCACAGAAAGGTTATGAAACTTGCCCAAAGTCACACAGCTACTGAGTGGCAGACCTGAGTTTGAACTCAGAGGAGTCTGGCTCCTGAGCCCCTCTGCTGTGTGTTTTTCTCCTACACATACATATATTGACTCCGTAGGCGCAAAAGCTTTTTTGAAAAAAAATGTCAGTGGGGATATATGATTATTTTGGTGTAGACAGTCTCAAAGATGCTGGACTGGCATTCTTCATTAGCCCCCTGCTTGGGCAGACATCTGTTTCTGTGGGACTTGGCACTGGTGGAGTCTGCCAGCTCCTCCCAGCTCCTGACATGTTCTCTTCCTCCTGCAGCCCACCCGGAGAGAGCTGCCCTGCTGTTCGTGTCCAGTGTCTGCATCGGCCTGGCCCTCACACTGTGCGCCCTGGTCATCAGAGAGTCCTGTGCCAAGGACTTCCGCGACTTGCAGCTGGGGAGGGAGCAGCTGGTGCCAGGAAGTGACAAGGTCGAGGAGGACAGCGAGGATGAAGAAGAGGAGGAGGACCCCTCTGAGTCTGATTTCCCAGGGGAACTGTCGGGGTTCTGTAGGACTTCATATCCTATATACAGTTCCATAGAAGCTGCAGAGCTCGCAGAAAGGATTGAGCGCAGGGAGCAAATCATTCAGGAAATATGGATGAACAGTGGTTTGGACACCTCGCTCCCAAGAAACATGGGCCAGTTCTACTGAAAACCACATGCATCTTGATGCGATCGCACTTTCTGAAGAAGGAAGGATCCCAAATGCCCCTCCAGTTCTGGTTCACCTGTACCTTCTATGAAGGAGAATTCGTCATGTCATTCAACACTCGTGAGGCCAGGAAGCTATTAAAGGGATGTTTCAAGCTGTTTCTAGCACATTCCAAAATAAATGAGGAGGGAAGAGTCTTTGTTTTCTGTATTTCTTTGAATTTGTGTCTATACATTAATAAGTTATACATAATTAGAATTTACATTTGTTGAGCGCTTATAATGCCAGGCGCTATTCTAACTGCTTTTCATGTTCTGAGTCATTCAATCCTCACAATGTCATGAGCTGGTACTATTACCCCCATTTTACAGATGACTAAACAGAAGATTCCTATATATACACGTAAAACAGTTACACAGATACTCAGCAAACATGAGCTCATGAGTGATTTTAACCACTGACTTGTTTAGACCAACGGTTAGCAAACTTTTTCTTAAAAGGCAAGATGATAGGCTGGGCACAGTGGCTCATGCCTGTAATCCCAGCACTTTGGGAGGCCAAGGCAGGTGGATCACTTGAGGTCAGGAGTTCGAGACCAGCCTAGCCAACACGGTGAAACCCCATCTCTACCAAAAAAATAAAAAATTAGCTGGGTGTGGTAGTGCGCGCCTGTAATCCCAGCTACTTGGGAGGCTGAGGCAGGAGAAATCACTTGAACCTAGGAGGCAGAGGTTGCAGTGAGCTGAGGTCGTGCCACTGCACTCCAGCCTGGGTGACAGAGTGAGAAACTGTCAAAAAAAAAAAAGCAAGATGATAAATATTTTAGGCATTGTGGGTCAAATCCTCTCTGCCACAATTACTCGACTCTCCATTGCAGCTCAAAAGCAGCCACAGATATTACATAATGCATGAACTTGGCTGTATTCCAATAAAACGTTCTTTTTGGACACTGAATTTTAATTTCATTTTATTTTCACATGTTCCACGTTCTTCTTTTTTTTTTTTTTTTTAAACCAGCCATTTAAAAATGTAAAAGCCTGAGGCCAAGAGTTCGAGACTAGCCTGGGCAACATAGTAAGACCCTACCTCTATTTAATTAAAAAAAATTTAAATAAAAGTAAATAAATAAAAATGTAAAAAAACATTCTTAACTCAAAGGCTGTACAAAAACAGACAGCAGGATGGAGCTGGCCTGTAACCTGTTTTTGTAAATAAAGTATGGTTTGCAAAACCTAAAATATTTACTTTCTTGCCCTCTATAGAAAAAAGTTTGCTGACTCCTGGTTTAGAGTTTAAAACAGCAGAGCCCCTGGTGGTAATAGCCATCAACCAGGGTACCTAACAGTGCTGTGGGCCAGGATCAAGTGGAGCTGGCTCCCAAATCTCTCCAAAAACAGGGTCCTACCCCACTTGGGGAGGGCTGGGTGGAGGAGCAGAAGAAAGAGTTCAGAAAACAGACCCCAGTGGGAGAACTTATTATTGGTTCCTGCAGACGGCTCTCCCTGGTAGACAGGAGGCTTATAGCTGTGGCATCAAATAAGAAAACATGTTTTTTTTCTTTTTTGTCCTAGTAATCCCAGGGGCTTAGAATATAAACATGATTGCATTTTTCATATGCCTATTACCAAAGAGCTCTCTCTCTGTTATCTTATTATCTTACTTCGTCATCACTAACCCTATAAACATATGTAGATGAGGAAGCTGAAGGCCGCCAGGGTAAGTATCGTCCAGCCCACGTCACACAGCTGGGAAGTGCTGGGACTGACTCGTCCTGAGTGCTCAGGAAACATAGCTGTTCCCACAGGAACTCCTACAGTGACAGGTATGGAGAAGGCATGTCTCTCTCAGTCTTGCAGACCATAAGGGTGAAGGGCCTATCTGCAGGATGCAGAGGAGGGTGGGTGTGGAGTGAGGAGGCTCAGCTGCCACTCTGGCATTCATTTTTAGTAAGTTGAAATCCACATAATGTAAAATTAACTCTCTCAATGACGTTTAGTCCATTTGCAATGTTGTGCAAACACCACCTCTATCTAGTTCCAAAACATTTCATCACCCCAAAAGAAAACTCTCTGCCCGTTAAGCAGTCACTCCCCATTCCTCCCTCCCTCCAGCCCCTGGAAAACACCAATTTGCTTTCTGTCACTATGGATTAGCCTGTTCTGGATAGTTCATGTAGATGGGATCACACAACATGTAGTCTCTTGTGACTGCCTCATTTCACTTAACATAACGTCCTCAAGATCCATCTATGTTGTAGCAAGTGTAGCATGTGTTCATTCCTTTTCAGGGCTGAATAATATTCCATTGTACGGCTAGCCCACAGTTTGTTTATCCAGCCATCAGCTGGTGGACATTTGGCTGGTTCCTTTGGCCACTGTGAATAGTGCTGCTGTGAACGTTCATGTGTGGCATTTCACCAGCACAAAGCAGCAACTACAGACAGAGCTGGTGGGAAATCCTGTGTGTCCACTCAGTGGAAGGAAGGGGAAAGTCAAGATGGGTCAGAATGGCACCCCCTCTTCTACCCTCCACACCTGCCAATTTCAAAGCAAGCTTCCCTTACACAGGCCCCCTGCAGGTGGGAGAGCAGGGATTGGCCAAGAGAGGTGTCATACAGATGGGCTGGGGGTGGTTTGGGTGGAGATTGAAATTCCTCAGGATTTCCAGGTACCGGAATTTCTCCCATAGGGAGAAATTGAAGGGGTTGAGGATGATGTGTTTTAACCCTTTCCCCGTTTAGGAAAAAAAAAAAAACGCGACTCACTGTCAGCGCTCATTTAATTTTACATAAACACACTTTGAGGCCGAAGCAAATCTGACTGATTTTCAGTGTGAACATAAAATATAAAAAGCGTTCTTGGGGCCGGGCGCAGTGGCTCACGCCTGTAATCCCAGCACTTTGGGAGGCCGAGGTCGGTGGATCACGAGGTCAGGAGATCGAGACCACCCTGGCTAACATGGTGAAACCCTGTCTCTACTAAAAATACAAAAAAATTAGCCGGGTGTGGTGGCGGGTGCCTGTAGTCCCAGCTATTCGGGAGGCTGAGGTAGGAGAATGGCATGAACCCAGCAGGTGGAGCTTGCAGTGAGCTGAGATCGCGCCACTGCACTCCAGCCTGGGAGACAGAGTGAGACTCCGTCTCAAAAAAAAAAAAAAAAAAAAAAAAGAAAAGAAAAAGTGTTCTTGGAGTTATTTCTAAACAGAACTAACAACAGAATCATCTATTTCAGAAAAACTAAATTCATCAAATGAATCTTCAGCCAACAACTGTTGGAGAATGACGTTAACCTCAGGCATGGGAATGCTACATTTTCTAGGATTTGACATTTTCAGCAATCGAGGATTACTACACTTTATAAATGGAGATACCTCTACTAAAAACAGAATGCTATAAACAGAATGATGTCTTTTGTTTCCAAAGTCAATGTACAAGAGCAATGCAAAAATAATAATAAAAGAGAGATTTCCTGGAAAAGTTATCTCGGAGTAAACGCTACAGCCTCAAGTGCCACTCGTGAGTATTCTCAGGGCAAATGGGAGAAGGGTTAAATCTGTCATTGGAGAGAAATCTATCTATGTATTTATTTATTTATTTGAGAGAGTCTTGCTCTGTTGCCCAGGCTGGAGTGCAGTGGCATTATTTCAGCTCACTGCAACCTCCATCTCCCGGGTTCAAGTGATTCTCCCTGTCTCAACCTCCTGAGTAGCTGGGATTACAAGTGTTCACCATCACACCTTGCTAATTTTTGTATTTTTAGTAGAGACAGGGTTTCAACATGTTAGCCAGGCTGGTCTTGAACTCCTGACCTCTAGTGATCCTCCCGCCTCAGCCTCCCAAAGTGCTGAGATTACAGGCATGAGCCACTGTGCCTGGCCTGGAGAGAAATCTATTCCAGATCATATCAGAGAATGCAGTGAATTCCATTGTCCAACTATTTCATAACGATTTTGTTCTAATCAAAGAGAATCTTTGTCCTTTCATGTCCCTGAGTTCAGCAAGGAGCATTTTGATAATGTCCCAGCTCCCAGAGCAGCTGTCTGTCTCTATTTCCAGTTTGAAGGCAGCATCTTCCCTGTCCCCATGAACACAAATGCTGTCCAGCTGGTGGCTGATGACCGTCTGCTTGGGGCTGCAGATGTTCACGTTACCAGTTGAAGAAAGAGCTGTGCCCATATTGGCCTCAGTCACATGGTTTTCTTGGATTCCACAATGGGTTTTCGCTTATCTGAATTTCCCCCCATTAGCCCCCAGCATGCATGCTTACACACACAAACACACACACACACACACACACACACACACACACACACACACACACACCCTCCCAGGATCCCTACAGAGGCAGCTGGTCAACAGGCTTGCCAACTCGAGGGTCAGTCTTTGGCCTGTGCAGATACAGTGAGATATTTCTTTGCATTTTCAGAGCCCCAAAGAAGAATGCCATGTTCTTGTTGTGGAAGGAGGCTGAAGGGTCCTGCTGAGATTGTGTTTGGCTTGGCACAAAGTCCAGCGGGAAAATGACCAGAGCAGATTTGGATGAGAGACTGCTGATGGACTGTGGTGGCTGGGAGGAAGCTGCTGGGAGGAAGCTCCCGGGTGGAAGTCCTCCCAGGGACCACGGGCTCATATGGGCTGCCACTTCTTGCTTTTGTGCTTTCTGGGCAGCAGAGCCCCCACAGTTTCCAAGCTGTGGGGTCTCAGGAGCCCTGTGAAAAGAAGCCAGTTCCCTCTGGGAGGTTCGCACGTCCCTAGCTCAGCTACTTGCTGCTAATGCTGACTTTCCATCCATGAGCTGCCTGCTGTGAAATTCTACTCTTCTGGATACACCGGGCTTGTCTGAGGGGCTGCTGGGGCTTGTAGCAGCCATTACATTTGCTGCTGCTTCAGGGAGAAGCCCAGGGACCAAGCAAACCCAGGGACCATGCAGGCTCTGGGGAGCCTAGAGGCAGTCCCACTGCTGACCCCACAAATGGGACCATGTGTGATGTTGGTGCCCCGTTCCCAGGCACCCAGCCTCCAGCTGCTGAGAGGAGTGGTTGTGAATGGCCCACACCTGTCCTCTTCTACAGAGAATTACTCCTCCCCGCTTTCCTACAGGTGTTTCCTCGGAGAGCACTCCCTCAATAAATCTCTCGTGCACAAATCTCCATCTCAGGAAACTGACTTACAGCATCCAATGTGAGAGGTCTGTGGACCAGGGAGTGTGCCAGCCCCTGCTGAGCCACAGTGCTGGGCGGCATCACCTGCAATGTCAGTGGGTGGGAGCCAGGCCCAAAGGAACATCAGCAACCCTCCCCACTAGCTTGTGGTGTTGGGAAAAGTCAGGCACTCATACATCTGGCATCTGGGGAGTCTTGGAAAGAAGTGCCCACAAGATCCCCCTTCCAGTCTCCCCCCAGCCTTCTCCATGAGTCCCTGGAAACCAGTTACTGCTCCAGGAACCAAAGCCCAGTGCCAGGCAGTCAAGGGAACCAAGCCAGCCTCTCCTCCAACTCCCTGGGTCTCGGCGCTGCTCCCCAAATCCCCACATGTCCAGTGGGACCTCCTGAGAAGCACCACTGCCCTGAAAGCTTCCACCCCACTTCCTGCCTGCCACCCTGGACCCCTGGACCACTGACGTCAACCAGACTAGACACGACTCTGCTTCAGCCCTGGACTCGGGGTTTCCTCGTTCACTGTGTCACTCTTGTCTCCCAGCTTCTGCTCTGACTTGGTCCTAGCTCAGTCTTGGGGTGACTTATCTGTGCCTCAGTTTCCTCATCTGTAAAATGGGCATAATAATGAAATCTACTTCCTAGTGGTGTTGAGAGTCACGGTGCTTTACACATAGTGACAACAATACATTTCAGCTTTGATCATCGATGATTTCTTTCCCGTGAGAGGCAGCATCCAGCATCCCGTGTGGCCGAGGTTGCACCATTTAGACCACACTAAGGGCATTTCGCAAAACTCAAAAGCATTATAAGAATGAGTCATTGAGGGAGATAACAAGCCAGCCTCCTTCAGCCCTGCTATAGAGACGAGTTTGTGGAGGAGAAATAATTGCATCTGCAGAGCTCAGAGGAAAAGTGTCAAGGCCTGAACTTCCTTGGATTCTGCAGCCAAGTTCATTGTCAAGTCTCTGGCACATGGACTTAAGCTGTGCTCAGTTTTGGCAGGGTAGTTGTAACCCGGAACTATGGTCATTTGGTTTTAAAAACCTGTTGTAAGCCTGAGCACCAGTGTGGAGTTGGCTGAACCCCACTCCAAGACTGGATGGTAGCCTTGGAGATTAAATCCTAAATACTCCAACAAATGCTCTGTGAACTGGAAGCCTCACTGGTCCATAGCTAAAGAGAAGGCAGGAAAGAGCCACGATAACCATCAGCCCATGAGGGAGGATTCAGGAAGCCAACTAAGGATCCGGGACTACTACGTCATTTTTAGGAATTTCAAATCAACAGTCGCCTCCTCTGGGTGTGGCACAGCGCCAGGCTCCCTGGAGAATGAATGAGAGTAGCTAATTGCAGTTGCTGTCAGTTCTGGGCTGTGCTGTCCGGGACTGAGCCACTAGCCACATGCTGTTATTTAAATTTAAATTTAAATCAATTAATAAAATGTAAAAGTCACCTGCTCAGTTGCACTAGTCACATTTCAAGCGCTCAATAGCCACATGGCCAGTGGCTACTGTCTTGGACAGTGCAGACAGTTCTGTTGGACAGTGCTGAGCTAGTGTATGAAGTCAGGCATGGAGACGCCTGCTCAATTCATTGATAAAATGGGACAGATATTTCCCTGCCCTCACCAACTGAGAACATAATCAGATATCAAAATCCCAGGCACAGAAATGTGGGAACCCAGCTCCACCTTACCCGACCTCTGCCCACCTTCCTGGGGATACCCCTGCATGTCTCTTGTCTCCAAACCCCGAAGGCTCAGTGCACAGGCTCCTGTCCCCCTGGGGCTGCAGCCTCACCTTCATGGGCTCTGAGCCCCAAAGAGCCACGACCGCAGGAGTTGTGCCCCTTCCGTCCCCTGGCCACACTCAGCCTGCTGCTCCTTTTTGTTCCTAACACACAACCCGGCCATGGTCCTGTGGCAGCTGCTGTGACTGTCACCTCTCTGGGCACTGCTGCTGCTGTTAACTCCCCTTCCTTTGTGCCCTGAAAAGGGTGTGACCACCTTGGAGAGCCTAAAGGGCTCCTTTTTCCTGACCCTGCAGCCATCTGCACCCCAGGAACATTCGAGAGAAACCTCAGGCCAGATCTTTTCCTCTCACCTGGGCCCTGCCTGCCCCCCGCTCCAGGAGGAGCCCCTGGGTCCACCCAGGAAGGAACTGCACCTCCTGCCCTCCTCTTTCTCTCTCCCTTTGATCCCTTCTTCTCTTTGCTGAGCCCATGAGCAGATTCAGCAGGGGCCCTTTCTTTATCCTTCAGGGGCTTAGCTACATTAGACAAAGTGTAAGAATGACGGTAGGCCAGCCACCGTAGCTCACACCTGTAATCCCAGCACTTTGGGAGGCCGAAGCAGGTGGATCACTTGAGGTCAGGAGTTCGAGACTAGCCTGGCCAACATGGTGAAACCCTGTCTCTACTAAAAATATAAAAGCCTGGCATGGTGCCAGGTGCCTGTAATCCCAGCTACTCGGGAGGCTGAGGCTTGAGAGTCTGTTGAACCCGGGAGGCTGAGGTTTCAGTAAGCAGAGATTGTGCCACTGTACTCCAGCCTGGGCCACAGAGTGAGACTCTGACTCTAAAAAAACAATCGACATCAAGGGTTGGGTGCGGTGGCTCACGCCTGTAATCCCAGCACTTTGGGAGGCCAAGACAGGTGGATCACCTGAGGTCAGGAGTTCAAGACTAGCCTGGCCAACAGGGTGAAACCCTGTCTCTACTAAAAATAAAAAAAACAATTAGCCGAGCATGGTGGCATATGCCTGTAATCCCAGCTACTCAGGAGGCTGAGGCAGGAGAATTGCTTGAACCCGGGAGGCAGAGGTTGCAGTGAGTCGAGATTGCGCCATTGCTCTCCAGCCTGGACGACAAGAGCAAAACTCTGTCTCAAAAAAGTAAAAAATAAATTAATTAATTAAATACAATTGACATCGAAGAATGACAGTAAATGGCCAAACCAAGTGGCCCTGGGAGCTCAGAGAAAATGATTCCACCAAATGGACTAGGGGAAGCTTATCAGAGATCACGCTCAACATGGTCCTCTAAGAATAGGCAGAATTTCCAAAGGTGAAGGAAGGTAGGGAAGGGAGCAGCCAGGAGGTGGGAACAGGAACAGCACGTTTAAGTACAGGGAACAGCCAGAGTGAGGGAAAATAAGGCTAAAAGGGTGAAGGGCACCTGGAGAATGTTGATATTTTGGGCTTTGGCGCGTGCCTGTGTCCTGGCTGTAAGAACATTACGCACTTTGGGCGGCATCACTCAGCCTGCTCCTGGTTGTGGGTCCATTATCTGCTCCTAATATTGTCTTTCGTCTCGGGATTGTGAACAGATAAGGAACCCACAGCCAGGAGCAGGCTGGGCCTGGCCTCCAACCTTGACCTTCTGACTCTTGGAATAGTAATTGCTCCGGATTTTAAGGTCACTGAACACCATCCAGTTAATCTCGATATCTTGGAAGTGACCAAATTACAGCTGAATTTCGTTGAAGAAATTAAAATCATCACTCTTATCCTAAGAGTGATTATCCTAAGTATTCCGGTGACTGACTCACCTGGGACACTTTAAGATGCAGTTAATATCATCAATGCAAATAGACCTCAAGGGTCTAACAAATTATTTCTGGCAGAGCCCTTTTTTGAAATGTTTCTAGTCTTTGCCCCAAGACTGCTCACTGCCTAATTGCATTTCTTTCCAATGGGTCTAACAGAAAATCCCATTGGAAATTTATCTTCAGGTGAAAATGCCGCCTTCCTGCTTTTAAGCGAACTGCCTGTGATATCATGAGCTCAGGCTGCAGAGGCTCAGCCAAACAAAGAGAGGAAAGCTGGTTACTTCTGATTGGGAGGACGTATTAATTCCCCACACTTTCCCTGTTCCAAACTCATGACTCCATGGATTGAGTCCTTTTAAGAAAAGAAAATAGAGCCTGTCATTTCCTATTGTTTCAAAGACAAAATCCAGCCTGGGAAAGATTAAGGGAAGAGGACGGGACTCGTGTTCAGATGACTAAGCACCAACCTGACCTGGAAAAGGCTCGATTAGTTTTTGAGGAAGGGAGGGTGCTCCAATTAGAGGCATGTGTAAAATAATGACATTACCTCACTAAAAGAGAAAAAGGAAAACATTCCCAACTCACTAACAATGAACTAGCAAGAAAATGTGTTGCTAATCTGTGAAGAATTTGCAAACCCAGTGAGTTGCCACCCAGCTCTGAGCTCCCAAACTTCCTTCCTTAGAACTTGACCTCTGATTGTAAAACCCTGGGCCCTGGGAGAGAGGGGCCTGTGCTGGTCAGCAAGGGGGAATCACATGGACCAGCCAAGCCCAGCTCTGCTCCGCCCGGGGTTTCTGGTAAATGAGCCTCTGTCACTCAGTTCGTACACATGGATACTTCTTATTGAAGATGTCTTGGGAAAAAGTCAAGCTGCTCTGAAAAAATAATAAAAATGCACTGTATCATGTTTTTAAAAGAGCTAGATCTCTATGTACCGACATGGAAAATCCTTAAAGTCATTATTAAATAATACATAGATTATGATAACGTGTTTTTAAAAAGACTCAAAACTGGGCCGGGTGCCGTGGCTCATGCCTGTAATCCCAACACTTTGGGAGGCCGAGGTGGATGGATCACAAGGTCAGGAGTTCAAGACCAGCCTGGCCAATATAGTGAAACCCCATCTCTACTAAAAATGCAAAAATTAGCTGGGCATGGTGGCACACGCCTGTGGTCCCAGCTACTCAGGAGGCTGAGGCAGGAGAATTGCTTGAACCCAGGAGGCAGAGGTTTCAGTGAGACAAGATCGTGCCACTGTACCCCAGCCTAGGCAACAGAGTGACACTCTGTCTTAAAAGAAAAAAAAGAAACTAAAATGTTGGTGGTTTGGACAAATCCTGCCCCTGCACCCCACCTGCATGTCCCCTCCATGACTTCCTGTTGTGTACCAGGGTCCCTGAGGTGGGCTGAAAGAGGGCCGGGAGCTGGCTGTTCAGAGTCCCCCAGAAGCAAAAGCAGTGGGCCTCTGGCCCTGTGGGCAGGGCTGGCTGAAGCAGAGCCAGGAGGGAGGGCTGAGGAAGGCTGTCGTGCACCTGCCTGGCCAGCCGTGGGCAGTAGAAAAGAGGCTGGGATGGGGCCAGGTGAGCCCAGCTCAGGTCGGGGGCCTGGCAGGCCCTGGACATGTCTGCTCACAGCTGCTCAGAAGTGGCTCCTCGGGTTGGCCCTTGCTGCCCTCTGAGCTCTTGTCTCTGCATTCTCCATCCACCCCCACCCCAGCTTCTTGCCGGCCCTGTGCACAGACACCTAAGGCCCGCCTCTTAGGGTCAGCTTGCCCTCAAAAAGAGAAGAAAGCATAGGTTTCCAGGACTGGCTGATGAAGGGAGGGTTTGGGATTTCTGGAGACTTGAAGTTGAGCTTGAATTCCTCCCCTCTGACTTTCCCAGGCCAAGGCGTCC
Source organism: Homo sapiens (assembly GCF_000001405.40). Taxonomy (NCBI): domain Eukaryota; kingdom Metazoa; phylum Chordata; class Mammalia; order Primates; family Hominidae; genus Homo; species Homo sapiens. Next base: position 32,525,794 of record NC_000021.9, read on the forward strand.
AGCACCCAGGGACCAAGCCCTGGTCCTCAGCAGAGACCGTCTGCAGCCCCTGCCCTGGTCTCGCTAACACTGGTTTAATATATCTACAACGAGAGATTCCCAAACCCCACCCAAGAGTCCCTGAGGGCAGACCTTGGGGCTCCAGGCCCAGGAATCTGCATTCTCCGCCCCCCAAACTCCCCCCAGGGGTCCTGATAGGCAGACAGCTGAGAGCTGGGCTTGCCTCCACCTGGGTCCCTGAAACCCAGCACCCCGCCCTGTTGCTTGTCTCTTGCAGCCCAACTCCTGCAGCTGGGCCTTCTGCTCATCCTGTACAGAAACCCTCTGTTTGCTCCTGCAGACCTGCTCTCCATGGCCCCCAGCCTGCTCCACTGTCCTGTACCTCCAGACCCCCATCAGCATCTCCCCGCCTGTCTGCTGGGTTCAGCCAATGGGGAGCCTGGCAGGAGAAAGTCATGCCATCAGCTTTGAAGATACTTTCCTTTCCTGACTTCTTATCCTGGGGTTCCTGAACTCTGTTTTTTGTTTTGTTTTAGATGGAGTCTCACTCTGTCGCCAGGCTGGAGTGCCGTGGCACAATCTCGGCTCACTGCAACCTTCGCCTCCCGGATTCAAGCGGTTCTCCTGCCTCAGCCTCCCGAGTAGCTGGGACTACAGGCATGCACCACCACGCCCAGCTATGTTTTGTATTTTTAGTAGAGACGGGGTTTCACCATGTTGGCCAGGAAGATCTCCATCTCTTGACCTCGTGATCCACCTGCCTCGGCCTCCCAAAGTGTTGGGATCATAGGCGCGAGCCACCATGCCTGGCCGAGGTTCCTGAACTCTTAAGGGGACCACTGATCTTTTCTAGAGCTCCATGAGCCCTCTGAAGTTTTAAGCAAAAGTTTGTATATTTGAGAATGTGAATCTTTCTGGCTTTTTCATGGGATTGCAACGAGGATCCAAAGAGATAATACAAATGATGTCAGCTTTGACAACCACTAACTGCCCAAAAATATAAGGTATTATCATAATCACAGCAAGATCAAAAGAGGTTAATGCGCGTCTCTCTGTGTCAAGTGTTCATGAAACTTCTGTTGAAGTTGGCCACCAGATTGGGCCAGCATGCACATGGGCAGCAGACAACAGCTTTACAGGTTGTTAGAATGAGAGGCTGAACCCTAGCCTCTGGAAGGTGACACCGCAGAGGCCATCCACAGAAGTGTGGGTCTTCCTAGAAAATGATGCAGGCAGGTCCGGGTGTAGTGCCTCGCGCCTGTAATCCCAGCATTTTGGGAGGCGGAGGCGGGCAGATCACTTGAGGTCAGGAGTTCAAGACCTGCCTGGCCAGCTGGTGAAACCCCATCTCTACTAAAAATACAAAAATTAGCTGGGCATGGTGGTGCAGGCCTGTAATCCCAGCTACTCAGGCAACTGAGGCAGGAGAATTGCTTGAGCCCAGAAGGTGGAGGCTGCAGTGAGCCAAGATGGAGCTACTACACTCCAGCCTGGGTGACAGAGGGAGACTCCATCTCAAAGTAAAAAAAAAAAAGAAAAGAAAAGAAAGAAAATGATGCAGGCAGGATTAATAACCAGAATATATAAGGCGATCAAACAACTCTATAGGAAAAAAATCTAATAGTCCAATCAAAAAATGGGCAAAAGATTTGAATAGGCATTTCTCAAAAGAAGACACACAAAGAGCAAACAGGCCTATGAAAAGGTGCTCAACATCTGTGATCATCAGAGTAATGCAAATCAAAACCACAGTAAGATAGAATCTCACCTCAGTTAAAATGGCTTTTATTCAAAAGACAGGCAATAACAAATGCTGGAGAGGATATGGAGAAAAGGGAACCCTTGTACTCTGTTGGCAGGAATGTAAATTAGTACAACTGCTGTGGAGAACAGTTTGGAAGTTCCTCAAAAAACTAAAAGTTAAGCTACCATATGATCCAGTTATCTCATTGCTGGGTATATACCCAAAAGAAAGGAAATCAGTAAATCAAAGAGATAGGTGTACTCCTCTGTTTGTTGCAGCACTGTTCACAATAGCTAAGATTTGGAAGCAACCTAAGTGTCCATCAACAGTTGAATGGATAAAGAAAACGTGATACATACACACAATGGAGTACTATTCAGCCGTAAAAAAAAGAATGAGATCCAGTCATTTGCAACAACATGGATGGAACTGGAGATCATTATGTTCCATGAAATAAGCCAGGCACAGAAAGACAAACAGAGCATACTCTCATTTATTTGTGGGATCTAAAAATCATAACAAGTGAATTCATGAACATAAAGAGTAGAATGATGGTTCAGAGGCTGGGAAGGGTAGTGCAGGGGAGTGGGGAAGGGGGTGATGGTTAATGGGTACAAAAAAAATAGGAAGAATGAGTAAGATCTACTATTTGATAGCATGACAGGGTTACCGTAGTCAGTAATAACTTAACTGTGTATTTTAAAATAATTTAAAGAGTGTGATTGGATTGTTTATAACCCAAAGGAGAAATGCTTGAGGAGATGGAAATTCTCCATGATGTGCGTATTTCATATTGTAGGCCTGTATTAAAATATCTCGAGTACCCCATAAATATATACACCTCCCACGTATCCACGAAAATTAAAAATTAGGCTGGGCGTGGTGGCTCACATCTGTAATCCCAGTGCTTTGGGAGGCCAAGGCGGGCGGATCACTTGAGGTCAGGAGTTCGAGACCAGCCTGGCCAATATGGCGACACTCCGTCTCTACTAAAAAATACAAAAATTAGCCAGGCATGGTGGCACAAGCCTGTAATCCCAGCTACTTTGGGGACTGAGGTGGGAGGATCCCTTGAGCCCAGGAGGCAGAGGTTGCAGTGAGCTGAAATTGCACCACTGTACTCCAGCCTGGGTGACACAGCAAGACCCTGTCAAAAAAAAAAGAAAAAAAGTGGGAGCTAAGCTCTGAGGATGCATAAGCATGGGTGATATAATGGACTTTGGGGACTTGCGGGGAAAGGCTGGGAGGCGGGTAAGGGATAAAAGGCTACATATTGAGTAGAGTGTACACTGCTTGGGTGACAGGTTCACTAAAATCTCAGAAATCAACACTGAAGAACTTATCCTTGTAACAAAAAACCACCTGTACCCCAAAAACTGTTGAAATAAAAAAAGAAGAAAGAGAAAAACAAATAAATAAAAGCTGAACCCAGGAGGCGGAGGTTGCAGTGAGCCGAGACTGCACCACTGCACTCCAGCCTAGGTGACGGAGACTCTGTCTCAAAAAAAAAAAACTTAAAAAATTTAAAAAAGAAAATGATGCAGGCACTGCAAATAGAACATACTTGGGTGCATGTCGGGGAAAGCGGAGGGGGAGACACCAGGGTCCATGACCCCATGGCATGAGGACATGATTGTGGAGCCGCTCTCTTGCTGTCCACAAAGTCACTGTAAAAGCAAAGTGCCAAACATTTTCAGTGAGGGCCTTTTTGCTCATTGGTCATGACTGGTGTCAGGCAACCCTTGGAAATTTCCTCACGACCTTAGAGGGACAGCATCACCTGCAGTTTCTATGGCAGAGATTCCATAGTAGGTTGAACACTGCTCCCCCAAATACACGTCTTCCTGGAACCTCAGAATGTGACCTTATTTGGAGACAGGGTCTTCACAGTTATAATTAGTTAAGATGAGGTGGCACTGATGGGCTCTAACTCCAATGACTGGCGGCTTTCTAAGAAGGGGGAAGACAGACAGACACACAGAGAAGAATGCCACGTGACTAGAGAGGCAGAGACTGGAGTGACGCAGCCACAAACCAAAAGTGCAAAGGATTGCCAGGGGCCACCAGGTGCCGGAAGAGGCAAGGCAGGACCCCCTTCTTGGTCTTCAGAGGGAGCACAGCCCTGCCAACACCTTTATTTGAGACCCCTGGCCCCCAGAACTGGGAGAGAATAAATTTCTGTTGTTTTAAGCCACACCATTTGTGGTCATTAGTTATGGCAGCCACAGAAACTAGCACAGAAGCTTCCAGAGCTGCTCCCAAGAGTGGAAGTGGCACAAGGCGAGGCATGGACTAGTCACAGATCCCCAGCCAGAAGCAGGGGACACATTCACACTGGGATGACTCAAGGAACTGTATGTACAAAGCACGAGCTGAGCCCTGCTCTGTGCCAGACACCATGCTGGGTGGAGGCCAGGAGTTGCTGGAAAAGCTGTAACAACCAGCAACCCCAGGTGTGGGCAGAGAAGTGCTGATTTGTAGCATCTGCCAATTTCTGTGGTGTAAATACTCCCTCCTTGGCCAACGCGAGTGTAACACAACGTCCTTCATATAGTGTTTCTACCCTACAGGTACAATCAATGTCAATGACCTCAAGACAATAGTAAAATAAGGTGAAATAATTAGGAAATGTTGAGTTTTGAGAATTGACAGCCTTTGTGCCTAATATAATCTATTTAATTGTAAGCTTCTGTAATTTAGTATTTCATGGTGACTGTGTTTAACAACCAATTTGCAAAAATTCCTGAATGTTTAACCATCAGCTGCCATGAGCCAGAGCTGGCTACAAGAAGTAGAGCAGTAAAGATGGCAGACGGCTAACATAACCTCAACTAGGTGGGGCCTGGAATGCAGCAATCTGGCTCCAATAGGATGCTTTTGGGTAGATGTGCCTGGAGCACCTCCACCTCTGAGGCCCGCAAAGCTGCCCCAGAGGAAGGGTGGCCTGCAGAGCAGCCTCTGCATCAGCTCTCAGCTGGTCCAGGGCACAGCATCAGTTGAAGAACACTGACTATGCCCAGTCACATCAGCTTCCAACTGTGAGCTCTCAGGAGACCTGTTGATGCAGAGATTCCTGGAGGTGGTACCAAAAAAGCCAGGAGCAGGTGGGCACTGGTGCACATACAATACACATATAGACACACACACACCATGCACAGAACATACAGACACATGCATGCACAGAACATGTAGATAGGTACACACACATGCACAGAGCACGCAGACACACACACATGCACAGAACATGCAGATACACACACATGCACAAACACACTCCTGTTACGGTTTGGCTGTGTCCCCACCCAAATCTCATCTTGAATTCCCATGTGATGGGGGAGGGACCCGGTGGGAGGCAATTAAATCATGGGGGCTGGTCTTTCCTGTGCTGTTCTCGTGATAGTGAATAAGTCTCATGAGATCTGATCACTTTTTAAGGGGAAGTTTCTCGGCACAAGCTCTCTCTTTGCCTGCCGCCATCCATGTAAGATGTGACTTGCTCCTCCTTGCCTCCCGCCATGATTGTGAGGCCTCCCCAGCCATGTGGAACTGTAAGTCTAATAAACTTCTTTCTTTTGTAAATTGCCCAGTCTTGGCTATGTCTTTATCAGCAGTGTGAAAACGGACTAATACAACTCCTTTTTGCATTTTTGCCACAACAGTTTCCTTCAGTACAACAGCTACTTTTTAAGGAGTGCTTTCTGTCAGGGACCAGGCCAGGCACTAGGAATATTCACATGAAGAAGGCAAAGCCCAGGACCTTCCATCAGTTGGTGAGGCCTGTGATTGGCCACAGCTGCCTGCGTCTCATTCTGCCGCTGATCTAAGGAAGCCCTTCATTGCCACATATCTCAGCCTTAATCTCCATTGTCAGCTCTCTCCATCCTGAAGGTGAGAGGTGGTTGCTAGTTACTTTAGAGCTAGGATGGGAAACAGGGTTTGATTTCTACAGCCCTCACAAATACCTGCATTTGGCATTGCGCACAATTCGTGATGTAGATGCAACATGAAGTGAGGTGAAAATTGGTAGGCTGGGCATGTCAGCTCATGCCTGTAATGCCAGCACTTTGGGAGGCTGAGCTCAGGAGTTTGAGACCAGCCTGGGCAACATGGTGAAACCCTATCTCTACCCAAAGTACAAAAAATTAGCTGAGCACTACCGCGCACTTGTAGTCCCAACTACTCGGAAGGCTGAGGTGGGAGGATTGCTTCAGCCAGGGAGGTGAAGTTTGCAGTGATCCAAGGTTGAAACACTGCATTCCAGCCTGGGTGACAGAGTGAGACAGGGAGGGAGGGAGGGAGGGAGGGAGGGAGGGAGGGAGGGAGGAAGGAAGGAAGGAAGGAAGGAAGGAAGGAAGGAAGGAAGGAAGGAAAGAAGGAAGGAAAGAAGGAAGGAAGGAATTGGTCACCTGGACTGGGTTATGTGAGTTCCTGTGAGTACTTCTTATAGCTATAGTAATTTCAACCAGGAACACCAATCATTCTGGTTTGTGAGGGATGAATGGGTTAGTGCTACAATGAGGGTAGTAGTCTTAGGCAATACGGGATGGGCAACCATCCTAATTCTCACCTCCCTTCTGACAGCTCAAGTTTGAATACTGAGGTCTGCAAGGACATTATACTGAGACCTGCAAGGACATTTGTCTCACATTGCAATAAACAGCCACCGGGTTCTAAATCTGATTTTGCTTAAATCCATTTCTCTAAGAAATATTATAGCATTTACTCCTTTTCATTGTATAAGACATGTTGAAAAACAGCCATTCATTTCTAAATCCTTCTTTTCAGTCACTTTTAATATTCTTTTAAAAAGAGAGAAAGGAAAAGAAAAGACTTCTTGGGACTAAAACTTATCATAGTTGGATGAAACCCAAAGGTGAATATTTATTTCAGCAAAATTCATTCGGGGCCTTGAAAGTCAAGTGTGTGAATATAAAATACACCTTTTCAGCCTGGGATCATGCCCTTTTCTGTGCTTGGATGGCTGAACTATGAAATGCCAGGTTGACATATTCAGTGCTTCCAGGAATGTGACCCCAGAAGAAACAAAGGGGAATGTGGCATTTGTGGAGGTGGCCAGGCCGGTCAGCCAACTTGGCTGGGTTCTGGAAGGGTCTAGTCCATGGGCTCCCACCATATCCCAGGTGATTCTATCTGCTCAGAGTTCACAGGAACCACAGATTCCCACACCTTCATTCCCGAGGGGTGGGTGAGGGGGTGTCTACATGCTCCTTCTCAAGCACAGCTGTCATTTGTTCCAGCTTTGTCTCCCCATCCTGAATCCAGCACGAGGAGGTGTCTGGATCTCACACAGGATGCATTCACAGGGGCTGGGGTGGAAGGATCAATCAGCACCTTCAAATTCCAGCCCTCACTGCTGCCAAGACAGGGCACCACGTTCTCGCGCTCACAAAGACGATCCTGCACCAGAGCTGCATGAACAGGGCTTTCACCTTTTCATTTGCTCACTCATTCCTTCCATCAGAATCAATGGCTGCTTGCAGGACAAACAAAATGCACGTGCCTGCATGTGTGTGTCTGTGTGTGCTTGTGCATGTCTGTGTGCATGCCTATGTGTGTCTCTCTGTGCTCGTCCATGTGTGTGTGCATGCATGTGTGCCTGTGTGTGCATGCTATGTGTCTGTGTGTGCATGTGTGTGTGCATGCTGAGTCTGTGTGTGCATGTGTGTGTGCATGATATGTGTCTCTGTGTGTGCATGTGTGTGCCTGCATACATGTGTCTGTGTGTGCTCATGCATGTGTGTGCATGACTGTGTGTCTCTGTGTGTGCTTGTGCGTGCATGTGTGCACGCCTATGTGTGTCTGTGTGTGCTTGTGCATGCATGCCTATGTGTGTGTGTGCTTGTGCATCTGTGTGTACATGCCTATGTATGTCTGTGTGTGCTTGTGCATGACTGTGTGCGTGCCTGTGTGTGTGCTGTGCATGTGTGTGTGCATGTCTATGTGTCTGTGCGTGTGTGTGCATGCCTATGTGTGTCTGCTCATGCATGCATGTGTGCATGCCTGTGTGTCTGTGTGCTCGTGCATGCGTGTGTACATGTCTGTGTGTCTGCATGCTCACATGTGTGTGTGCGTGTGTATGTGTGTGTACACATACATGCATGTGTGCGTGCGTATGCTATTTCTCTCTCAAGACCACATTGCAAACTGGCCCCTGTGGGATGTTGTTTCTGCCTTACAGATTGACATGTGTATGTTTGAACAGAGGCCGGCCAGCATGGGGTCACACTGGCTTCAGTTAACCTGGGTTCCAATCCTGCCTCTGCCACTTGGTAGCGGTGACACCTTGGTGACTTTCTGGGCACCATTTCTGCCTCCATTTGCTCATCTGTAAAATGGAGACCACACAAGGCTGCTGTGAGAAGTAAACAAGGTAAGGAATGCGAAGTGCCCCACAGGACCCAAGCGTGGTAGCCCCCAGTAAATGGTAGCTGCTGTTCCCCTAGGATGTGCCCGTTGTTCTAGCCCCGCCAGGCATGCTCCCTGCCCCTCTCTCTGCTTGCTGGGAAAGGCTGGGTTTGGTTGATAAAGTGGAAAGTTTTCCTTTCTCTGATCTCTCTCTCATCACCAGTAGGTAGTTCATCCACACAGAATACACAGAAAGTTTTCCCAGCTTTCATGAAAAGGAAACCCGGGAGGAGGTGGGCAATGGAGGGCGGCATCTCTGTGCTTACCTGGCTAGGCCCTGGACTCAGAGCCCCCGCTATGACCCGGGTTGTTTCTCTGGAAAAGGCCCAGGTCACCTCAGTCCTGAAAATTATTCACTCCTAGTCAGCGCCAGTGTCTGCCCATCACCCTCAAAAGCCTCGGAAAGTCCCACACAGCGGCTCCCCAAATCAGTCCTCTGGACCCCTGCCAGGGAGCTCACAGGACGTACTATCTTCTTAAAATCCTGTTTTCTAAGGCTTATCTAGGAAAACAGTGAAAGTTATATATATATATATATATATATATATATATATATATATATATATATATATAAAACCATCTGATAGCATGTGCTAAACTGTGTGATTCCTACATCTAAAAATATCAGCATTAACACACCAGCATTACTCAAATAGCCAAAAGGTGGAAGCGACCCAAGTGTCCATCCACGGATAGACAGAGAAACAAAATGTGGTGTATCCATACAATGGAGTATTACCCATCTTTAAAAAGGAAGGAAGGCCAGGTGCAGCGGCCCACATCTATGAACCCAGCACTTTGGGAGGCCAAGGTGGGCGGATCACTTGAGGTCAAGAGTTCGAGACCAGCCTGACCAACATGGTGAAACCCCATCTCTGCTAAAAATACAAAAATTAGCCAGGCATGATGGTATGTGCCTATAGTCCTAGCTACTTGGGAGGCTGAGGGAGAACTGTTTGAACCAGGGAGACAGAGGTTGCAGTGAGCTGAGATTGCACACCTGCACTCCAACCTGGGCAACAGAGTGAGACTCCATCTCAAAAACAAATAAATAAATAAAAAGGAAGGAAATTCTGACACATACTCCAACACAGATGAAACTTAGGCCATTATGCTAAATGAAATGAGCCAGTCACAAGAGGACAAATTGTGTGTGTGTGTGTGTGTTTGTTTGTGTGTGCCACTTATAAGAGGTATCTGGAGGAGTCAAATCCATAGAGGCAGAAAGTGGAACAGAGCTTGCCGGGGACTGTGGGGGTAGATGGGAGGAAATGAGGAGTTAATGTTTAATGGAAACAGAGTCTTAGTTTTGCAAGTTGCAAAAGTTCTGGGATGGTTTGTACAACAATGTAAATGTACTTAACACTACTGAACTGTACACCGAAAAATGGTTCAGATGCCGGGCGCAATGGCTCACACCTGTAATCCCAGCACTTTGGGAGGCCGGGGCAGGAGGATTGTTTAAGCCCAAGAGTTCGAGACCAGCCTTGGCAACATAGTGGGACCTCATCTCTACAAAAAATCAAAAAATGAGTGGGGCACGGTGGCATACACCTGTAGTCCCAGCTACTCAGGAAACTGAGGTGGGGGAACGGCTTGACCCTGGGAGGTTGAGGTTGCAGTGAGGTGTGATTGTGCCACTCCACTGCAGCCTAGGTGACAGAGCGTTACCCTGTCTCAAAAAAAAAAAAAAGTTTAAGATGATAAATTTTATGTGTATTTTACTACAATTTAAATATATATGTGTATACATATATAAACATTCATATTCATACTTGCAGAATTAATCACTAACACTATGAAACCCAGCCCTTGCGTGGCTCTGCCAATGGCTGGCCCAGCCACCAGCCCCATGTCAATTGCCTGAGTCCGTCCCACTAGGATGGAGCCTGCAGTCCTTTCCACCCTGCAGTGAGGCCATTCTGGGAAAACCCGGTATACACAAGAGTATCCACGGAAAACAGACCAAATTAAATGAGATGCATGGTGTTGGTCGTGCAGGGACACAGGCACATGGAGCGGGTGGGGTAGGCAGGAACTGAACAATAAAAGGACCCAGACAAGATCCTAAAAGAATTGGAGAGATGAAAAAGTGTCCTAACTCATTAAATCCCATTCGTTTATTCATTCAATAAATACTTTTTTTCATTTGCCATCTGTACAACTTCTTTGATAGGGTCAGATATTTTGCTCATTTTTAAATTGGGTTATTTGTTTTCTTATTGTTGGTTTTTTTTGCTTGTTTGTTTGGTTGGGTTTTTTTGAGACGGAGTCTTGTTCTGTTGCCCAGGCTGGAGTGCAGTGGCTTGATCTCGGCTCACTGCAACCTCCCCCTCCCGGGTTTAAGTGATTCCCCTGCCTCAGCCTCCCAAGTAGCTGGGACTACAGGCATGCACCACCATGCCCAGCTAATTTTTTGCATTTTAGTGGACACAGGGTTTCACCATGTTGGCCAGGATGGTCTTGATCTCCTGACCTCATGATCTGCCCGCCTGGGCCTCCTAAAGTGCTGGGATTACAGGCGTGAGCCACCACGCCTGGCCTATAGTTGGGTTTTAAGGGTTCTTTATATTTTTTTTAAATACCAGTCCTTTATCCAATATGAATTTTTAAAAAAATTGAGTGGGGGCCGAGAGCAGTGGCTCATGCCTGTAATCCCAACACTTTGGGAGGCTGAGGCAGGAGGACTGTTTGAGGCCAGGAGTTCAAGACCAGCTTGGGCAATATAGTGAGACCCCATCTCTGCAAAAAAAAGTTTTTAAAATTCGCATGGCACGATGGCATGCACCTGTAGTCCCAGGTACTTGAGAGGCTGAGGCAGGAGGATTGTTTGAGCCCAGGAGGTTAAAGTTACAGTGAGCTGTAATTGTGCCACTGCACTTCAGCCTGGGCCACTGAGCAAGACAGTGTCTCAAAAGATAGAAAGAAAGAAAAAGAAAGGAAAGAAAGAAAGAGAAAGAGAGAAAAGAAAGAGAAGAAAGAAAGAAGAAAGAGAAAGAAACAAAAAAGAAAGAAAAGAGAAAGAAAGAAAGAAAGAAAAGGAAAGAAAGAGAAAGAAAGAGAAGGAGGAAGAAAAGGAAGGGAGGGAGTGAGGAAGGAAGGAAGGATGGGTGTGTCCATACCAAGTGCCATCCTATGAAGTGAACTAAACAGAAAAAGTCCTGCCCACATTGTGCACTTTTCTGGGGGGTGGGTGGTATTTTATCAAAATGGCCAGTGAAGGTCTCTTTAATAAGACAGCATTTGAGCAGAAACCAGGAGGAATCAAAGGAGCAAGCCTTAAGAAGGGTGGAAAGAGAGCTCCAGGAAAAGGGATGGTGTGTGCCAAGGTCCTGGGGACACCCAGCCTATTTGCAGAAGATCATGAGAGAAGATGGGTTGGGGGTAGGGGGTGGGTCCCTGTGAAGGACTTAGACTTTGGGCTCTGTATTTGTTTCCTGTGACTGCTGTAACAAATTGCCACAAACTGGCCGGGCGCGGTGGCTCATGCTTGTAATCGCAGCATTTTGAGAGGCCAAGGTGGGCGGATCACCTGAGGTCATCCTGGCCAACATGGTGAAACCCCATCTCTACTAAAAATACAAAAATTAGCAGGTGTGGTGGTGCATACCTGTAATCCCAGCTACTCGCGAGGCTGCATTGAGTGTTGCTGAGAACTCATGCAGGTGACGGACCACTGGATCCAACAGCATGAAGGCCAGCAGTGACCTTGGCCAGAGCCACTTTTGTGAGGTGGTGTGCATGTGAGTAATGTGGACCAGAGCCAGCTGGAGTAGGATCAGGAGAAGAAGGGAGGAAACAGCAGGTGTGGGCCACTGTCCTAAAGTTATCTATGAAAGTTATTCTTCTATAAAGAGGCACAGATAAGTGAAGCAATAGTGAGAGGAGGGGTATCAAGAGAGAATGTTTTAGTATGCCATTTTGTTTATTTATTTACTTGTTACATAAATGAAGTTATATTTATATATTTTAGTAAGTTACTTTCTTTGGGCAAAATACATTGTAATTATCCTATTTGCTATAGTTCTGCAATTAACTTCAAAATTTTTAAAGTTAGCCAGTCAGTGAATCTGCTTACCTGATTGTGTTTGTGCAGATATATTTTAAAAACTGGCAATAGTAGGCTGGGCATGTTGGCTCACACCTGTAATCCCAGCACTTTGGGAGGCTGAGGCGGGTGGATCACCTGAGGTCAGGAGTTTGAAACCAGCCTGACCAATATGGTGAAACCCCGTCTCTACTAAAAAATACCAAAATTAGTTGAGCATGGTGGCGGGCTCCTGTAATCCTAGCTACTTGGGAGGCTGGGGCAGGAGAATCGCTTGAACCTGGGAGATGGAGGCTGCAGTGAGCAGAGATGGCGCCACTGCACTCCAGCCTGAGCGACAACGAGACTCCCTCTAAAAAAAAAGCCACATTATGAGCCTTAAGGACGTTGAAGATGTTAAGGTCCCTGAAAACGGCTAAAACAAATTTTAATGATGGCAAACATTTATTTATTTATTTATTTATTTTTTTGAGATGGAGTCTCGCTCTGTTGAGTGACAACACATGGTCTCACTTATATGCGGAAGCTAAAGAAGAGCTCACAGACTTGGTGAATAGAACAGTGGTTACAGGAAACAGCAGGGGAGTGAGGTGCTGGCGGTGGGGAGCTTGGTTAACATGAACAAAGCTACAATTAGAAAGGAAGAAGTTTTGGTCTTCTCATGGGGTGAGTAATTTACTGTATATTTTCAAGCAGCTAGAAGAGAGGATTTTGAATGCTTTCAACACAAACAAATGATAACTGTTTGAGGTCATGGATATGCTAATTAGACTGATTTGATTATTACACACGGTACCCATGCACCAATACATCACACTTTACCCCATAAATATCTACAATTATTACATGTCAATTTAAAAAATCCATGGAAACAAAAAGTAGAATGACTTTTGCTAGAGTCTTGGGGAAGAGAGAAATGATGAGCTAGTGTTTAATGGGTCCAGAGATTCTGGTCAGGATGAAAAAGTTCTGGAATTGGATGGTGGTGATGATGGTTGCACAAAATTGTGAATTTACCTAATGCCACAGGGCTGTACTCTTAAAATGTTAAAATGGTAAGTTTTATGTTACATATGTCTCATCACAATTAAAAATAAAAGAGTACATGCATTCATTTTGAGAAAAAACAAGTCTCCTTCACTTTGAAGGTGTCAGCTCCCAGAACATAAGGACAAAGAGAAAACCTCAGAGTCATGTTTAACATGTCTGATTTATACTGAGGACAAATTAAAGAAAGTAATTTATATAACGAAGAGTAAACTTATGGAACTCATTGCCGAAAGAGGAGGCACAGACATAAAAATATCCAAAGACATCTACGAGGAATTGTTCACACATTTATTGCATTTATTGACAGCAGCCTAACAGAACATGGAGCACGATCACGTTTGGAGTCACCCTGAGGTTCACATCACAGCACACAAGCAGCTTTTTGCCCTACAGGCATTGCGCCCCAGTGAGTTTCTGAGGACAGGAATGGGGAGCTGGACGGACCTGCAGGTCCTCCCCATGGAACAAACGCTGCACCTTGCACACACCTGGGTCCCTGCTATGTCCAGCCCCAACCTGTGCACAGTGAGGAGAGCACACCTGGTGATCAGGATGGGGTCCACCCTGAGATGTTCATCGCCTACCTGTGCATGATGAGGGCAGCACACCTGGTTGTAAACACAAGGTCACCCCTGAGATGCCCAGTGCCTACCTCTACATGGTAAGGACAGCACAAAGTCACCTCTGAAATGCCCAGTGCTTGTACATTGTGAGGGAATCACACCTGGTTGTCAGCACGGCATCACCTCTGAGATGTCCTCCCGTTCACATGTGTAGCAACAGAAAAGGTCTGGCTTAACAACTGTCATTCTCAGCTCCCAAACAAAGCAGAATAGGGTGTTGTACTCATATTTAAAGCTTTGTTTTGTATCGTATCTGTTTTTATAAATTGTCTATTTCTTTTTCCATGTAGGCTAAAGTTACATCTTCAATAAGCCAAGTAATAGGAAATTACTTTGCTCATCGCAGTGACCCTGGAATGTAGCATAGTATCAGAAAGTAGGAAAGTACCCCCCAAGAATGTGTTTTTAAGATGAGGGCACATCAGAAAGACCCAAGAATCAATCTAATAAAGCTCCCAGTGGCCTGAGCTAATATAATTTGAGCACCATAATAAATTTCAATCGTATTGAATTATCATCTAAAGAATAAAATAAATATCCATCAGCACATACTGATATAAATAAATAAATAAATAAACAAAAGAAGGAGGACCAATCTTTCTTACATAAGAAATCCAATTAATAAATGTAGAGAGAATTGGAGAAACAGGGAATCGCCACTGGAACACCACAGATATCATTGCTACGGGCAAGACTAATTGATAATTGCTAAAATTAGTGATTGAACCTTAAGGAGTAACAAGATATTTGCATCATATTTGTATCCCTTCCTAAATTTACTAACCACTCTTATGGTTTTAAAACATGACTTTGGGCCGGGCGCAATGGCTCACGCCTGTAATCCCAGCACTTTGGGAGGCCAAAGCGGGCGGATCACGAGGTCAGGAGATCGAAACCATCCCAGCTAACACTGTGAAACCCCATCTCTACTAAAAAAACACAAAAAAAAATTAGCCGGGCGTGTTGGCGGGCGCCTGTAGTCCCAGCTACTCGGGAAGCTGAGGCAGAGGAGAATGGCATGAACCCGGGAGGCAGAGCTTGCAGTGAGCTGAGATTGCGCCACTGCACTCCAGTCTGGGTGACAGAGCAAGACTCCGTCCCCAAAAAAAAAACAAACAAAAAAAAAAACATGACTTTCATACTCAAGTATAGACTGGACTTAGTGACCTGCTTTTATGAATAGATGACAGAAAGAGGAAAATTGTAACTTGACAGTGGGGAAACCTAACAGACATCACATTAGCCAGGTGATCAAAGTTAATGTTACCTGCAGTCATGCTGACATTATACGCCCACTAACATGATACAATGAGAAGGGCCTATCACCTCTGTGGTGTTCTTCTCCAAAATCCACAGCCTCAGAATGTTTATGAGAAACCATCAGATAAACCCAAGTTAAGGGCATTCTACAAAACACCTGACCACTACTCTTCAAAACATCTAAAGTCATGAAAGACAAGAAAGTACAGAGAAGCTATCACAGATTGGTGGAAACTAGGGGGACATGATGAGTGAAGGTATCAGGATATCCCAAACAGGGTCCTGGAACAGAAAAAGCACATTAACAGAAAAAGTTAAGAAGTCCAGGCCGGGCGCGGTGGCTCACGCCTGTAATCCCAGCACTTTGGGAGGCCGAGGCGCTCGGATCACAAGGTCAGGAGGTCAAGACCATCCTGGCGAACACGGTGAAACCCTGTCTCTACTAAAAATACAAAAAATTAGCCGGGCGTGGTGGTGGGCACCTGTAGTCTCAGCTACTCGGGAGGCTGAGGCAGGAGAATGGCGTGAACCTGGGAGGTGGGGCTTGCAGTGAGCCGAGATGGCACCCACTGCACTCCAGCCTGGGCGACAGAGCGAGCCTCCATCTCAAAAAAAAATTTGAGAAGTCCAAATAAAGTTGGTAGTTCTCTTGCTAATATTGCACCACATCAATGTCTTAGTTTTGATAAACATACTATGTAAGACGTTAACATTCGGGGAAGTTGGGTGAAGGGTGTATGGGAACACTCTGTACTGTCTTAGTAACTCTTTATGAATTCTAAAATTATTTCAAACTAAAAAGTTTTGTAGAATAGGTAGAGTTGCAAATAATTTGGTGAGAGGTGCAGATGGAGGTATCTCTTATCTGTGAGGCAATAAGTCAAGTAAATTGCTGAGAAAAATGTGGGTGGGAGAAAATGGCACAGAGGGCCTTTGTCATGACTTGCCTGAAGGTCGATACTGCATTAGAAAAAAATTATCCAAAAATGACCACACTGTGCTATAATGGTGCCATGTCTCCATGTATCTGCCACATCTGCATTCTCTGGGCTTGCTGTAGTGATGGGAGGGATTCAAATCCTCCTCTTCAGCAAAAGAAGTTTCTGGATGGATGGTCTGAGACAAGAAGGGATGTCCTTTCCCCGGGCTGCGCACGGATTCCAATGCCCCACTAAATGATGCTAACAGGCATCATCTCTGGCCACTGAAGCCCAGGCTCTTAAGTTTAATCATAAAACGCTTTGGTCTCATGGGCTGCAAACCACCAAGATAGAACTAAGATTGATAAGAAAAATATACTGTTTACTCAAAACAGGTGTATACCAGCCTACATATTTATAATGTCCTATTATACGGTTGTACAGTTCATATCCTCAATAATTCAGTAGGTATCTCGCTAACATCTATTTGAAATCCCCCCCAGAATAACATTTAGCAATAGCTTCCTGATCTCTTTAGAATGGTGTCCTTATTTT
The DNA here is from genome assembly GCF_000001405.40 of Homo sapiens. Taxonomy (NCBI): domain Eukaryota; kingdom Metazoa; phylum Chordata; class Mammalia; order Primates; family Hominidae; genus Homo; species Homo sapiens. The sequence goes on from NC_000021.9 coordinate 32,542,420, forward strand.
TCTTAAACATTTGATATGTTACACCACCCAGGTGGAAAATAGAACACAGAGTGTAGGATACACACTTACTCACCATAAAAACAACCATACTGTAACACCAAAATATATTTATCCAATTGGTCAAGGAAATTGAATTTAACATATGCTGTTATCGTACAAGCATTTTTAATGAAATAACATTTTGTATGTATATAGCACCTTTCTACTAAGGAGCAAAAATATGGCTCAGACATTATTACTCATTTTCACACTATCCTCGACAGGTGGATAAGTAGCAACATTTATACCAAGTTTTAATCACTGGGAAACAAAGACATGCATAAAGAGAGCAAATAAACCACAAATGGTAACCCAGAAAGTTGGCATTTTCCACCCCCCAATGCCCACTGTGGTCCCCTCACTCTTTTTTTTTCTGCAATATTAAAAGCTACTTTGAATATTGGTGGAAAAAAAATAGAGGAACAGTAGAGTGATGAAACAGGTATATACCAGCCTCCTCAGGAAACTGATGGTGGAGCTTAGACTGGAAACTGTTGAAAGTTAAAAATAATTCCCAAACCTTGACCATCTACTTGGACAAATTTGATGTGTACCAGGGACAAATGAAAGTATCCTTCCAAAATACGTCCCAAATTATTGTCAAGCCTTTCTGTAATAAAGGTCCATTCCTCAAGCTGCTGTCACATAATGTGCAGGTGATCAACAGCAAATCCATTAGCAACACAGGATAAAGAAATTTGTGTAGCCCCAATAGCAAAGACTTGGAACCAACCCAAATGTCCAACAATGGTAGACTGGATTAAGAAAATGTGGCACATATACACCATGGAATACTATGCAGCCATAAAAAATGATGAGTTCATGTCCTTTGTAGGGACATGGATGAAGCTGGAAACCATCATTCTCAGCAAACTATCACAAGGACAAAAAACCAAACACCGCATGTTCTCACTCATAGGTGGGAACTGAACAATGAGAACACATGGACACGGGAAGGGGAACATCACACACCTGGGCCTGTTGTGGGGTGGGGGGAGGGGGGAGGGATAGCATTAGGAGATATACCTAATTTTAGATGACGAGTTAATGGGTGCAGCACACCAACATGGCACATGTAACAAACCTGCACGTTGTGCACATGTACCCTAAAACTTAAAGTATAATTAAAAAAAAAAAAAGAAATTTGTGTAGCCCAGAAACTCTTGCATAAAACATAACTTCAACAAGACAGTAGTACATTTTGGATGATGCATTCCTGAGGAGCTCTTTAAAAATTCATTCAAGGAAATAAAAAAAAAAGTCTCTTTAATGATAAATGCAAATTACAGGCATAGTTGGAGCCTAAAATTATGTCTTGAATAGGAAAATTACCAGAGGATGAATTCCTTAAGAGCACGACTGTCTTTCAAGAGTTTCTAATATATTTAATCTCCAGTAAACTCTAGGATATCCAAAGGTGTAGTACCCTTTTTTTTTCCAGAATATGCAGTGTCTGAGAAACTTGTATCACATCTATCCATGCATTCAACTAATGTCAGCAAAACTAGATGACAAATCATACATAAAGGGAAGGATGAAAATATTTTGTTGTAAACTTCTGAGACATAGGGATAAGGAAAGGAAGTTACATAATATTCTAATAACAAATTTCAATAATGTGAAAAAAGAAAAATAACAGCCAACACTTATGAAGTACTTCTATGCACTAGTATGGGTAACGGCGCCAGGCACAATACATGCGTTATCTCATTTCCTCATCACAAGCTTCCTTTGAGATATACCCATTTTATAGACTTAGATTAAGATGCTTGTCAGAGGTCAGGGTACAAGCAGCTGTCTGACTCCAAACCCTTTATGGAGGCTGCCTGGCTTTTTCTCTAGCTCTTCACTTCTTAATTAGTGCAGAGAATCAAGTCTTGCCTTTCATTTCTTCCCCTGCACTGAAGAAAAATCTAAAAGTCATCCTTTTGTAACATTGAAAACTTGGAATAAAAAATTCATTAAAATATTATCTATAGAAACACTCCCAAAGCCTCATAGCAAGAAATTCAGATAAAAGCACATATTTTCACTACTTTAATGTGCATGAGTTTAAAGTCCATGACTGTTATTTTTATCTTCATCATTCCCTATTTGACTGATTTTTAACCTATCATGTTACACCATGGAGTGGCAAATACTATCAAGGAATCAAAAAAAGCAACTCCTTCAATAATCTAATTTATAGGAAATAGAGTAAATTACAATGATGCCTCTTTAATCTAATTAATTAGCTAATTGATTAATTTAATTAGTTAATTAACTAATGTCCCTGATGGGCAAAGTTTTCTTAACCAGAGAGCTTCCTGGCCCACACAAGAAAGGAAAAATTAATGATCCATCAGCTGTTTCTGAACTTCAGGATAGTTGGAGGCCCAGCTTCAGGGATCACGTCTTCTGTGAGGTCACAAAGGAAATTACGCCTTCAAGAATGCACTGTTCAAGCCATATCCTTGACTCCGATGAATCAATCAGGAAAGGGCTATTGTTATAAATAAGCAAATGAGACTGGTCATCAAGCAACTGGTCCTCAAGGTTTGACTTCTTTTCTTCTCCACCACTGAACAGATTTACTTTTTTTTTTTTTTTTTTGAGATGGAGACTCTCTGTCGCCCAGGCTGGGGTGCAGTGGTGCTACCTCGGCTCACTGCAACCGCTGTCTCCTGGGTTTTTAGGCAATTCTCCTGCCTCAGCCTCCCGAGTAGTTGGGATTACAGGCACCCACCACCATGCCTGGCTAATTTTTGTATTTTTAGTAGAAACAGAGTTTCACCATGTTGGCCTGGCTGGTCTCAAACTCCTGACCTCAAGTGATCCACCCGCCTTGGCCTCCTGGAGTGCTGGGATTACAGGCATGAGCCACCATGCCTGGCCTAAATTTACTTTTAATCTCATGAGATGCTGAGGACTAAGACCCCCTCCTTCCCAGGGCCCAAAGCAAGAAAATGGGATGGAGAGGCCCATCTCCAAAGATCTTACCCTTGGAATAAGGGTCTTTTTCCCACACCTCCTTGACATCTATTCCCCCTGGGCTGTTTTTATTTTCCTAACCCACACTCCATCAGCTTTAAGCACTAAAGAACTTTTTGGCCACCTCAGGACAAAAATTTGTTACAAAAATCACCTCCTAAATCAAATGAGCTGAGCCTCACTAAGTAAATCAGGCTTTGGACAGGCTCCGCTTCCTGTTGGTTGTTCATACATTTGTGTTGCTCAAGTCTTCATCTTAGAACCCAACCCCGCCTTGCTGGATTCCTGATGGAATTTCTCTTTGCACCTGAACAATTCTTCAGGCATCTTCTCCTTTTAATTTTGAAGAATGTGATACCTTTCTGTCAGAAAAGGTATCCAGGTCTTAGATTCACACTCAAGCCATGAATAATACTCTTCTGGGCATACATAAATACACGATTTTCCCAAATTCTCCTTCTCCTAGCACAGAGACCAAAGCCTTCTTCCTTCCCTTTCCCTAGCCTTCTTTCAAATTCTCACCTTTCCTGGCATTTGTTTACTTGCTCAACCTTCTAACAAACATTTATTTAACAAACATCTGCTATGATCCAGGCACTGAACTAAGTGACACAAAGGTGAGTAAGACACAGTCCTTGCCGTAAGAAGTTCATGCTCTTATGAAGCAGACCAGTTATCAGACCATTACAGTGCATGGTGGAAGGGCAGAGATAGCGTTAAGCCCAGGACATTATAGGGCCCCTCAAAAAGAGCCAAGTCACCCCACTGGGGACCCTGTCTGTTTCCCCTCACTCTTCAGGTTCTAGGTGTTTTCAGAGTTGTGTTTCTTTAAAGTGTTTAAATAGTTTCCTTTCTAGCAACCTCCCCCATGGATAACGACGTAGACCTTCCCAACTCCCAATCTGAATCATTGTATTACTTCCAGGCCAGCGACTCATATATTCCTAGACTCATCAACTTCTCATCATCCGTACTACCACAAACATCAGAATATCTAAAACCCCTAGAGTCCAATCCACTCCAGTCCATGTTTGAGTTTTCCAAATCCACATGTCATTTGAAGGTGAATTTTCCATGCATTGTGTTTTGAAATCAACAGACATATACTTAATCCTTTTGCCTCAGTTTCTGATCATCATAAAGACAGGAAAAACAGAAATCCTCAGTTCATTTTAATTCTCTTAGTCCTCAACGTGATATTCGTTCACATCCTTCATGACTGGCCTCTCTTTTACCTATCTGGTTTTGAATTACATTGGCTAACTTCAGAAAAGTCATCGTTACTAAATTGTCTCTGAAAGAAAGTAATTGAGGCAGAAGATATATGCAGTTCTTCAGCAATTGTTTGAGCTGCACTGTCAGTGTAGAAATAAGCAGCCTAATAAGAGGTCAGATACGTGGATTTTAAAAGCCTATTTATCATACAGTATTCAAACCCTTTAATCATTTTATAAGCCTCACATTAAATGTCAGTTGTCATTCTTTTTCCCATCATGATTACTTAACAAACCAAAATACCATTATGTTGTTCCTTTTCTAGAAAAAAAAAATGCTTCAACGTGAAAGAAATAAAGCTACAGAGAGACAGGGCTGGCGCAGGGGATCTGGACCTAGAGAACCAGCTTCAAATTCTGCTCCACAACCTATTTATTGTGTGATTTGAAGCCAATTATTTAAGTTCTTTGAGCTTCAGTCCCTTGATCTATTCAAGGAAGATAATAATAATCTCTGCCTTACAGTGTTTTCAAGGGTGAGTCCACACCCATCCTTGAGTGAATCATCACCTTGGTGGGCTCCATGGCACCCTCCTCCCCCACCCCACCCCCGGCCGGCCCTCCTTTCTGAAGCAGCCTCTCCCACCCTGAGGTGCCCCACCCTCCAAGTTTCCTGCTGCTCTGGGCACTCCTACATCTCTGCACCATGGCCCACACACACCGGAGTCCTGGCATCTCAGTCCTAGTCTTCATTCTTATTTAGTAGCCTCTCTTTAAGATGGTTCATCCACACTGGCAGCTTCCATTTTCAGATGCCTCCAATCTTTCATTTGAATATCAGACCTTTATAGGCAACTATTCACACCATACCTTCTTTTGGGGGGTATCTCCCACTCAACAGGTCTAAATGAAGTTTGAGTCCTCTCCTAAATCTAGCGGGCTTCCCATGTTCTTATTCTCAGCTAGTGGCACTGCCACTCATCCAGCTGTGCGAGCCAGACACCCAAAGAGTCATCCCAGACCCCTCACCTGCTCCCCAACCCCAGCCATCACAAGCCCTGTCCATTCTCCCTCCTAAAGAGCTCAGAAATATGCCTTCAGAACTACGTCTTCATTGGACCACCCCGGTCTGAGGTACAACCCACCTATTTCCTAAACCATCCCATCGTACTCACTGCCGTGCCCCAGCAGAGCGCCCTTCTCAATGCACAGATGTTGTGGTGTCATTTCCCTACTTCTGTCCTCTCACAGCTCTGCATTGCTCTTTGGGTCAAAAATAAAATCTTTTTTTTAAATTTATATAAATATATGGGGTTCAAGAACAATTTCGTTACATGCATAGATTGCATAATGGTTAAGTCGGGGTTTTTACATATTCATTATCCAAATAATGTATATTGCACCCATTAAGTAGTTTCTCATCCTCCACCCCCTCCCGCTCCCTCATCCTTCCAAATCTCCATTGTCTATTATTCCAATCTCTATGGCCATTTGTACACATTTTTTCACTTCCACTTACAAGTGGGAAATATGCAATATTTGTCTTTCTGTATCTGGGTTGATTTGCTCAAGGTAATGGCCTTCAGTTCCATCCATGTTGCTGCAAAAGACATGATTTCATTCCTTTTTATGGCTAAATAGTATTTCATTGTGTTTATATGCCACATTTTCTTCATTCAATTTAGGATATTTAGGTTGATTCCATATCTTTGCTATTGTGAATGGTGCTGCAATAAACATAAAAGTACAGGTATCTTTTTGATATATTGATTTCTTTTCCTATGGGTAGATGCCCAGTAGTGGAGTGGCTGAATCAAATGGTATATCTATTTTTGGCTCTTTGAGAAATCTCCATACTGTTTTGCACAGAGGTTGTACTAATTTACATGCCCACCAGCACTGTTTAAGAGTTCACTTTCTCCATATCCTCACCAACATCTGTTAGTTTTTGTCTTTTTAATAATAGCCATTCTAACATTTGTTTTCTTAGTATTGAGTTGTTTCATTTCCCTATATATTTTTGGATATTATCCCCTTATCATATGCATGGTTTGCAAATATTTTCTCCCATTTTGCAGGTTGTCTCTTCACTCTGTTGATTATTTCTTTTGCTGTGTAGAAGCTTTTTAGTTTAAGTCCCATGCATCTGTTTTTGTTTTTGTTTTTGTTTTTCGATTGGGGGGATGGAGTTTCGCTCTTGTTGCCAGGCTAGAGTGCAATGGCACGATCTTGGCTCACTTCAACCTCTGCCTCCTGGGTTCAAGAGAGTCTCCTGCCTCAGCCTCCTGGGTAGCTGGGATTACAGGCGCGCATCCCCACGTCCAGCTAATTTCTTTGTATTTTTAGTAAAGACGAGGTTTCACCATGTTGGCCAGGCTGGTCTTGAACTCCTGACCTCAGGTGATCCACCTGCCTCGGTCTCCCACAGTGCTGAGATTATAGGCGTGAGCCTGTTTTTGTTTTAAAATCCTTAAGGAGATGTACACGACCCCACAGGACCTGACCCTGGCTCCCGGCCAGCCTCACCTCCCATGGCTTTCCTGCCCCTGTATTACCTCACTTCCTTCCCCTTTAGCCATCCTTCGGGCCTCAGTTCAAGTTCACATCTTCAGGATGGTAGTCTACGACCCCTTATACCAGTTGAGACCATCTTTTAGGCATTCCTACCTCACCACTTGATTTTCTTTCAGGGTATTTAGTACATTTGCTGTTGTAAGATAACGTGGGCCTTTTCATCAATGGCAGTCTCCCGTGCTAGAATACATAATCCAGTACTGCAGGACATAGCTATATATTGCTTATCCATGAATTCCCAGTGGCAAAGCCCCAGTAGAATTTCAATACATATATATTTATTAAAAAGTGATTTATTAATTACTTTTTAAATTAATTAATATTGAGGTGCACCAGCAACATAGTTAAAACTCCTCATTCCCCAAACTACTCAGATCCATTTCTGGCTCTGCCACATACTGGTTTTGTGACTTTGGGGAAGTTATCTTATCGTTATCCCTGACACTTCCTCTCCAAAATTGAGTAGCTTGCATAGGAAAGTCAAGAAGACAAAAGTTAGCCTCCCAGCAACTAGCTAAACAAAACCCACTTTTCAGTCAAAACCAAGAATACCTATTTAATGATAATAATAAAAAAGAAGAAACCATGCTCCTAGTACACATTAATTCATCAAAGGATAATAAAGAAGAAAAAGAGGAGTCACAGCCACTTGTGCTCTGCTAATAAGTAACAGTCTTGCCAAGACCTTAGGAGGACAACATCAGCCAGCACCCATTTTCAATACAGGTGACTCGGTGGACCTTTGTTTCCCATCAAGTCCCTTTCCTCTAGCACCCAAGCACCCCTGCAGCCCACCCCTGACACAGCCTGGTAGCAGGTGCTTCTCCTGCAAGGGAAACAGCCAGGCCCTGTGCCCCATATGCAATGAACAAGGCAGGGCTCTGCCCCTCTCCTGCAAGCAATCAACACAGGCCCTGAAGCATGAGATTTAATTGCTTGTTCATTATTTTAGCTTGCAGGGGCTACAAGGAAGTATGGCATTTCTGAGCACACCATCCGAGGGAACCCTGGGAGCTGTCAGATTAAAAAATAACAACAGAAACGAGAAAGGAGCCTCTCTTTAGCCAAATGGCTTCAGGTGCCCGTGACTCAATGCAAGGGCCCCCATCAAAACCCATGGCAGCCCCTCTCTGTTTGTCCTGCCCTTTTCAATTCTGTCTGAGTGGGGAGGAGAATGCCACAAAGAGACGAGAATTTGAACTCGCAGCCCCTGAGTGCACCAATGCCCTTTTTCTGCCTGATTGTATACTTGAAGTGCCTGTAAAGTCAATAACTTCCCATGGTTTCACAGCAAAGTCAAAAGGTTAAAAAAGAGACATTGTCCTTTTGAAGATGTGGAAAGTAATGAGTGAGCAGGCTGAATCCTCTGTGGGTTTAAAAGCCTGTGCCATTCTGCTTTAAGGTGTCAAAATTGCCTTAAATTTTTAGCTTTGTTATACCCTGCTGCTACACAGATATCATAGAACCAGGCTGAGTCTCTCAATTTGGAGATCATTTTTTCTCTCTAAAAACTTGTTGAAATATATATGTTAGCACAGACATTTTCTTAACATTTTCTGTTCAAAATATAGTATTTTTTCAGATGCATCTTAAGAGATCAGAATAGTCAAACAGTAGATCTCTTTTTGAAAAAAAAAATTGTATACCATCTTCAAGTTTTAAGCACAAAGGTTACAGCTAGTCCTCCTCCCCTATTTTATTTCCACTGTTGGAGCAGATTTGACCTCGTCTCTCTAAAGGCAGAAAACTTCAACAAAGGTGAGAGGACTATTTAAAGCGATGAAAAAGATTCTGAATGAAGGATTTTGCCCTGGATGAAGCCTGAAAGAAATGCAGTGCTTAGGAAGTGGATAAAAGTCAATAGCAACAATTCTTGGCTTTGGATGAAAACTTGAAGGTGCACTTTTCCCCAGTGATATGAAAAACAAGAAAATAAAAACAACCAACCAGAGACCCGTAACTCTTCTGGTTCTGTGGCGTCTGTACATTCATGTGATAGAAACTTACTAAATCCCAAAGGGTCCCTGGCAAAGCCCAGGCTCCGTGATGGGCTGAGAGCCCTGCCACTGCACCAGGAGAAAAGGAGTCACTAGGCTTCGGATGGGGAAGAGAAAAGCCTCTTTCCTCCCTCCCATTCCAAAAGAGAAGAAAAAACCTGGACAGCCAGATACAAGCAGCCTTGAAAAATCACTCTAGAGGAGAAAAGACAGGAAGAATGTCATCGAGAAAGAAGGCCAGGAGAGGATGCCACAAAGGTGCTTTTTCTCCCTCCTCTCTTTCCACCTTTCCCATAGTCTCCTCTCCACCTAAACGACCCCCAATCAACTCTCTCCAGATTCTACTCTCCCACCGGAGCCTGACTGACACATTTTCCAAAAGCAGGTTAAAAAAAGCAAGGGTCTCAGGCTCCGTCACATCCAACTCATTCTTATGTGCCAGGGAGATACAGAGCCACATTCTGTGTATCTGTTGGATTGTGAATTACCACTTGGGCATAGAGACTGGTCTCAACAGTGAGATTCCCCTCGTGTAGGAACCCTCATGCTTCAGCTAGGTGCTTACAGGTGAAGAGTTACTCAAAAATCATCATGTAGCAAATTTGGTTTCCACACCTTAAATTAGAGAGACTCAGGCGTGCACCAAGGAAACGTCTAGCTATGCTCTTCTCCAGCCTCTCACCGGGCTGCAGGTCTTAGCTTTTAGTATCACTGGGGTGTCCCGGGCTTTTGTTTGAATGGCTCAACCTGGCTGCAATCATTGCAGCCGATCGCTCTGCCAGCATCTGCATTGTCTGCTTCAAAAGTCAGGCTCACCAGAGAGAGCAATTTCTTTTTTCTTTTTCTTTTTTTTGAGACGGAGTCTCGCTCTGTCGCCCAGGCTGGAGTGCAGTGGCGTAATCTCGGCTCACTGCAATCTCCGCCTCCTGGGTTCAAGCAGTTCTCCTGCCTCAGCCTCCTGAGTAGCTGGGATTACAGGCGCCCGCCACCACATCCAGCTAATTTTGTATTTTTAGTAGAGACTGGGTTTCACCATGTTGGTCAGGCTGGTCTCGAACTCCTGACCTTGTGATCCGCCTGCTTCGGCCTCCCAAAGTGCTGGGATTACAGGTGTGAGCCACCGTGCCTGGCCAGAGGAAACAATTTCTTAATGGAAAGAATTTGTTATTAGTTTAGGCCACAAGCCTGAATCTTTGAAACAGCATGACTCAGATAGTTCATCACTCAGAGAATTAAGGTTTTGCATCCCTCGGTTCTGAGTGAGGTTTTCTTCCTCTTTTGAGAAGAGCAGCATTAAATTACCAGAGCCATCTCATCGGTCATTCATTTAGTATTTACCACACCTACTATGTGCAAAAGGCAGTGGGAAGTAGAAAGATTAGAAAGAAAAACTCCTGCCATCCAAGGGGTTAACAGCTTACAGATCTTAGAACCACACAACTTAGAAAAAAAAGTTTAAGATTATATAGAGAATCCAAGTGCTTTATTTCACAGATGAAGACATAAGACCCTGAACTATTCTATAACTCCTGTGGTAAACTACAGAGGCAATTCCCAAACCCAGGTCTGCTGACTCAAAGAAGGACTGTGCCTTTCCATTCTGTTCCTAACAGCTAAGAAACTCCTGCATCCCCAGATCCCAGAGGCTTATATGGTCTGGAAAGCTGGTGTCGTGGTCATCAGTCAAAAGCACTCACTGCATACGTACACCATGGCCAGCACACACCTGGAGGTTTGGACACACACATTCACACACTTACATAATCCTCACAATAAGTGTTTGAGGCAAGAATTGGTATTCAGGATGTAAGCTTGAGAAGCTGGGGGGAGTGTTAAATAACCCATTCAAGGTTAAAGGGTCCCCGTGGTGAATTGAGGACTCAAAACTCAGTCTGTTCTCTGCCCCTACACACCAGTAGCCTCGATTTCCAACTCGTTTGGTTATTCCTTGTTATAGACTGAATGCTGTGTCTCTCTCCCAAAATTCACATGTTAAAACCCTACTCCCCGATGTGAGAATATCAGGAGGTGAGGCCTTTGGGGGTGATTAGGGTGAAGCCCTCATGGTGGGATTAGAGTCTTTGTTAGAAGAGACACAACAGAGATGATTGTTTCTCTTCAGCCATGTGAGGACAGGACAAGACGTCCATCTACGAACCAGAAAGAGGGATCTCACCAGACACCAAATCTGCTGCTGCCTTGATCTTGGACTTCCTAGCCTCCAGAACTATAAGAAATAAATGTTTGTGGCTGGGTGAGGTGGCTCACACCTGTAATACCAGCACTTTGAGAGGCTGAGGCGGGTGGATTACTTGAGGTCAGGAGTTCGAGACCAGCCTGGCCAACACAGTGAAACCCCATCTCTAATAAAAATACAAAAATTAGCCAGGCATAGTGGCACATGCCTGTAACTCCAGCTACTCGGGAGGCTGAGGCAGGAGAATCACTTGAATCCAGGAGGCCGGGGTTGCACTGAGCAGAGATCTCGCTACTCCACTCCAGCCTGGGCGACAGAGTGAGACTCCGTCTCAAAAAAAAAAAGAAAAGAAAAAAAGAAAAAAAAAAGAAATGTTTGTTGTTTGAGCCAGTCCATGATATTCTGCCATAGCAGGCCAAACTGACTCATATACTCCCTTTGTTTCATCTTCATGTATTTCTGGCATCCTGGTTTGTAACAAATAATGGAATCTTAGAATTTTAGAAATTGAAATGTTCTCAGAGACCATGTGGTCCAGATCTCTCATTTTACAGGTGAGGCAAGTGGTCCAGTGACTCATCTGTGCTCACTGCATGAGAGCCATGCAAGCTCTAGAGAGCACACACAGAGTGAGAGAGACAAGCCGAGATCCTGTCCCCGTAGGCACTAGTGTATCCATGGTTTGGTACAACATTGGGTGTCATCCTGGTTGTCCCAAGCCTCAGCAGCCGGTGGATGTCAATAAGGTCACATTATTAATAAAAATAAGAATGAATAGGCCGGGCGCGGTGGATCACGCCTATAATCCCAGCACATTGGGAGGCCGAGGCGGGTGGATCACCTGAAGTCAGGAGTTCAAGACCAGCCTGGCCAACATGGTGAAACCCCGTCTCTACTACAAATACAAAAATTAGCCAGGCATGGTGGCAGGCACCTATAATCCCAGCTACTCGAGAGGCTGAGGCAGGAGAATCGCTTGAACCCAGGAGGCAGAGGTTGCAGTGAGCTGAGATTGCACCATTGCACTCCAGCCTGGGGGACAAGAGCTGGATTTCATCTCAAAAAAAAAAAAAAAAAAAAAAAGAATGAATAAACAAGTAACTAACTTGATGTAGGAGCCATACATATGCATCTGTCTACTACAGAGCCTCCCGCCCCTCTCCAAGTCCTCACCTTGGTTTTCTGGAGTCCCGTGGTCTGTCTCACAACCACCCTTATATGTACTCAACACCCCAGACGTCATTTGAGTGTTTTCCTCAATCATGACCATAGCTGCTCAGACCTTCTCTGTCAGCATCTGCTTCCCCTGAAAAGATTTCTTTCTCATGCCTTTCTGTCTGTGTCCACAGTGTCTCAATTGAAGGTCCTTGGTCTTCAAGGAACCAAGACTACACTGAGATCCATTCTTGGGAAGTGCCTCTCCTTCAACCTCCGGTACCACTCATCCATAAACACCAACACTATTTGCCTCTTTGTGTATCATAAAGTCCCTCATTGAAACAGCCCCTTAAACTCCAGTCTGGAAAACAAACCCACTGGGCTACAATAAGAACCAATTTTAGACACAGACATCCTCCCACTTCCTCTTGACCCCAGGTATTCTCTGCCAAACTACAATTCCTCCAGGAAATCAGCATCTAGCAGCACCCCCACCAACCCATGGAGGTTTGTTTTGTTTTGTTTTTTGAGACAGGTCTCACTCTGTCACCCAGGCTAGAGTGCAGTGGTACAACCACAGCTCACTGCAGCCTGACCTCCCCGGGCTCACGTGATCATCCATGAGGCAGTTTGAAGAGATCTGAAGCCCAAGATAGACTCAGGCTGGAATTCCCACTATATACAGGTCACTAGATTTAATTTAAATGTGTCTTAAATTTCACAAATGATGCAACAGAATGAAAGATGTAATTCAACAAAACTTGTCCAAGAAGGTCCTTGGTATTTTCTCTCTTCTGGAAATCATCGATGAAAAAGCATGTTATATGAGCTAGCAGAACTCAGTCAGTTAAGGGAAAAAAGGTCATTTAATTGCACAATAAGAAGCATAATGTGGGCAGAAAAGAACTCCCTGTTTATTGCATATGTCAAATTATTTAGGTATCTATGAGAGAAAGGTGGATGTACCAAAAACCTAGGCTATGTGTAATCATTGAAATTGAGTATCAGATTGCACTCTATGCTTCCTGGAAGCCAAGGTAAAAAGTAAAATAGGTAAGTTATATAGTTCTCCACTATTATTCATCTCATAGAGTAACACAGCGTCTGGTCTGGTCTAACAGCCAAAAGCCTATCATCACAAAAAGAAATGAATTAATTGCCTGGGTCTCTAAATAAAGGGAATAAATCACCCTAGACAACAAGGTCTTGGAGGGCCTCATCTGGGTGGTCTCTACCACATGCCCCGCAACAGTTTTCCATATGCCCCGCAACAGTTTTCCATAATAGAAACAGATTTCATCTGACTTTTTTTTTTTTTTTTGAGTCAGAGTTTCACTCTTGAGTGCAATGGTGTGATCTTGGTTCACCGCAACCTCCGCCTCTCGGTTTCAAGCGATTCTCCTACCTCAGCCCCCCAAGTAGCTGGGATTACAGGCATGCACCACTATGCCCCGCTAATTTTGTATTTTTAATAGAGAAGGGGTTTCACCATGTTGGTCAGGCTGGTCTCGAACTCCTGACCTCAAGTGATCTGCCCGCCTCAGCCTCCCAGAGCGCTGGGATTACAGGTGCGAGCCACCGCTCCCGGCCCTCATCTGACTTCTTATGCAAAGTACAAGAAGATGTCACATTGCTTTCTTTCCTATCGTTTTGAGAAGGTGTTTTTACAAAGACCTCCTGTTCTGAACACTGCTCATTCTGCCTCTGATGAGCCCAGCTTCCTGGATGGACCACACATGCTACCAGGCATGGCTTATGATACCCTTGAGCCTGGTTTATGATGACCCTTGGTGTTCATTTTCCTCATCATTTTCAGCCTGGGCCAGCTTGTCTCTCTTGGACATACGAAGGTGCCTTGTTAACCTCTTTTTACCCTCTCCCATAGCCAGTGCACAAAAAATACTTGGATCTCGGGTCATTGTTCCCTGACCATAGGCTTTGTTGAGATTAGAAATAACTGGTTCTTTCAAAGAGAATGCCTGCATTAACCAAGTATATTCTAAAGATATGTAGCAAATGCTACATTTGTAATCATCATAAAGCTGAAAGGAAAAAGAAACACTGCAAACATACTGAAACAATTAAGCAATGTTCGTTCCTGACTTTGGGCTGGGAAGAATATTCTTTGTGCACCGTATAGTCGGTAAGACAACATTCTGAGGCCCACGTTTTAGTTAGTTACCAACTCCTAGAAGCCAATGGAAAATCACAGTCTTTGATGTGTAAAATAACTGAGAAAAAGGGTGTAGAGCCTTATAAAATACCTGAGCTTCATCTGGACCAGCCAGGAGCAAGACTTGAAATCCTCTTACTGAGGAAAATGAAGGAATGCACACTTGCCTTTTGAGGCACAAAATAAAAGAAACCTATAAAATTTGTGTGGCACAGTGTCCCAGAAATCAATTATGTAATTCTTAGAGCAAAAACCTGCTTATAATCTGCTGTTTAACAAAATTTTTAAGGGTTATAAAAGGTTTATTAAAATCTTACCATACGGTCAAACTGATTCAGATTAAATACCTTTGTCTATAAGGTTTGATTAAGGTTTGGGTTTAACATAAATAGTACATTAATGTAAAGGTGAAATTTGGCTTATTGGGTATAAAAATCATACAGGGAGCACTGCCAAATATGAAATGGTATTTGGCTTTCTTTGGGCTATAGTTGCATAAATATGTTATTGGTATGTGATCTGAAATAATGGGAAACTCCTATAATTCTGACATGACTTAGTGTATGTTATTAATAATTATAAGAAAAACCTGTTGTACTTTTATTCCAATGTTCAATTTATCGAAAAACTGAATAATATCCCTTTAATTTTAGCCAATATGTTCACACAGATAATTTCTTCTATGAGATTAAGATTTCACAGACCTTTAACAACTTGCCTAAACCTTCAGCTTTATCCTAATTTAAAACAGTCCTTTAACTCTCTAAACTTAGGCAAGAAATCCACATTCCCATGCCTTCTTATAATCTTTTACCAAAAGTACATTCTACTTCCCTCCCACACTTTGAAGGTAAAACTGTTTCTTCAGCAGTCTCAATTACATGTTACAATGTTAACTCTTTTTTTTTTTTTTTTTTTTTTTTTTGAGATGCAGTCTCGCTCTGTCGCCAGGCTGGAGTGCATACAATGTTAACTCTTAGCAACTTTTATTTTTGGTGAAAAACCTGGTTAGTAAGTGATTTTAATTATGTACCAGGTGTGGAGCCCAGGACCCAGACAAAATTAGATAAAGGACTCATTCCCTAAGGCAGGAATTGAACCCTGAACCTGGGCCGCCACTGTGAAAAGAGAAAGCATCACTACATGGTTACAAGGTCAGGCTCCCCAAGACATACAAGACAAGAGGGAAATCTCATCCAGTTTTGTTTTTAGGGACCTGCAGCAAAATTTATAACTGACCAGTTTGCTGGGCCACCTTGAACAGTCGGCTTACAGGTGTCCTAAGACCATGTTCCATCCTATGATACCCCTCTTTATGGCAGAGCAATACAGAAAGACACACAAAGCACACCAGATTCACTATAGCTTAGGACTAGCCTCACAAATCCTTTTTTTCCATTAATCTAAACTTTTACGGAGGAGATAAACAATGATTTTTACCGTTCATTCAACCAGTTTGCACACACAGAGAGAGAGAGACAGAAACAGACAGAGAGAGGGAGAGGAAGCATTGCTTGAGGCAGGGTGGGGAAGGCCAGGTGCTCAGGGAGACCACAGAAAGACCCACCCATTGCAGTGACACTGAAAAGTTCAGGCAGCTGCTTGTCAGTAGAAAAGGGATATTTTCCAGTGGTATCATCAGCTCTCGAGTTTCCCCTTTTAGGGAGGAAAAAGCTCCCCATGTCCCACAATCCTATATGTGCCTAATCCTGTCACCCACAGCCCTCAGCAAAGAGTTCAAGGCAGATTAATCCAAAGAGAATAGCAGTTAACGTCTCATAATACCAAACCCATTCTTAGCCAAAAAGGACTTTACTGAAAGGGGCTTCTAACCCCTTAAATCTTAAAAGGGACCCTAACCCTCCTAAGTTGGGCCTTTAACCCAAGGTAGGTCAGGTGTCCTTGCCTTTTATCAAGAGCGGCCTCTGACCCACTCTGTCTTAGGAGAGACTCTGACTCCCCTAAGTTGGGCCTCTAACCCAATTCCATCCTTTACCTGGGTACCCCACCACTTACCCAAAGTTGGCCTATCAGTGCTGCACTCTATTTCCTTTGGGTCGGGGGGTTTCTTCAGTATCGTCCCCTCAGGGTTCACTAGAAAAATGTTACTGGCCCCCACCACTTACCAAAAGTTAGCCTTTGGGTGGGGGTTTTCTGCACTGCAGTCCCTTCAGTGGTCACCAGAAAGATGCTACAGGAAAGGAGTCCCAATCCAGACCCCAAAAGAGGGTTCTTGGATCTCATGCTAGAAAGAATTCAGGGCGAGTCTTTGGAGTACAGGGAAAGCAAGTTTATTAGGAGAGTAAAGGAATAAAGAATGGCTACGCCACAGACAGAGTAGTCCCGAGGCTGTTGGTTGCCCATTTTTATGGTTGTTAATGATGATATGCTAACAAGAGGTAGATTATTCTTGCCTCCCCTTTTTAGACCATATAGGGTAACTTCCTGACGTTGCCATGGCATTTGTAAACTGTCATGGCGCTTGTGGGAGTATAGCAGTGAGGACGACCAGAAGTCACTCTCATCACCATCTTGGTTTTCATGGCTCTCAGCCAGCTTCTTTACTGCAACCTGTTTTATCAGCAAGGTCTTTAAGACCTGTATCTTCTGCCAACCTCCTCTTTCATCCTGTGACTGAGAATGCCTTAACTTGCTGGGAATGCAGCCCAGTAGGTCTTAGCCTCATTTTACCAAGCCCTTATTCAAGATGGAGTTGCTCAGGTTCAAACACCTCTGACAGTAGTTTTTAACTCTTAGTAACCTTCATTTCTAGTGAAAACTCTAGAAAGTAATTTTGAATTGTTTCGTATCAGTTATTTGTAGATAAAAACCATTTTATAATTTTTTAGAAATATAGTTCTTCAAATTATTTTTTATTATCAGATCTAAATATATTTACTTTTCTATACTATATAGAAATAATATGTCAAGGTATATGGACTTAAATCATGTTTAATAATGAATATTCCAGTATTTTAGCTTGAACATGACTCATTTTCTGATTTTTTGTATTACTTAATTTAACATAACATGACTCTTGGATTTTAAATTACAGAAAATAATTTTGAGTCGGGCGCAGTGGCTCACACCTGTAATCCCAGCACTTTGGGAGGCTGAGGCGGGGGGATCACGAGGTCAAGAGATCGAGACCATCCTGGCTAACATGGTGAAACCTCGTCTCTACTAAAAATACAGAAAGAAATTAGCCGGGCGTGGTGGTGGGCGCCTGTAGTCCCAGCTACTCAGGAGGCTGAGGCAGGAGAATGGCATGAACCCAGGAGGCAGAGCTTGCAGTGAGCCGAGATCGCACCACTGCACTCCAGCCTGGGCAACAGAGCGAGACTCCATCTCAAAAAAAAAAAAAAAATTTTGAGGCTATGACATAGGCAGCCTCCCTAATGTCTCCTCCCAGCCATTCTAGGTCCCAAGAAGCCATGTGCCACCCATGAGGACTATGAAGATCAGGGCCTCTCTGAGTCCATCAGAACAGAAGCCAGAGCTGTGAAGGCTATACTTGGAGAATCCAACCCCTCCCACAATAGCCAGGAGTCAAAACAGGGAAAGCAGAGGAAGAAGGGGCCATATTGGGCTTGTAGCTGGTGGTCTAGGCACCAAGAATGCGTCTCCAGATGTCATCTTGGCCACCTATCCAGACCCCTGAATCCAGAGACTCTAAACCAAAGACATAAGCTCACAATCAAATCAAGCGAGTATCTAATTATATTTAACTGATAGTTTTGAAGCCATTTTTATTTTATGAACGAATTAAAAACTAGCTTTATTTACCAGATACCACATACACATAACATATATAGACATACAAACGAACAGAAGCGGATCCTATAGCTTTTGCCAGTTTTTAAATACTTTTTCTTTTCTCCATTTGGTGTATCAATCTTTCTATTACCTGTTTCATTTCCCTAAGCAATTGTTAACTAGGCAACAAATTTGCATTTCTAAAGAGAGAACTTGCCACAATTCCCAGTTGCTATGAGAGGGAAATTGACACAATCCCTTAGGTGAAACAAAAAAACCATGTATATTTCATAAGCACAGAGCTAAGATTCTCGGCCTAAGTATTGATTCATCATTTGCTCAAACCCAGGGAAAAAAAAAAACTGCTCAAGTAAAAGTTCACTTAAGATAGACAGAAAAGCACCTTAAACAAAGGCATTACTGATTATTTAAATTTAAAAAAAGGTTAGAGTTTCTATTGTACATTGGCAGACATCCCTACAAATTGAGATTTCCTTTATAGATGTAAATTTCCTTTACAAAAGAGTTTCAAGGTAGCCAATTAAATTCCAGAAAGGTGCATTTTATTTCAATAGGGTGTCCTTTTTAATGTAACCACTGTTTCTTAGTTAAAATTACTGAGTTCAGGGTGGAACCCATTAGGGAACAGAGTCAAAAAAGCATCCTCTATGGCTGGCCTCCCGCATGGATAGGTCGGAACAAGAAGCAAGCCTATTTTACCTGACGGCCTAACTTTTATAAATACCTTATCTAGGATAGCTTTCTTTCCACCTTTAGGGTGGAATAGTAACTAAGCAAAGATTAGCAGATTTAATTTTTCTTATCAATTAGTTTCTTAAGCTTTTTATTTGCCTTTCATAAAATCTTTAAATAAAAAGATTGAAATCTTTTTAGAAGCTTCTGCATATCAATAGGCATCCCTAGATGAGACTAATTCAGGAGGCCTCATTTTCAAATGCATTTCTTCAGTGCAGTGTTGTTTATTTGGAACCTTCCATGGTAAATTATCTTTAGTAAGATTTCACCATTTCTGTAAGACTTTGCTGCTTCTGAGGCCTCATACTTATGCATCGTGAAAGGAAAATAAATCTTGGGGCCCCAAAATCACTAAGCTAAAGGGAAGAGTCAAGCTGGGAACTGCTTAGGGCAAACCTGCCTCCCATTCTAATTCAAAGTCACTCCTAAGCTCACTGAGATGAATGCATATCTGATTGCCTCCTTTGGAGAGGTTCATCAGAAACTCAAAAGAATGCAACCATTTGTTTCTTATCTACCTATGACCTGGAAGCCCCCTCCTGGCTTTCCAGACCTAACCAATATTCATCTTACAAATGTTGATTGATGTCTCATGTCTCCCTAAAATGTATAAAACCAAACTGTGCTCTGACCACCTTGGGCACTTGTCATCAGGACCTCCTGAGGCTGTCACAGGTGCGCATCCTCAACCTTGGCAAAATAAACTTTCTATATTAATGGAGGCCTGTCTCAAATATTTGGGGTTCACAGCATGTATAAGCCAGAAGGTACTCAGTTCTTCCAAAACTAAAGGTTCCATCTTTACCTGAAATATTGGCTTTGGAGATCAGGTTCCCTTAATCAACTTGGCTAATCATTTTTTTCCCTATCTAAGCCTGCAATAAAAATGAAACAAAGAGGAGAATAGAAAAATCCCCATGAATTTCCAAAAGCCAAATTTTACACCCCCTGCAATATTGCCATTTACTACTGGTTTCTTTCTGTCCCAGTCAGACATAAGAGGCCTATAACTGGATCCAAGCCAGCTAATTATCAGATCCAATCCGACCCCTTAGATAGGAATTTGAGCAAGATAAAAAATATCAGAGCTTAGTCCTCAGTGGGTCCAGTGGGTACCTTGCTTAGTCACTCAGCACTCATGGGGGTCATCAGAGGATCTACTTTGGATCTCACTTCTGATGCCACCTATTAAATGAAAAAACTTTGGCTGAATTAAATTTAAGAGTTTAATTTAGCAAAGAACAATTTGTGAATCAGACAGCCTCCTGAGCCAGAGTAGGCTCAGAGACTCTAGCGCAGCCACGTGGTAGAAGACTTACAGGCAGAAAAAGGAAAGTGACGTGCAGAAAACAGATGTGAGGTACAGAAACAACCAAATTGGTTGCAGCTCGGCAGGCATTTGCCTTATTTGAACATAGTTTGAACAGTTAGCCCTTGATTGGCCAAAACTTGGTGATTGGCACAAAAGTAGGCTTCAGTCTGTTTACATCTTCATTTAGGTTAAAGTTCACTATGTACAGAGAAGCCTTTAGGCTGAACTTAAAATACGTTAAAAGGCAGCTTTAGTCTAAACTTGATTTAACAATATAAAGAATTGAGGCAAAGAGAATTTCATAACTTGCTCAAGATCACAGAGAAATGAGAAACTTAGAATAACTCTCAAGTACTCGGACTCCAGACTGGATGCTGTTAACCTCCCCTAGACTCTCATGTCTATATTGCTTTTGGCCTATAACTTTTTCATGTGTGTGCATGAAATTGTGAACTTCTTTTCAGTGATAGTCTTGTGTTCTTATTTTATTACACTTTTTAGTTCTTCTTGAATATGGCTGCACCACTCTGAACACGCCTGATCTTGTCTGATCTCATGAAGCTAAGCAGGGTCAGGCCTGGTTAGTATTTGGATGGGAGGAATAGATCTTGAATTTTATAAATAGCACTCAGACATCTATTTTTATGCTTATTTTTAAATGTCTTGATAAAATGTTTGACTACTATTACATTCTTGGGAAAAATCTCCCTTTTTTGTGTTACACTTTTAATAATCACTAGATTTTGTTTGCTAAAATGTTATTTAGAATTTTTCATGTATTTTTCACTGGACTGTGATTTTTCTTTTTATATAACATCTTTTTTAAGGGTCTTTGTTAATATTACACTCAAGTTTTCTTGTTTTCTTTGCCCTGAATTCAAGCAGTTAAAAATCCATGGGAAATAGTTTTCCTTGACATTTTCTTTTTTTTTTTTTTTTTTGAGACAGAGTCTCGCTCTGTCACCCAGGCTGGAGTGCAGTGGCGTGATCTCGCCTCACTGCAACCTCTGCCTCCTGGGTTCATGCCATTATCCTGCCTCAGTCTCCTGAGTAGCTGGGACTACAGGTGCCCGCCACCACGCCTGGCTAATTTTTTATTTTTTGTATTTTTAGTAGAGACAGGGTTTCACTATGTTAGCCAGGATGGTCTCGATCTCCTGACCTCGTGATCTGCCTGCCTTGGCCTCCCAAAGTGCTGGGATTACAGGTGTGAGCCACTGCGCCCGGCCTTTTCCTTGACATTTTCAAAGAACTATGCATGTAATATTATAGTGACTGTTCACCCAGCCCCTTGCCCTAAAGCCTGGTAACATGATTAACTCATGATTCCTGGATAAATGCTATGTTCTCATTCCTCCATTTTTATCTATACGTAAGGCTCTTGGCTTTGAATTTTATTTCTATCTCTTTGTTTGGTTAAGTTCATCTTGGTAAAACATTAGCTCTCCCCGCATTTGTTCTCAGTTCTATGATGTAGAGTTGATAAACTTTCCCAGTAGGACAGACACATATTTTGCCCAATGTGTGTTCTCTGTAAATGCAGGTGAGGAAGGAGGGGTAATTAGAGGAAACAGAATTAGAATCTCTAGGGATTTGAGCCCTTAAACAATTCTACGATAAACTACAATTTATACAATATTTTCTGAGTCATGTAGTTTTGTGTTGGATTGCTTTCGGTCTGGTAGAATTCAGCTGGGAAACCAACTGGTCCAGGGCTTTTTTGGTTGGTAGGTTTTTCATTACTGATTCCATTTCAGAAGTTGATATTGGTCTATTCACGTTAACAGTCTTTTCCTGATTCAATCTTGGAAAATCGTGTGCTTACAGGAAAGTATCCATTTCCTCTAGATTTTCTAATTTGTGTGCTTAGAGTTATTCATAATAGTTTCTGAAGGTCTTTTGTATTTCTGTGGGACCAGTTATGATACTGATAAAAAAAAAAACCACCTTTTTCATTTCTGATTGTGCTTTCTTGGATCTTCTCTTTCTTTTTCTTTGTTAAACTGGCTAGTGGCCTATCGATTTTATTTTTTTGAAAAACCAAGTCTTGGTTTTATTGATCTTTTGTATGGATTTTTACATGTCAATTTCATTAAGTTCTTCTCTAATTTCAGTGGTTTTTCTTCTGCTAGTTTTGGATTTTCTCCTCCCTAGTTCCTTTCCCTTAGTTGACCTAGTTTCTTCCTTTCCAAAGATAGATTGTTAATTTGAGATTTTTTTAACTTCTTGATGAAGACATTTAGGGCTATAAACTTTCCTCTTAACACTGCCTTGGCTGCATCCAGAGATTTTGGTAAGTTGTGTCCCTATTTTCATTAATTTCAAACGATTTTTTTGATTTCTGCCTCAATTTTGATGTTGACCCAGGAGTTATGCTAGAGTAAGTTAGTTAATTTCATGTATTTGTATAGTTTGAGGCAATCTTGATATTGATTTCTACTATTATTGTACTGTGATTCAAGAATGTGCTTTGGTATGACTTCAATCATTTTGAATTTATTGAGACTTTTTATGATCAAGCATGTGGTTGATCTTAGAATACATTCTGTGTGCAGACAAGAAAAATGTATATTTTTTGGTTGTTGGGTGTAGTGTCCTGTAGCTGTCTGAGATCCAGTTGGTCAAGTGTCAAGTTTAAATCCAGAGTTTCATTGTTAACTTTCTGCCCTGATGATCTAACGCTGTCAGTAGGATGTTCAAGCCTCCCACTAGTATTTTGTGTTTGTCTAAGGTTTTTCGTTGGCCAAGAAGAACTTATTTTATGAATCTGGGTGCTCCAATGTTGGGTGCATATATATTTAGAACAGTTAGGGCTTCTTGTTGGATTGTACCCTTTATCATTATGTAATGCCTTTTATTGTCCTTCTTGATTTTTTATTTAAAGTCTGTTTTATCTGATATAAGTATAGTGACTCCTGCTCTTTTTTCCTCTCAGTTTGCATGGTAGAATTTTCTCCATTCTTTTACTTTGAGCCTGTGGGTGTTATTATATGTGACATGGATTTCTTGAAGCAAACTGACATTTGGGGCTTGTCTTTTTATCAGGCTTTCCACTCTGTGACTTTTAAGTGGGCATTAAGCCCATTTATATTCAAGGTTACTATTGATGGGAATGATTTTAATTTTGTCATTGTGTTGTTAACTGGCTGTTATGTAGACTTAATTACGCAGTTGCTTTATAGTTCTTGTGGGCTATGGTCTGAAGTGTCTTTTGTGGTAGCAGGCTCTTTCAATTCTATGTTTAGCACTCCCTCACCAGGTCCCCCTCACCGGGGACCTGAGGATCTGAGGACTCCCTCACCAGGTCCACTTCTGGGGATGTCTTGTAAGTCTGGTCTAGTTTAAATATACTCCCTCAGAATTTGCTTTTCTGAGAAGGATTTTATTTCATCTTCATTTAAGAAGCTTGGTTTGGCAGCATATGAAATTCTTGGTTAGAATTTTTTTTCTTCAAGATGCTAAAAATAGGCCCCCAATCTCTTCTGGCTTATAAGGTTTCTGCCGAAAGGTCTGCTATTAGCCTGATGGGTTCCCTTTGTAAGTTACATTCCCCATCTTTCTTGCTGCCTTTAAGATGTTTTCTTTTGTGTTCACTTCAGTGAATCTGATGACCACGTGCCTTGGGGATGGATGTCTTGTATAGTATCTGGCTAGGGTCCTCTATATTTCTTGGATTTGCAGGTCAACCTCTCTAATGAGTTTAGGGAAATTTTCATGGACTATGTCCTCAAATATACTTTCCAAGTTGCTTATTATTTTTCTTTCTCAAGAATGCCAATGAGTCATAGATTTGGTTTCTTTGCATAATTGCATATTTCTCAGAGGTTTTGTTCATTTTTCTTTATTTTTTCTCTTTATTTTTGCCTGACTGAGTTGACTTAATTAACTGTCTTCAAGCCCTGAGGTTCTTTTCTCTGCTTGGTCTATTCTGCTGTTAATAGTTCTGCTTGTAGTTTGAAATTCTCGTAGCGAATTTTTCAGTTCAAGAAGTTCAATTTTGGGTCTTTCTTAAAACGGCTTCTTAGTCTTTCAACTCTTGAATCATTTTACTGAATTGCTTTGCATCCTTGGATTGAGTTTCAACTTTCTCTTGGTCTTGATAAGCTTCCTAGCCATCCAGATTCTGAATTCTATGTCTGCCATTTCAGACATTTCAGACTGATTAACCATTGCTGGGAACCTAGTGGGCCTGTTTGGAGGTGAGGGGACACTGGCTTTCTGAATTGCCAGAGTTCTTATTCTGATTTTTTTCCCATCTGAGAAGGCTGGGTTCCTTTAACTGTGATGGTAATCTAGCATAGTCAGTTGGCTTTGTATCCGGAAGTTTTCAGAGGGCTAAGGCTCTGTAAGGGTCTTTGTGGTTGAATTCTTGCCCTTGGTTTATCAGCAGGGAGAAGTGGCAGAGTGACTTTTTTGTTGTTGTTGTAGTTTGGGCTGCGATCTGGTAGATAGTGCTTGAGAGCAATGGATGGAAGACGGGCTCTTACTTGGCAGCATGGCTCCTTTGTGTATCCTTGGATTTGCAGCTATGCTCTGTGGTACAAGGGGGAGAGAGGTGACCCCCTCACCAGGTCCACTCCTGGGGACTGGGGGAGCCATCTCTGATCGCTGGCACTTTGCCAGCAATTCCAATTATTTATTTATTTATTTATTTATTTATTTATTTATTTATTTATTTAAATTTGATGTTTCAGCCTCGGGGCTCCCTTGGACAGAGGTCCAGTAGGGAAATAGGCCACATCTTTACTGGACCTGCCCTGTGGAGGGGAGGCACATCTAGGTTCTAGGCCAACTTGTGAACCAGTGCAATTCACCCTTCTCAGTTTTCTGGGAGTGTGGGGTCCTCCCCAACTTGAGTGCAGAGCACAGATCCTGGCTAGGTAATCCTGAGCCATGGGCCAGGACCCTGGGGTGCCAGGACCTGCTTGCAGCTCCCTTCTCCAGACCCTTGGGACTGGGTCCCAGGTGCACTATAGGATCTGAAGGGCTCCCAGGCTTCCAGAATGCACTTAGGTGGCACAAAGCACCCAGGCTGGGCAGTGGAGCTATGCTGTATACAGGCTTCTGCAGGGTGGCCAGGCAGAAGACTTGGGAGGGGCTGGCAGGCAGGTGGCCTGTGAGACAGATGTGCCCCAGTCCCACAGGGAAGGTGGCCCTGCTTTCTCCCCAGTGGTTAGCTAGGGCCAGAGACTGTCAAAGGGAGATAGGCAGCCCTTGGTGGGGTTAGGCTCCGCCAAAGCTGTCCCTAGCACAAAGGTTCCTGGCGCCATGCCTGTGGCAGCTCTGTCTCTGTCTAATCTCTGAAGACATCCACCTACCAGCTCAAATGTCCGTGGCGCGTGTGAGGTCTCCAGTCTCCAAGTCCCTTCACTTACCCTTTCCTCAGACACCGCTGGAGGCCAGGAAGCAGCCTTAGCATTCAGTTACCCGCACGGAGTTTCCAGCTTCCTCCCTCTTCAGCCTCAGGGTCTGCATCTTTTCTACATCCACATTCAGCATCTTCTTTACAAAGATCTGTTGAAATTATGTTGATTTAGTCAAAATCTCGGCCTCTCTCCATGGGAGCCACACTTCCCAGCAGCATTGAGTTGGCCATCTTAAGACCCAGTTGGTGTATAATTTTTAAATATTTAATAGAAACTTTAAAATATTTGAAAAATTAATCTTACATTATCACACTGCCCATTCTGAATTGTCAGCTTCCATGAGTGTAATCATTAGCTTAACTGTCTGTACTATGTATTCTTCAAATTAAAACAAATGACATAGTTATTTGGAATAATTTTTTATAAAGGTGGACAACACGATGTTTCTGTAGCGTTATTAAATTACTAGTTATCTAGTTATCTAACTTGGACAGCACTTAGCAAGTTAGATAACTGACTTGATAGTTTGTAAAACTAATCTCATTGACATTTCTTCTAGTCCAGATATTATTTTCTCCGATAAACAACCATTGTTTATAAAATCACTGTCAAGGAAAGATTAAAATAGATTTAATGAACTAAAAGAAGTAGAAGGTTTGTTTATTAAGAGGAAGAGTTCAGAGATCTGAGCTCAATACGAGTACACATCTTAAATGAAATAAAGGGAATAATGAGAAAGAAAGAAGTCAAATGAATATCTAAACATGTTTCATCAAGGAAAATATAGGAAAAACATTTGCCTATATATTCATAAAGGCAAAATGTAAATATCTAATTAAAGTGCAGTTGTAAAGAAGGACAGGCAATACAGCTTTATTAACATACAGCTGCTTTTTACTGGTTATCCAACATCCTTGATGAAGATTAGATTTTATCACCCACCATCTCCTCAGGGTCCACCTGCGAGGTGGTGGGTTTTGCAAGTTGACAAACACAACTGAACTTTATCTATTATTCACGTTGGGTTTCTATATGAATTTCTGTGAATAAAGTTTTCTATTACTAAATTTTTAATAGTAAAATTGAGAACGTTTTTCTTATTGCCATTATTTTTTCTTTTCTTTTTATACATTATTTTACAGCATCTTTTAATGCTGTCAATCTATAGAAGATAGAATGTTGTTGTATTTCCTTACAGGTTCTACTGACTTTGAAGTGTTCTGAAGTTGAAGGTTATGATTCTTTCTCATTTTGTTTCAAAACAGGGTCCCCATTTCCCTAACGTAGGATTCGAGGGCACAAGCAGAGGAGGAAAGGGGTGTCAAAGTCAGAACCGCCTAGAAGGCAACGAGAAGCAGAAGCGCAGGCCTGCGAGATGCTCATCAGAGTGACTTAGCTGTGGGCTGCGGAAAGCAACGGAAGGAACTCACATCCACTGGCCGCATTCCGCTCCCCGGAACGGAGGACAGAGCCGAGTTTCTTCAGGCAGTGGCTCCGGCCAACTCTGCCCCACAGGTAAGGAGCGCGCAGCTGCCACACACCGCAGGCAGCGCGAACACAGACTCGGCCTTCCTAGGGCGCCGGCGTGTTGAGGGCGCCGCCCCCGTCGCTGCTGGGAGCTCGGCAGGCCCGTGGCCTTCTGCCTGGTTCTCCCGCCTCTGCAAGCCTCGCCTTCAGGACTCCGCCTCGCCTTCCTCTTTTCTGTTGGACAGACTCACGGGACCGTCTGCCTGGATGATGTGTGCACATTTCTTACCACGATTCCTCTGCACACCAGGTCCAGGGACTGCCGCGCTAGGGACGGCACAGCTGAACTGTGCAGGCAGCGAAGGGGCCTCACGGGGACCGCTCAGCTCCCTGAGGGCGCAGCCCCCCCTGGTCGGGGGGGAATAAACTTCCGCGGTTTTCAGTGACCCAGTTTGTGGCACGGCACAGGTTGAAAAGTTAAAATCTGAGCGCGTTAACTTCAGAGATGTACTGTGAGCGGCTTTGTGCAGCGAAATGACCTGTTTACCGAACAGCGCCCTCTGTAGCCCAGTGCTCAGAACGGGCCTTTTCATGATGTTCCTGCGTTGTGTTTACAGCCTCCCTGTGAGGGGGTTGCGCGCACAGGTGGACCTCGTTTTATTGCGCCTTGCTCTATTGTGCCTCGCAGATACTGCACTTTTTTTACAAATTGAAAGTTTGTGGCAACTCTGTTGGGGCACCTCTATGGGTGCCATTTTTCCAACGGCTCGTGTTCACTTCATATCTCTGTGTCATATTTTTAATTCTTGTAATATTTCGAATTTTTTCATTATCATTATATCCGTCATGGTGATCTGTAATCAGTGATCTTTGATTTTACTTTGTAATTGTTTTGGGGAACCAACGACCGCACCCACGTAAGACAGAAAACGTAATAAATGTCACGTGTGTTCCGAGTGCTCCAATGACCAGCTGCCCCCCATCTCTCTCCCTCCCCTCAGGCCTCCCTGTTCCCTGAAACGCAATTGTGGGATTACACCATTAATAACCTACAACGGCCTCTAAGTGTTCAAGTAAAAGGAAGAGACACACATCTCTCACTTTAAATCGAAAGCTAGAGATGATTAAGCTTAGTAGGGAAAGCCTGTTCCAAGTTGAGATAGGCTGAAAGCAAGGCCTTTTGCACCCAGGAGTTAGCCCAGTTGTGAATGCAAAGAAAAACCTCTTAAAGGAAATTAAAAGTGCTGCTCTAGTGAACACATGAATGACAAGAAAGCGAAACAGCCTTATTACAGTGGTCTAGATAGATCAAACCAACCACAGCGTTCCCTCAGGCCAAAGCCTACTCCAGAGCAAGGAACTCTCCTCAGTTCCACAAAGGCTGAGAGGAGTGAGAAAGCTACAGAAGAAAAGTTTGAAAGTAGCAGAGATTGGTTCATGAGGTCTAAGGAAATAAACCATGTCCACAACATAAAAGTGCTTCCCTCCAATAAAATGTCATGAAATAAGAACTTTTTACAAATGTGCTCATTGCTGATTCCCTAGCCCTAAAACAATGCCTGCCACATGGTGACCATTGAATAGCTACGGGATGACGGGTCAGAAGGGGCATCAGGATGAATGATCACTCATGAACAAGGCAAAACAAAGGACATTTTCAGATGAGCCAAAATTGAAAGAGTTGATTGCCCCCATCTCTTCATGCTCGTCAACTAGAAGGAAACTGTGCCCAAGAAACGGGAAAGAAGCGCCCCAAATTCTGCATAAATTTAAAAAGTTTAAAGTAAACACTGGCTATGTAAACACCACAGTGATAATCATAACTAATACTGAGGGTAAAGACAACTTAGAGTAAAAATCCTGGCAGAAGCCAACACAATGACATGAGAGATTGGGGAGGAGAATCAGAACTAGAAGACTCTTGAGTTGGTTGTAGAGGACGGTAAGGATACTGATACATTTTCAGTTTATGAAATAAAACCTCAGGTTAAAAGGAAAGTTATTTTCAGATTATATAATTTTCTTAATGTCTGTTTCTTATAAGATCATATTTAAAGATAAAGATTTAGAAATAGCAAAAGAGAAAGAATAGAAACAGGCACATATTAACTAACTAAAAGAAAGCTGCTATACCTATTAGATTTAATAGACTTAAAGCAGAAAGCATTAAAGGTATAAAAATAGGTGTCACTGGTTAAGGATTTTTAAAAAGAAACCAATTTATAAGAAAGAGAAAAATTACAAATAAATATTAGTAAATTCATAACCGAACTAGGATTTATTTATTTATTTTTTTTTGAGATGGAGTCTTGCTCTGTCACCCAGGCTGGAGTGCAGTGGCGCCATCTCAGATCACTGCAACCTCCGCCTCCTGGGTTCAAGTGATTGTCCAACCTCAGCCTCCTGAGTAGCTGGGATCATAGGCGCACTCCACCGCATCCGGCTAACTTTTGTATTTTTAGTAGAGATAGAGTTTCACCATGTTGGCCAGGCTGATCTCGAACTCCTGACGTCAGGTGATCTGCCCACCTTGGCCTCCCAAAGTGCTGGGATTATAGGAATGAGCCACTGCGCCCGGCCCAAACTGGGATATTTTTAACACAGTTCTCTCATTACCTAATGCAGTGGTCCCCAACCTTTTTGGCACTAGGGACCAGTTTCATGGAAGACAATTTTTCCACGGACTGGCATGGGTGTGGGTTGTGGGGGGGTTGGCTGATTACGTTCACTAAATTTACTGTGCACTTCATTATTATATTGTAATGAAATAATTATAAATTATACAATTCACCGCAATGTAGAACAAATAGGAGCCCTGAGGGTTTTTTTTGTTTTGTTTTGTTTTGTTGTTGTTGTTGTTTTGTTTTTGTTTTTAGAAAGCCTCACACTGTAACCCGGGCTGGAGTGCAATGGCATGATCTTGGCTCACTGCAACCTCCACCTCCCAGGTTCAAACGATTCTCCTGCCTCAGCCTCCTGAGTAGCTAAGATTACAGGTGCCATCCACCACGCCCAACTAATTTTTTGTATTTTTTTTTTTTTAGAAGAGATAGGGTTTCCCTATGTTTACCAGGTTGGTCTCGAACTCCTCACCTTGTGATCTGCCCACCTTGGCCTCCCAAAGTGCTGGGATTACAGGCGTGAGCCACTGCACTCGACCGCCCTGAGCTTTTTTTCCTGCAACTAGAGGGTCTGATCTAGGGGTGAAGAGAGACAGTGAGAGATCATCAGGCATTAGATTCTCATGAGGAGCGCACAGCCTAGATCCCTCGCATGCGCAGTTCACAGTAGGGTTCGCACTCCTATGAGAATCAAATGCTGCCACTGGTCTGAAGGAGGCGGAGCTCAGGCCTAACGGAGCGATGGGGTGTGGCTGTAAATACAGACAAAGCTCCCCTGTCTTGCCCGCCGCTCACTTCCTGCTGTGCAGCCCAGTTCCCAAGAGACCCAGGGGTTACCTAGAGGATGGCGTTTTAGAGTCCAGGTGAGACCGGGAAAGAATGTGGTGGCTTTTAAGACAATGAGCTGACTGCACTGTGCGAGTAAGTAACACCCATTTATCTCCGTTGCTGCTCGAGCCATGTAGCCAGGCCCACCCAGAAAAGCTGAAACACAAGCCCCAGACTGAGGTCTGACGGCGTTTACGGAGGCATCCAGACCTGGGTGCGCTTACACACCGGCACGGAAGCCACAGGCTCACAGTTCTTGGATAAGAACCAGGAAAACATGCATTAAGCAGGGTAAGCCCCAAATTATCTGGACAGCTGCTGCTGTGGGGAACTTGCCTCCAGGGCTCAAGTATCTGCTAACCTGCAAGTCCCCACACCTCTGCACATTCGCATGCAAAGGCACCTACCCACACGGGTTCCTGGTGACGTCACTCACCTGTCTGCTTGTTAAGAAACTGCACAACTTCCAAACCATCAGGGTAGGTCGTGTGTGTCGTCTGAGCATTTGCATAATAGTAAACCTGTAAGCACCAGAAACACCTATGTTGGGAGGCAGTTTGTGTTATCATTTTGAACCTGGATTTAATCTAGTAAAGTCCTTCCTACAGGGGGGTAAAAGCACCGTCCCAGCAGGTGGGAGTGGGCTGACCTTGTCCATGGGCATCCTCCACAGCAAGGAGGCGTGGGGAGAGGGCTTGTCACCCAAGCCCAGAAGTCAAGACACTGTGGCTCTAGGCTAGTGGGAGAGAGGACTGGACTGAGGTGGAATTCCCAGTCCTTCACCTGGGAGAAATGCACCTTGCGCTGGCATTTTGCAGCCTCTGCCTCTAAGTCGGTGGGCACGGCTGAGCCCCGGACAGTCAGCACCAGGAATTTGGACCATGTTTTGTGTTTTATTAAAGTGGTTATCTCCCACTTATATGTTTGCTCTGGGGTCAGGGTGGCCACAGTGACAACCGCCACATTCAACACCTGATACAAATAACACACAGAGACATACAAATAACATACAAATAACACCTGCCATGACTGTGGCACTGTTTCTAAATGCAGATCATTAGCCCTGAGGCTTCCAGGCAAACCCATTAGCTGGATCCCCAAACAAAATAAAATCCCAAGAAAAATGTTCCCACTCGTCCCCCCACTGAAGATGTTGAAAAGGGCAGAACAGAATGTGGGTTTTTCTCGGGAGAACAGAAAACAAGCGGGACCTGTGTTCCCAGACTTCCCCGCCAGGTGCCTACTTACATCACACGTAAGTTCACAGCCCAAATTTCCTGCCGTAGAGAAAATAATTTCATTTTATTGACATTTTTTGTAAAATATAGCATGTTACAAGTGGACCACTAGCTAGGGCTTAGAAATATGTTTGCTATTCGTGCCTTCGAGTCTATTAATGTCAATTGAGAACTGTAAATCAAAATGATAAAAAATGAAACTTTGACTTGGGAAACTCTTAAGCCATGAAAAATATTAATCCTGTTTGACTATGTGCTAAATGCAACCAACTTAAATCTATAAAAGAAAGTCTCTGTTTGAAAGGCTGAACCTCAGGAAATAAAGAGACATTTGGAATCATCTTAATTTTCTGTTCTTGTCAAGAAGATGCAACCATCTCTTGACACCCACTCCGAATCTCACTTCCCCAGGATGAAAAGGTGAGCTTCTCAGGTCTCCCTCAGGGGAACCTGGCGGGCCACCCTTGCAGAAGCCACTCAGCCCACCTACCTGCAGCTCTGCAATGTTTGGGGAAGAAGCAGTGAACTCATCAGGTTGAACGTGGCTGAGAAATCCACCTTCAGAACTCTCTAAGACTGAGGAGCTTCCGTCTAAAAAGCAAATAAGTTAAATTTAAAAGGATAGTGTATATACATTGTGGAAATATCAGTATCCTAATGCGATTGCTAAATTCAATTTAAGCAAACGTGTGAACACATTCTTTCTTGTTCATGAGATTACTATACACATGTCAGGTCAGTTCAACAACAAATGATCCTGTAAGGAACATTAATTCTTTAATGAATACACTCAGTCGGTATTTCTCTTTCGAGTATTCTGATGGATCAGGAGATTCACGGATGGAAAGGCACTGTCTTGGCCCTGAAGCTGCTCACAGTCCCGCAGCAGGCAAACACAGAAGAGAAAAGCCGAATCCCTGTGACACTGGCTTACGGGACCTATGAAGGGCCACGGGCCATTGTGAAGGAGCACCACAGGCTTCCAGGAGAGCCAGGAGTCAGGGGAGCTTCCCCAGGATGGCGTCACTGTCAGCTGAGATGATGCCTGGAGGTTGCGGAGATACTAGCAGGTGTGTGTGAGAGGCAAGGTCCCCCATTCTGCCCGGCACCAGCAAGTACACTGAAGTCTTGTCCGGGGGCCTGAAGGGGAGGGGACAGCAGGAACAAGGTAGCCAGGCTGGAGCAGACCTGATGGGAAGGGCTTCCCTGCCCCACAGAGAAGTGCAGAGGGGACTGTGAGGGCACGCAGAGCCTGAGGTGGTCTGAAGCAGACAGATGGCACCAGCCTCACCTCTACGAAGCTCCCTGCAGAGGCCATGAAACAGCCTGGGGGTGGGCAGGAAGCCCGGGGGGCAGACTCAGGAGGAAGACAGTGTCAGATTCGGCCCTGAAGGGCCACGCAGACCTCGGCCAAGGATGGGAAGGAGTCCAGGTGCCAGGCAGCCCAGGGCGAGTGGTGCCCACAGGCTTGGGCTGTGCTGTGCATAAGGGCCACACCTGAAGCTCGGCCACACCTGAGGCTCGGCCACCACATAGGCCCCGTTTCTTTACCAAGATAGGTTCCTGCAGAGGTCGTGAAGCTGCTGTGGTCATTTGCTGGCAGCGACGTGAAGATAGAATTCTTTCCTGACTCAACCAGGGGCACTCTCGTCTCCTCCCCGTGAGACCCGCAATGCAGGAAGCACCCACAGCTGCATGGACAGAACTGGGGCCTGGGAAAGAGGCCAGGAAGGTGCCAGATGAGAGGGCGCTCCATCAGGGTGGCAGCAATGCCATGGGCTGGCAAATGGAGAAAGGGGAACAAAGCACCCAAGTGCATCTAGCCCCAGCCACACGCCTTCTGCTGGGAGTGTGCTCAGAGGGAAGTGACCGCTAGGATTCGGAATCTCCAGTCACGGCCCCTGGAGACCGGCATGTGGGCTGTGTGTGGGGTGGAGGGCTGGGGGTGTTGGCAAGTCTCACAGGTGAGGACCCAACGAGGGAATCAGACAAAAAGTGGCCACAAATTAGGCAGCTCCAGGAAGGACATGTCCTTGCCATAGTAAGATGTTCTGCTCACGCGTATCCACGAGAAAGCCCCGCATTTCACGGGGAGCATAGAAACAGGAGTCCCCAACTCTGCTCACCAGCTCCTCCGGCTGCTGCCATCTGCTCCTGCAGCATGGCGGCCTGGGAAGCCTGCACTGGTGATTTTCTGCCACTCAAGTTTTGCAGACTTCGGGAAGATGGATGCATAGCCTGGGGCAATGACAGTCACAGGCCCGCCTTGTCACAAGGTCCCTGGAGCGGGCAATGCCTTGAGCCCAAAGGCTGGGAGCACAAAGCCATCTTCAGCCATCCTCGATTTCCAGCAAGACCCCAGGGCTCACCCAACAGCCCGACACTCCATACTACAAGGTGGGTTAATTTTTTTAAAGACTCTGCAGAAATATACCAACTACAGAGCTCAGGAAAGCAACTGATTTATAAAACCCAATCCAAGTTGTTTGCTTTTATAGCATTAGAGACATGTCTGAAGAACTTCAAGTTTTTATCTATAGAAACATAATTAGTTTAATAAATTACTAGGTCTATTTTGAATAACAAATTGAGTACTTTTATTAGACCTAAGTGGAACTTTATCTGAATCTGAATTTTCCAAGGGGCCAGTGTAGAGTGACACAGGTGTCCGAGGCCACCTTTCCATCTTCAGACACCCCCCCGTCTCTCTGCACAGGGAGTTGGCCTTCCAGTAGGTGTTGCTCTTCTGTCTTGACGTCTCCTGGAAAGATTTTTATCTCTATTTTCCTGTGGTGGTGTTTTCCACGAGCTAATTCTTTCTATCTTTAAACTCATTGGCTGAAAACAAATGTGGGAATATTTTTGCATTAGTAACAATTATATTATTTTTAAATGTTAAGCAACACATCATACCAGCTATCACAGAATGTAGATGATTCTACTCCCCCTTCCTACAGAAGGACACATGAGGTATCCACACTTAGTGTCTCTCATTCCCCATTTTACAGCCCACGCTCTTGTGAAATTTGGGATTCCAATACATGGCTGATATTGTAAAGTCAACAGTGAAATAAAGTGCTTGAAACTCAATTCAAAAATGCATAATAAAAATAATTTTCTACATTTTGCACTATTTAACAATTGATGGTTTCAAGGCGTGGATAAGCCACCCATTCAGTTATCTATTTACTCGTACATTGCCCCGCATGCCTGTGATTAACTCAGGTCAATGATGGAGCATGAGAGAAGTCCGCGTCTCACAGGAGGCTGGGCCTGTGCAGTCCACCCTGGGACTTACGATGTTTTGTACTCATAGGATCTGAAAAGGCTCTTTTCCTACTTGTGACAAATGCTTGGAGTAGATTTCTGATCTTCCTTCAGGGAATAAAGTGTTATCTGCTCAGCAGTTGCTTTGGGAAAGAATGCGAGGGGATAAATCATCTTCAGGAGTTGGGGGCGCCTTCTCCATCCACATCAACCCAGTATCAGTTGCTGGCTGTGGACTCACGAGATTTGCTTCCTGAGTATGAGGGTGACACAAAGCTGGGACAGGAAGAGACACACTGGCTGGGAGAATGTTCTAAAGAGGAGCTAATTTTAACAAAGAAAAATGTGATAGAGACTGCCGAGACCAGCTCGGTCAGGAAGACCCTAACCCAGCAGTGCTAGAGGAATTAAAGACATACGCACGGAAGTATAGCATGTGGAGTGGGAAATCAGGGCACTCACAGCCTTCAGAGCTGAGAGCCGTGAACAGAGATTTACCCACATATTTATTGACAGCAAGCCAGTGATAAATTGTTTCTATAGATTATAGATTAACTAAAAGTATTCCTTATGGGAAACAAAGGGATGGGCCAAAACAAAGGGATGGGCTCTGGCTAGATATCCACAGCAGAAACATGTCCTTAAGGCACAGATCGCTCATGCTACTGTTTGTGGTTTAAGAACGCCTTTAAGCGGTTTTCCACCCTGGGTGGGCCAGGTGTTCCTTGCCATCATTCTGGTAAACCCACAACCTTCAGCGTGGGCATCATGGCCATCACGAACATGTCACAGTGCTGCAGAGATTTTGTTTGTGGCCAGTTTTGGGGCCAGTTTATGGCCAGATCTGGGGGCCTATTCCCAACAAGAGACAAAATAGCATCCTGTACTGTGGCTCCCAAGCTAACAGCGCCACCCCTGTTCAGAGGAGTCCACGCCGACAAGCAGCAGGTGCAAGACCGCAGTGCAGAAGCAGGGAGCACGGGAGGCTGCGAGCCCTCAGACTCACGGGTGGAGACAGTGCCACACACATCACCTCCGCAGCCTGCACCCACGGAAACAAAGCCCCCAAGTCCCCTCGGCCCCAGCCAGACGCTTGCTGCTGTGAGTGTACTCAGAGGGAAGCAGCCGGGAGGACTTGGAATCTGCTCCACAGCAAGAAGTGCTAAGGGTTAGGATCTTGTTTGAAAGGCATGTACCCGTGTCCTTGGAAGAACACAGGACTCCAGGGAGCACCATGCTCACCCAGGGAGGTGAAATTGTGTGGTGAGGAGCTGATGGGATGTGTGTGTTTGGGTACAGAACCTCTGCTTCTCTTTACAGATGATAAGCACAAAGGGTCACCTTTGGAGGAGCTGAATTGTTAGATGACGATCTTTGTCCCAGGAGAGTGGCACTCTGATTCTTGTGGCCAGCGTATTTGGGTATTGTCTCTTCATCAGCTGACAGAGGTGAAATTTTTCCAAAAGCAGGTTCCAATGCCTAAAAGACAAAATGCAGGGAAATTCTTCACATTTTCGAAGGTAAAATAAATTCAAATTTTAATACAATGAAGAATAATTGGAATGTCCTAGAAAAAAATAGGGTACAAGGTAGGGGGACTTGGACTGGGTTTTCCCCCTAATATGTTGATAAGAACAGAAACCCTCACCAAGCGTTTGTGAAGGAACCTTTGTGGAGCCGATGTTTGCTTTGTGTTTCTTATTGTGGTTCCTTGTTTCAAAATGATCACAGGATCCCAAAGGCTACAGAACAAACAATCCCCAACATATCTTCCTTTAGGCTCCTGTGTCTTCAACCGGGAGTGTGTTAACGGAGGAAGAAAATGTGATACTACTTCTAGTGTTGTCTCTACAACTTGTCTAAGATCCAAAATGCAAATTCCCAACTTTCCCTGTTATCAGCAGACTGACCTGGAACAGGGTGATCCTTCAGGTGGGATGAGGTATATTAGGTCTGGAATGCTAAATTATTCACCGTTCTGCCCTCTGAGGAGGAGAAGGGAATGAGAAGGGGAGAGGGTTGCTATGAACGAACCCTTAATATCAGATCCAGAGTGGCTCACCCACACAGCCATGCCCGCGTTCTGTGGGTGCTCGAGTCTCAGCCTTTTAGATATTCAGTCCCTAAAACGGCGACTACACACAGATACACCTTCGCATATTTAAAGTGTGGGATTCACATATCCCATCCTGTTTCTTCAAATCAGGTATGCTCTTGTGAGCGTACATCCTGTTCTTATAAATAGCCCCACGGTGACCAGTGCAATGCACAGAATGGAAAAATATTTGGAAATTCACCAAGCTCTAATCTCAAAATAAGAGAATGATCAAAACTGCAGGGCATGTGAAGACTGAATAAGACTTCATTGACTCTTAGGGTAATTGTTATACAATGACCCAAATGGGGCAGTAGATACTATTTTTTAGGAACTGGCATACAATATATGTAGGGAAAAAAATCCCTGTGAGTCTTCTTGGGTTCTCCCCACAGAAGGTGGACAATCCCGGCCAGTATTTGTGGCAATTTCCCCCACTCTTCCTCTGACAGAGGAACAGCCTGCCCAGCTTCTGCTCTTCCTTCCGCAGAAGGACTCGGCGCTTTGCTGTGCTGAGAGGCTAAACTCACTTTCTTTCTGAGGCAGCAGAAGCCATCTCCATGGAAACAAAGCTCTCGCAGAGCTCCCGAAGAGTGGGAATAACTTCCAAGATTTCCCGTAATTTCTTGTAGAGGAACTTGTGGCAGTTTTTTTTGTTTGTTTGTTTTGTTTTTTTCAGACGGAGTCTTGCTCTGTCCCCCAGGCTGGAGTGCAGTGGCGCGATCTCGGCTCACTGCAAGCTCCACCTCCCTGATTCAGGCCATTCTCCAGCCTCAGCCTCCCGAGTAGCTGGGACTATAGGCACCCGCCACCACACCTGGCTAATGTTTTTGTATTTTTAGTAGAGACGGGGTTTCACCGTGTTAGCCAGGATGGTCTCAATCTCCTGACCTCACGATCCACCTGCCTCGGCCTCCCAAAGTGCTGGGATTACAGGTGTGAGCCACCGCGCCCAGCTGTGGCTGTTTTTGCTGTGCTTGGAGAACAAACCACAGAGCAGTCTCCTCTGGAATGTATTCGGTGGGTGCCTGTGTGTGTGTGTGTGTGTGTGTGTGTGTGTGTGTGTGTGTTGTAATCACTGTGCTGTATCGGAAATATTCTAAGTCCTGGAAGTACCGATTTAAAAGTTCACACAATAAATGCAGCTAGGAAATGTTAGTACTTTTCTTAATCCACTAAGAAATATCCCCACTTACGTTTGGAGGGTGTTCATGTGGTTTCATGTGTTGTTACCTGTATGTATAATTTTAATGATTCAAGTTATTTAGATCCATATGCAGGAAACAGAACCCAGACAAGGCAGTGATAACACTGGCCACATTCACACTCTCTTAGGCTGGTTCTTTGAGCGGTGTGATCAAACGTGAAAGCTCAGTGTTCTGTAGAGGCAGGCTGGTGCTGGGAGGCACCCACTACTTCAGCATGAGAATGCTGGTTCTTCGTTCGGGATAGAGCAGGTTAGTGATACAGGATGGGGGCAGGAAAGTCCTGGGTGGAGAAGAACGGGGTCCCTGGCTAGGGCTCGACCCCTGGGCCTGTGCCCATGGACCTACGCATTTCTGCTTTTGTGCCCAAATGTTGCATTTCCCAAGACCACCGTGGCCTGCCACACTCCCATCCTATGCCTATAAAAACCCCAAGACCCTAGCGGGCAGAGACCAAGCGGCTGGATGTCGAGAAGAACACACCGGCAGAAGAGCACACCAGCAGACACAGCAGACGCCAGCAGGCCATCGACTGGCGGAATGACACGGAGTTTGCTTGGGGTGGTCAGGGGAGAGCCCGGTCACTGGGCAGCCCAACTCCCAAGGGGAAAACTGCCTTCCCACTCCATCTCCCTTCTGGCTCCCCCATCTGCTGACAGGTATCACCACTCAATAAAAAACCTTGCACCCATCCTCCAAGCCCATGTGTGATCTGATTTTTCAGGTACACCAAGGCAAGAACCCAGGATACAGAAAGCCCTCTGTCCTTGTGATAAGGCAGAGGGTCTAATTGAGCTGATAAACACAAGCTGCCTACGGAGGGGTAAACTGAAAGAGCTCCCGCACTGTAACACACACCCTCTGGGGCTTCAGCTGGAAACATTCACCCCCAGACACTGCCGTGGGGTCAGAGCCCCATAGCCTGCCGGTCTGTACACTCCCCTAGAGGTTTGAGCAGTGGGGAACCAAAGAAGCGAGCCACACCCCCATCGCACACCCTGCGAGGGGGACAAGGGAACTTTTCCCGTTTCAACAGGTCTCTATTGCATTCTACACAGCTGTCCTAGAGGATGAACAGAAGGACACCAGGCTACTGAGCTGGCTCTGGAGTCACCCTGGGTTCAAATCCCAGCTCTACGTTCTCCAGCCCGTGGCCACGATGGGGTTAGTAATAGGATCCATTTCATAGGGTCGTCATAGAGAGTAAGACCGTAAAGCTCCGTACCTAGCCCATGTAAAGTCCACAGTAAGGGTTTGCTGCTGTTGTCCTGAGACATCATGAGATGTCTTAGAATTCTGGACTTGAGACACACGGCCTGGGGGCGGCAATGCTTCTGTCTGCTGGAGTGCCAGGTGAGAGGCCTGATGTATCCAGTTCTTATTAATCATTACTTACGGGAAATGGAGTTGATGGAAAGATAGCAACCCCTCCCACCACCCGGAGCGTGAGTGATACCGCGTCATTCAGCAATAAAGCCCACATCTTTATGGGGACGCTATTTTTACATAACGCAAACGGTACAAAAACATAAATGCGCTTTTGGTACCAGAGTGTGCGATTCTTGCCCCGCGTGTGGGGACGCTGCAGATTTCTTCCTGGCTTTCCACCGCTGCAGCTGCAGAGCTCTCAGCTTTTCTCGGAGCTCCATGTTCTGCTCCCTCAAAGCATCTATATGACTCCGGAGTTTTCCATGAACATCAGCCCACAGAGACTTCTGTCTCCCAAGCTCTTGGTGGAGTCTGATGATCTGCTGCTGTAATGGCTGTTATTGGGAAGAGAACACCAGAAAAACCTCTCAGATGTCACAATGGGCACATTTATCTGCAAAATAC
The DNA here is from genome assembly GCF_000001405.40 of Homo sapiens. Lineage (NCBI taxonomy): Eukaryota > Metazoa > Chordata > Mammalia > Primates > Hominidae > Homo > Homo sapiens. The sequence goes on from NC_000021.9 coordinate 32,582,486, forward strand.
TCAAGCCCTCTCTGATGTAAGACCAACACTATTTCTGGAATAAAAGACACCCGATGAGATAAACAGGACTACCACAGCCTTTTTCTTTCTTCTTTCTTTCCTTTCTTTCTTTCTTTTCTTTTCTTTTTTCAGGGTCTCACTCAGTCACTCAGGCTGGAGTGCAGTGGCATGATCTCAGCTCACTGAAGCTTCAACTTGATGAGCTCAAGCGATCCTCCTGTCTCGACCTCCCAAATAGCTGGGACTACAGGCATGTGCCACCATACTTCGCTAATTTTTGTATTTTTACTCGGGATGGGGGTTCACCATGTTGCCCAGACTGGTCTCAAACTCCTGGGCTCAAGCAATCCACCTGCCTCGGCCTCCCAAAGTGCTGGGATTACAGGAATAAGCTACCATGCCTGGCCATAGCTTTATTCTTATTAAGTAGTGTTTATTATGAGTTAGTCCACATAATATAACCAGATAAAGATGGTTAGTGAATTATGATTTTTTTGTTAAAACACTACTACAGCAAAAAGAGGCTGGCATTCTTTTCCTTTTTTTTTTTTTTTTTTTTTTTTTTTTGAGACAGTGTCTTTCTCTGTCACCCAGGCTGGAGTGCAGTGGCGCAGTCTCAGCTCACTGCAACCTCCACTTCCCAGATTCAAGCAACTCTGGTGCCTCAGCATCCAGAGTAGTTGGGATTACAGGCACATGCCACCACACCTGGCTAATTTTTCTATTGTTAGTAGAGACAGGGTTTTACCATGTTGGCCAGACTGGTCTCAAAGGCTGTACTGGCATGGATATATGGTCAATAGTTTAAAAATTATGGAAGCCGGCCGGGCGCGGTGGCTCACGCCTGTAATCCCAGCACTTTGGGAGGCCGAGGCGGGCGGATCACGAGGTCAGGAGATCGAGACCATCCCGGCTAACACGGTGAAACCCCGTCTCTACTAAAAATACAAAAAATTAGCCGGGCGTAGTGGCGGGCGCCTGTAGTCCCAGCTACGTGGGAGGCTGAGGCAGGAGAATGGCGTGAACCCGGGAGGCGGAGCTTGCAGTGAGCCGAGATCCCGCCACTGCACTCCAGCCTGGGCGACAGAGCGAGACTCCGTCTCAAAAAAAAAAAAAAAAAAAAAAAAAAATTATGGAAGCCACTGCATTTTCAACCTAACATGTTAGCCTTCCCCTGGGATCCTTCACTGGATCGTAGAGCCTCCAGCCTTGCTCTGAGAATAAGTGGGATCGTGATAAAGGTACAGTCCTGCACTGGGTGGCCCTGGCCACAGGGACCCGTGGGACTTTAATGACAGCAAGCACTGTCCAACAGGGTCCAATGAGGAAGATGGTAAAAATCAGGAAACTTGCTGGGATGATGTGAGGCATGTCAACTTTCTGATTTTCTTTAATGAAGTTTTTAAAGTCTGGTGCCTTCTCCTGGATTAGAGGAGAAAAGCTGGAATGTTAATATTTTCTTTAACTCCCTGCCCTGCCTCCCATCCACCAAGAGATACGGTTGCAGAGGGGGAAAGAGCCACATGCCCCTTGGAGAGGAAGTACAGAATCAGTGTCCCGGGGTGGTGCATTCCTACAGGGGTCCAGCAAGGGAAAGTCCAATGACGGGCCTCAGGGACAGGAATCAGGGTCCCGCCTGGTGGGACTAACTCTGTCCCCACAGAGCTCAACTCACTGGCATCTCCCCAGTGTTGCAGTCCTCCGTGAGAACCTCGGCTGCCACAGCTGTCTTCTCCATGACAGCCCCAGCTCCTGGGCACGGGTCCTCTGGGTGGGTGCCCTCTTTGGGGTCCCTGGCCTCGAGTTGACCTGCCAGCATCCTGGTTGGGAAGGGAAGGGCTATGGGGACACTTGAATGCAGCCCTCCTACCCCGTCAGTGTGGGCTGAAGGCCCCAGCCCCAAACTAAGGGTGAGCAGGACCCGCAGCCGCTCCTTCTCCCCCTGGGTCATGTGCACATTCCCAGGCCCGAAGCTGACCAGGTGAAAGGACACCACAGACAGAGGGACTGAGCTGTCCACACCTGGCTCTCCACCATCCTCCGTGGAAAATGCTTTAGATCCTAGAAGATCAGCCTGACACCTAACACACTCCAGTCATCCAAAGAGGGGTGTGAGTGGGGTGTGAGCCGGTGTGAGTGGGATGTGAGTGGGTTGTGAGCAGGATATGAGCGGAATGTGAATGGATGTGAGCGGATGTGAGCACGATGGTCTTGGGGTATGAGCAGGTGTGAGTGGAATGGTCTCAGGGTGTGAGCAGGTGTGAGTGGAGGGTCGCATGAGACACCGAGGGAATTCTCAGCCCTTTAATCAGCACCCACCTGGAGGGGCACAGGCAGACCCTCCACCGTGTTGAGTATGTGTCTTGAACCATCAGGGTGACATTTGTGAATTCATGGTGAAGATGTGGAAAGGAAACACCTTTTTATAGGTACAGCATTTATGCCAGTTCTAGGAAGTTCACAGCAATTAGAGAACAAAAACGAAAGAGAAAAACGCAAAGCTTTCCTGCAAGCCTGCAGGGTCGTCTCTGAAAGCTGCCTCCACCCCTGCCTTGCCCTGTCCGTTTTAGGAAGCCAGTGGCCCCCAACGAAACCCCGACTGTTTAATTCATAAACTTCTAACTGTGTGAGAAGGAACAGTTTAACCACAGTGATCGGAGAAATGCTATTTAAAAGAGAGTCTCCTGATGGAAGCGAATCGAAGGTCTAGAGCAAGACCTACCAGTAACCAGATCACTGCCATTCCTTCCCCGCGGAGACTGGGAATGTTTCTGCGGAAGTGGGCTGGGGTCACGGTCCTCACAGCCCTGAGAAAGCTCCTTCTTTCCTGCTCCTCTGAGGGGACACCCCAGTGTCCTCGGCCCCAAACTCATGACCCCCTCAGTCCAGGGAAGACCCTTTCCTTCAGCCCCACCACCAGACCTCGTCACCTCACCTGGTCCCCAACAGTCACTACTGCCAGGATCAGATCATCTGGGCCATGTCCCCACAGTTGTCCCCAAGCCCTCCTGCCTCATATCCAGAGACCAGAGAGCAGCGGACAGTTCCAACGGACTTTCTGTCTTAAAGGGACATGAACGTCTCACTCAGCGTCACCACTGTACCAGCTCAGATAATAATTAAACATCCCCAAACCTGCAATTCTTAATATAGAAGCTCATCGTCAGTGGAGTCCATCCATCCACAAAGGACATTGGAGAGAGTCAAACTACTCCTCCAAATTGACAAAAACCATGTGTTTTATATCCAGTCTTCAATACGCAACGTGTAGTAAGAGCTCATTTCTCTGAGCATACATTCTTGGAGAAATACAAACTTTCTTCGGATATCAAATTATTTACTAGAAAAAACATTTTTATGAAGGGAAAATAATATATGTGAGTTTAAATAGGAGACAGGATTCAAAGTTTCATCATTTCACTAAATGCATCTCCATCTGAATTGTCCGTGTGATTTTTGTGATAGAGAAGAGAATGAGGAGCAAGCAAGAGTCGATATTCCTGTTAAACCCTGGCTGTCCTTCTCATCCATGGTGCTGCGTGTGGACAACATACACCTGGGGCTCACCTGAGCCTGCTTGGGACGTGTGTCACTTGGATAGTTCTGCAAGCGATTCGCATGCAATAGGCAGTAAATGCCGACGTCATGAATGAATGAAGAGAATACTACAAAGAGGAAACAGAAGGCACTTTTGTCCCCATGTGTCATTCTAACTGTGAGAGTGTGTGTGTGTGTCCTGAGGTGTGCGAGTGTGTGTGTGTGTGTCCTGAGGTGCGTGAGAGGTTGTATGTTTGTCCTGAAGTGTGTGAGAGTTTATATAGGTTTCTGAGGTATGTGAGGGGTTGTGTGTGTCCCTGAGGTGTATGAGGTGTGTGTGGGTCCTGAGGTGTGTGAGTGGTTGTGTGTGGGTCCCTGAGGTGTGTGAGAGGTTGTGTGTGGGTCCTAAGGTGTGTGAGTGGTTGTGTGTGGGTCCTAAGGTGTGTGAGAGGTTGTGTGTGGGTCCTAAGGTGTGTGAGTGGTTGTGTGTGGGTCCTAAGGTGTGTGAGAGGTTGTGTGAGTCCTGAGGTGTGTGAGAGGATTGTGTGTGAGTCCTGAGGTGTGTGAGGGGTTATGTATGGGCCCCTGAGGTGTGTGAGGGGTTTTATGTGTGTCCTGAGAAGTGTGATGAATTGTGTGGGTCCTGAGGTGTGTGAGGGTTTGTGTATGAGACCCTGAGGTGTGTCAACATTGTGTGTGAGACCCTGAGGTGTGTGAGGGGTTGTGTGTGGATTCCTGAGGTGTGTGAGGGCTTGTGTGTATGAGCCTGAGGTGTGTGGGTTCCTTATATGGGTTCCTGAGGTGTGTGAGGGGTTGTGTGTGTGTCCTGAGGTGTGTGAGGGGTTGTGCTTGGGTCCTGGGGTGTGTGAGTGGGTGTTTGTCCTGAGGTGTGTGAGAGGTTGTGTGTGTGTCCTGAGGTGTGTGAGAGTTTGCGTAGGTTCCTGAGGTATGTGAGGGGTTGTGTGTGTCCTGAGGTGTGTGAGAGGTTGTGTGAGTCCCTGGGGTGTGTGAGAGTTTGTGTAGGTTTCTGAGGTGTGTGAGAGTTTGTGTAGCTTCCTGAGGTGTGTGAGAGGTTGTGTGAGTCCCTGAGGTGCGTGAGGGGTTGTGTGTGTCCTGAAGTGTGTGAGAGGTTGTGTAGGTTTCAGGCTTTGCAGCTCCCCTCCTGAGCCTCAGCCGGGCGGCTCCCAGGGCAGGGTCCCCCCATCCCTGTCTCTGCTGCGGCTCTCTGTGTGTTGCTCTTCCCGGCCTGGCCAGGACATTTTCTTCATTGAGTCTTCCCCAGATTCTCACCCTGCAGCAACCACGTGCGGCAGCAGGTCAGGGCGGAGGCTCCTGGGCGTTTGGACTGTGGGGCCCTTCTCTTCTCTCTGATAAGGCCCCGGTTTTCTGTTCAGCCTCGCGGTGCCTTAGCCGCATTTCAGGCATGGTCTTCCAGGGCCCTCTGGTCTGAACATTCTGTAGAGGAAACCACGGCACACCTTTCACTCATCTTTTAAAATCAGAAGCCAGTTCCTGAGCTGGCTGCTTGGAGTAGCAGCAGATACACTTTTTAAAGTAGCTTATGTGTTTAAATTTCTGGTTCAAAGGACTACTTCTATAGTGGTACAGACCCTGACAAAAGAAATCACCTTTTCTAAATATCATCACTGCAAATGGGCAATATGACCTGGGAACTGGTGAGATGCCATTGAGATTGGAGCCCACCCCACCAGAGCTGAGTGAATTCTTGGATGACTAAATGTCGGAATAAGTTAGGGAGGGGTGCATGTCATCCAAAGAATGACATGAGCTCACTCTGTGCCTCAAGTGACACAGATCATAGTAGATTCCAGCGAAATACTTGCAGCTGTGTTGAGTTCCTCAAACTACCACAAAATTCTTATGGCAAAACTTGTGAGAGGTGAAGATAAGAGAGTGTGAGCCCTGTGATCGAATCCAAATATGAATTGTAAAATATGCCTTAATACTATTACCAGTAGCTGTAGTGTACAATGATAGAACCAAAAGATAAAGATTTTCGGCCGGGCATGGTGGCTCACGCCTGTAATCCCAGCACTTTGGGAGGCTGAGGTGGGCAGATCACAAGGTCAAGAGATCAAGACCATCCTGGCCAACATGGTGAAACCCTGTCTCTGCTAAAAATAAAAAAATAAAAAAAATTAGCTGGGTGTGGTGGCACGCGTCTGTAGTCCCAGCTACTTGGGAGGCTGAGGCAGGAGAATTGGTTGAACCTGGGAGGTGGAGGCTGCAGTGAGCCAAGATGGCACCACTGCACTCCAGTCTGGCGGCAGAGTGAGACTCCATCTCAAAAAAAAACAAAACAGATAAAGATTTTCTACTCATTTTCTAGTTGTCCCGTCAGTGGTGCATTTCAGCACACTCAAAACTCCATGTTTCTTTTGGATTTTATGAGCTGAGTCTGAATGTTATAAGTGACACACTCCTTTTTTTTTTTTTCTTCTTCTTGTGAGACAAGGTTTTGCTCTGTTGCCTAGGCTGGAGTGCAGTGGCACCATCTCGGTTCACTGCAACCTTGACCTCTTAGGCTCAAGCAATCCTCCCACCTCAGCCTCCCTAGTAGCTAGAACTACAGGTTCACACCACCACACCCAGCTAATTTTTGAATTTTTGGTAGAGACAGGTCTCGCTATATTGCACTGGCTGGTCTCGAACTTCTGGACTCAAGTGATCCACCTGTCTCAACCTCTTAAAGTGCTGGGATTACACACTCTTTAAAAATGTTCTCTGTACAATATTTCGTAAAGGTTGAGAATAAGGAAAGACATTGCCCCTTTAAGCAAAGTGGTAAGGCAACATATAAAAACGACTCAATCCACAATAGTGAGAATTTCCGTTAATTACATTCTAAAGTTTTTTTGTTTAAAATGAATTGAGGGAGTACAGTATGCTCTTCAAGATAATGAACAGAGAAAAATGCCCAATGACTGCTAGCCATCCCAATAATGTATTTACTCTACGTTGTGTTATTTTGTTTCTGCAGTAGGACCCAACTGATTAGAAAGGAAATTACATAGTCAGTGACCAGCTGAGACTGAGTACGGACAGAGGAAGAAGCTAACTTACATCTAAAGAGACCTGAAGTCAGGAGACATTTCTAGATAAACCCCTCAGCCAGATAACATCAACCCATGACTTCCAATACCATTGCTGAAGAGGTCACAGAGGAGAGAGAATCCTGAGAAGATTTTTAAAATCTGAAAGTTCTTGTATTAAAAGAAGTGGGAAGTTTCTTGGTATGTGTATGAAGCCTAAGATTGAGATAGTGGTACTGAGGGTGGCATGATACCCCATTGAGGCTGGGAGTTTTATTTCTTTTAAGTCTTTCTGTAGGTATACCTCTGTGGGTTCCTGCCACTTCTAAACCATAGTTATAAGGCCAATAAATACATAAAACAATCTTCCTACTGCTCGCAGGCACCATGCTCTTCCTAATAGCTCTATAAGAACCCTTTATTGCTCGTGACCCTGTGTCCACATTATGCTATCTGATTATTCATAATTTTTCTCGGATCTGCTTGATATGAAACATGGATACAGCCATATTTGAAGGAACATGTTACAGGAAAAGAAACCCCGACCTCGGAATCTGAGGATTTGTATAATTTGGACTTTACACAAAATAATTATGTAATTTTGGGCAAGTCCCTTAATACAGTATTTGAACTCAATTTTATTGCCCCTTTTAGGTCTAAACTCTCAGCTGTGAGTACTAATTTGTGGCGTGATGGTGAGGTGAAATGGCAGAGGCCCATGGCACATCATTGCAGAATATGCGTTAGACTTTCACAAGTCATCAGTCATGAATTTCAGGATCTGGCTGCTTGTCTTCATGGGAGACGTCAGGTACAGCTTGCAATTAGCTAAGGGGTTCATCTTACAATACCTCTAATTACTGCTTTAGCTAAAAGCCCCCATGAAAGACACAAGTTTACCACATCATATGAACCCATGGTAAATATTTTGTGACCTGATACTTATCCAGTCAGTGCTCTGTTAGCCAGAACTAAATAGTTGCCAGAAAAATGAAAACTAATATTCATAATACTGGTCTTGAAATACTACAAAATCATGGGACAAAATCAGCTAGTCGGGAGACTGGAGTGGGAGGATCACTTGAGCCCAGGAGGCAGAGGCCGCAGTGAGCTGAGATTGTGGCACTGGACTCCAGCCTGGGTGAGTGAGTGAGACAATGTCTGAAAAAGAAGGAAAAAGAAATAAAGAAAGAAAGAAAGAGAAAGAAGAAAGAAAGAAAGAAAGAGAGAGGTAGGGAGGGAGAGAGGGAGGAAGGAAGGAGAAAGAGAAAGAAAAAGAAAGAAAGAGGAAAGAAAGAGAGAGAGAGAAAGAAGGAAAGAAGGAAGGAAAGAAGGGAGGGAGGGAGGGAGGGGAGAGGTTTGAAGAGGCTCACTCTGCCTGAAGACAGGAAGGGACCAGGAGCCGAGGCGCTCTCAGCCCCAGAAAGGGCAAGGAAGCAGAGCCCACCTCCAGCCTCCAGAACGAATGAGCCTGCCAAGGCCTGGGCTGTAGCTCCACGAGACTCAGCCAGGATTCTGACATACAGAACTGTATGAGAACACGATTGTTGTTTTAAACCACTACGTGTCGGTAATTTGTTACGGCAGAAACTCTTCTTAAATGTGCATTTCTAGGCCTCACCCGTATAAATTCGGATTCAATAGTCCCGGGCTGAGAATGTGAATTTTTAACAAGCGCCCCAAGTTACTCTGATGAGGTGCCGAGAATAACACTTTAAGAAAACATGGCTGACAGTAAGCAGCAGAAATATGAAGAAATAACCAGCACTACTAACTCTGCACAGACAGAAATGCAGGTTCCAGAGATTGATGAGGCTCTGATGATGAAGGGGCATCTGAGCCAGGATGGGTCTCACATTTCCAGCCAGAGAGGAAGGAGGAGGCTGAGTGGCTGCACAGTGGGGAAGCCCGCAGAGGGGAGAGTCTCCTCTCGGATGCACTGGGTCTATGGCATGGCTGACCAGGTGCCCTAATGCAGGAGGCATCGGAAACTGTGGGCTCGAAGCCAAGCTATAAGCGGCGCACTGAAGATACAGAGGAAGAGTTCGCTGCACAAGGTTGATAGTCAAGGGGGAAAAGTTAGATCGGGTAATTGGAGTTATGAGGAGAGCGGAACGGGGCAAGGATTCCAGTACTGGAGAATGTCTGGTTTACTGTAGCCAAGATATTTTAGTTTAGGGCATAATTTAAAATGCTCCCTTGACTCCTCCACCCCATGGAAGGTCTCAGGTTGAGGGGCCCAGCTAGTCCTGAATGAGGTCCTCTGTGACCACCAGCTCCTCTTCTCTCCTTCCCTCTGCCATAGTGAAGCTCTCTATTGTGGGATTTGGGCATATGAGGGGCAGGCCCACCTCCCCTAGATGTCACCTCTCTGCCTTCTGAGTATCAAGTCAGTCTCTTTCTCCCTAAGCCTCCCAAACTGTGGGGACTTACGTGTCAGTGTCATTTCAGTTGTTGTATGATTATAGATACATGAAAAAGGAATATTTAAAAATTGTCCTGACCTCCCTCCTCCCGACCCCTGTAGGAACCCACCACTTAACCACACAAGGGCCCAACTCATCGAGCATTACAGCTTGGGGAAGAAACGCCAGCCGCGAGCCAGAGAAACAAAAACGAGGGGCTGTCCCTAAAATGCAGGATCCAAGGGCCTGGAGCTGGAGAGAAATCAGGCAGCACCTCACAGAATCCAGGCTCACAGAAAGTCTGTTTCGATCAGAATTTAAAACAACCCTCTTCCTGCTGCAACTCTTCAGGCCACTGACAAGGTGACAGGATCACATTTTGTACAGGATACAAACATATTCCCTATGGGTGGACAAAACGACCCCGTAGCCCATCTACACCAAGGAGCTGCACCTGTGCCCTGTGTAGCCAGATGCAATTTTCTATTATTGGAAAATCCACTTTAAGTTGTTCCTTAGCAAATTCTTCCCAAGTACTGTTTCCTTTCCTCAATTCCTGGCCTAGCAAGTCTAGAAAGAAAACAAAAAGAATGTAAAATGTTCTTGGTTGACTTTACTCTTAATTACTAAAAAGCAAACAGAGAAAATTAAAATCAAACACATGCAAAAAATTCTTCTAGAGCCTTGCACACAATGCCAGTTCTTGAAATATTTCATAAAGCAAAGCTAATGAAATAAACAAAGACGTGGCTGAAAGGATATGCATTGTACTGTGCTTATGGAGCCACATTGCTCACTGCATCTCTCGCTCCACTGCCGCCGGGCTCATCTGCCAGAAGCCTGTTCCTGAGCTGATTGGGGTTCTGGTCCAGGGGTCCCAAGGAGCGAGGCCCAAGCTCAGGAGGACAAAGAACGACCACCTGGAAAGTGGCAAAAATCTGTAAAAAAATAAAATCTGAGTGGGCCCAAGGGGCACCTGGTCTCAAGAGCAAACGCTGTGTCCAGAGCCTCATGTCCGGAGGCCCAGCCCGACTCCCTGGCTCTTACAGCCCCGAAGCCCAGAGACCACCCCAGCCCGACTCCCTGGCTGAGACTTCCCGCCCGGATGCCGTGAGATCGTCCCAGCCCATGCTGAGGTCAGTTTGTGCTGTTATCTCTTTTTTTTTTTTTTTTTTTTTTTTTTTTGAGGAGTCTCACTCTATTGCCCAGGCTGGAGTACAGCGGCGCTATCTTGGCTCACTGCAAGCTCTGCCTCCCAGGTTAAAGCAATTCTCCTGCCTCAGACTCCTGAGTAGCTGGGACTGACTACAGGCGCCCGCCACTACGCCCGGCTAATTTTTTGTATTTTTAGTAGAGACGAGGTTTCACCATGTTAAGCAGGATGGTCTCGATCTCCTGACCTCGTGATCTGCCTGCCTCGGCCTCCCAAAGTGCTGGGATTACAGGCGTGAGCCATTGCGCCCAGCCTCGGGCAAGCCTATTAAAAACTTCCTAGTGTGCCTCCTCATTTGCACAAGGATGTGTGGTAAAGGGTTAACTCAGCAGGCTTGGGGTGTCCAAACCCTGCACATTCAGAGAAAGGTCTGGCCCTGTCCTTCTTCCCAGAGGATACCCTTTGAGCCCTTGGATTATCTTGCTTGATAAGAGTGTTTACGTTTACCTGCGGCCTCCAGCCATGGCCAAGAGTTCATGGAGTTCATGTTAACAGTGATTTATGTGGACCCTAGAGCCACACTACATCAATTTGACCTCTGGGATAGCTGGACTGGGTGACTAGGATTAGCCAGCGGAATGATTCAGGCCTATGTGACCGGCTCCCAGGAGAAGCCCTGGACCCTAAGGCTCGGGGGCTTCCCTGGCAGGTGGTGTTATGTGCACACTGGCACAGTTGTTGCCGACAGAATTAAGTGCACTGGTGTCTCCTTCAGGTCAGGACGGCGGGCAGCTCACAGCTGGCCTCTCCTGGACTGTGTCCCAAGCACCTTTTTCCTTTGCTTATTTTAATCTGTGTCCTTTTGCTATAATAAACAGTAACGTTCTGTGAATCCTTCTAGTGAATCATTGACCCTGAGGGTTGTTGGGGGCGTCAGACACAAAGGGGATAAGGACACCTGCCTTGACTGCCTCAGAGGGGTCACAGGGAGCTGAGATCCAGCTGTCACAGTGAGGCCATGCAAGTCTGGGGGTTCTTATGACACAGAATTCTAGTGAGGCAAACAGTACTTTCAGACTGAATAAAGGAGGGGTGTTATTCACTTCCAGCGTCTGTCATCTGCCGAAAGCTACGTGCCCTCTCCACGGAAGATACAGGGGCAGGATCTCCCATCCACAGCAGGCACACAGACTCCCAAAGGCCCTGTGCACAGAGCTCTGGATTAGGAACAGATTCCCCCCCCACCGCCCCCCGCCGCCGGGGAGAGCCCCACACTGCCTTTTCCTCTCAGGATGCCTGACACCATTTAGGGTGGGATGTGGGAAGCTGGCTTCAGGATCAGACCTGAAGACAAGTAGCTGACCTGGGGGTTGAGCCAGGGCTCACACCTAGGCCCTTCTCCAGGGGGGTTTACCAAAACCAGCCCCATGTCCTGTAGACCTGACTTTTGTCAACACACACATATATCCTCCCCTTATGCACAGGTGTTTATGTAAAAGCAATGTATGTTTATATGCCAAGGTGACTTAAAAATTACAAAGTGCGGTACAAACATGTTATTTACGTTGTGATGAGGATGACAAGGTTTGGATTTCATGCTGTGTGTAATGATGTCAGTTGGAGTTCTTCTTGGGATAAAGGAGGGCAGGCGGTCAGCACAGTTCCTGTTCTGTGAATCAAGGACCTTCGTTCAAGCAGTCCTTACTGGACACCTGTGTCCTCATCCTTGCTAATACGCCAACCAGCCACACACACTGCACCACAGAGTCCCTATGTCATACCAGCCCTGCAGGCACCTGTTTCTTGGCACCAAGTGTCTTTCATGAGTGTGAACCCATCTGATGTTAGTGGCCAGTGGGGAAAATGCCCATGGGAAGTGGAGTGTCGGGGGAGCCCGAGCCTGTGGCCTGGCCATTCTGCACAGTGAGTTGCGGCCAGTACGTTATGTGCTGATGCAATTCATAGCTGCTCAGCACGACTCTGCCCAGATTCCGTTTATTATCCTACTAAATAATTATTTTCATTGTCTTCATCTTTTTAATTGCACTACTGATGTCTTTATCTTAAAATCTGAAGAAGGCTCTCTCCATGGGGCAGACTTTGTCATTTACAAGCTAACTGGTGAGAAATTGAAGGGGAAAGTGCGATCACGTTAAGTGCCTTTGGAAGACCACAATCGGGATGCACAATCACTCAATTATAACTTGGTGGGAAGGGAAGCAGGGAGGTTTGAGGAGGTGAGAGGCGAGACTCTGGTTCAGAAACCTGTGCTCAGGCCTGAGTCCCTCTCATTGGCCGGGGGTCTTGCAGAAGACACGGCCTCTCTCTGAGCTCAGTTCCTGTATCTGCAGGGACCATGACCCATCAGCCAGTTGGTATGAAGAGTAAATGGGGGAACCCATGGGACAGCGTGCAGGAAACTCCAGAACGCTGCATATTTCTCTGCATTTTGTGTGTATGACAAGCCATGTGGGGGTTGTTATTTCCATCAAGCACTAGATGAAATCCATTCTGCTCGATTCTATCTAGTTGTTGCCTTCCTAGAAACACAGGAATAACCTGCAGCACCACCCCCTTCTGTTCTGTGGCATTGGCACAATCAAGGAATCTACTTTTGTGCTTTTACACATTGAACTGACAGGTAAGGTCAGGCATCGACTGTCACAGGGGCCAGTGGAGAGGTAGGAGGGACGCCCACATTCGATGAATCCTGCATCACGGTGTTGGACTTCTTGTTCCACGGTGTTGGACACTAAACTTGTTCACATTCAATAACTTGAGCACGAATAAAGGCAGCTCATAGTAATAACACCTGATGGGTACAGGCCCTGTGCTCTGCTCTAAACACTGCTCCTGTTACCCCTACAAGACATGGGCCCTGCATTTCACAAACATGAATTCTGAAGACCATGAATAACTGTTCTGGCCCAGCTCTATTGGGCCCTAACTCTGTGCCCGGGGTCGGGATGCGGGTTGTATTTGGAGCCCGTTGCAGATGCGGATTCGTCTGCTCCACGCAGGGTGCTCTGACGTACTCTGTGTGGCCTGGAGCTCAGAAACCTGTGCTGGACTCAGTGCCTGCAGACGCTGCCCCTGGGTAGCTGTTTTCCAGGCGTCAGGAGACATGCTCCAGAGGCTCCAGAAGCACAGACGGATCATGAGGTCAGGAGATCAAGACCATCCTAGCTAACATAGTGAAACCCTGTCTCTACTAAAAATACAAAAAAATTAGCCGGGCCTGGTGGCAGGTGCCTGTAGTCCCAGCTACTCGGGAGGCTGAGGCAGGTGAACGGCGTGAACCCGGGAGGCGGAGCTTGCAGTGAGCCGAGATCGCGCCACTGCACTCCAGCCTGGGCAACAGAGTGAGACTCCGTCTCAAAAAGAAAAAAAAGAAAAAGAAAGTGATGGAGAAAATGTTCACTATGGAGTCTCACATGTGGGTGGTGTCCGGTGCTGAAACTGAAAGAGGTTTCAGTTTTGTATGTAATATATACAAGGGTGAAAATAGTTTACATCACAAATCAGATTAAGGAAAATAAATGTATAGGGAAAAGAGTTAGCAGGTTGCTATATAATTAGATTAGTCAAATCGTGTTTCAACAAAAATCAGCAAAAACATTCTGTGAGCATCAATTGGTTATGTGGAGTTCATGATAGAGAGTGCAGCATATCTTATTACTTGTAAGCTGTATGCTACATATCCTTGATATCAGCAAAATTTATAACAAACTTACATCTGTATTTATATGCACATGTATTTTGGGAAAGCTATTGTTAAACATTTAAGAGTGTACCACTATCATGGCCAGGCACGGTGGCTCACGCCTGTAATCCCAGCACTTTGGGAGGCTGAGGTGGGTGGATCATGAGGTCAGGAGTTCAAGACCAGCCTGGCCAAGATGGTGAAACCCCATCTCTACTAAAAATACAAAAATTAGCCAGGTATGGTGGGGGGTGCTTGTAATCCCAGTTACTTGAGAGGCTGAGGCAGAGAATTGCTTGAACCCGGGAGGCAGAGATTGCAGTGAGCCGAGATCGCACCACTGCACTCCAGCCTGGGGGGTGACAGATTGAGACTCTGTCTCAAAAAAAAAAAAAAAAAAAAAAAATTAAAAGAGCGTACCACTATCTACATAAATACATACACTGAAAATGCATAATAACTTCAGCTGCTCTGATACCAAATGCCAACATCCATGAAAATGTCCTACAAGAGAGGGAGGGAGCTGCATCAATTGCGCTGATGACCCTGGGCCAATTGTCCTAAGATCTGTTAGGTCTGTGATCTGGGAGGGCCCTGGAGATCCTGAGGCAGCAGGTGAGGCCTGAGGCCTGGGACCCCAAACCCAGCTAAAACTAAAAACTAAAAACTCTTAAGTGTAGAGTTCAGTGATACTCACATTCTTGTGCAACCATCAGCACCATCCATCTCCAGAATGTTTTTATCTTCTCAAACTTAAACTCTATACCCATTAAACAGTAACTCTCCATCCTTCCCTGCTGTCCCCAGCCCCTAACAACCATCATTCTGCTTTGTCTCTGGATCTGACTACTCTAGGAACCTCGTATAAGTGGAATCTTACAGTATTTGTCATTTGGTATCTGGCTTATTTCACTCAGTGTAATGTCATCAAGGTTCATCCCTGTTGGAGCATGTGTCAGGATTCCCTTCCGTTGTAAGGCTGAATAATATTCCATTGTACGGATACACCACCTCTTGTTGACTCATTCATCCTCTTGTTGACTCATTCATCTGTGGATGGGCACTTGGGTTGCCTCCACGTTTGAGTTATTGTGAATCATGCTGCCGTGGACGTGGCTGTACTGCAACTGGTTTTGCATTTATTTGAATAGGTGGATTTCAAAGGTACAAAAGACCATCCTGTGAACCGTGACTCCCTCCCAGCCCATCCTCCAGGCCCCCTAGAGTTTTAACCACAAGCAGCCATGGTCACCAGTTTCTTGTGATCTTTCTAAGAGTATGTGAGCATATGTGCTATGCCATGGTAGAGGCTGGACGCGGTGGCTCACGCCTGTAATCCCAACACTTTGGGAGGCTGAGGCAGGCAGATCACCTGAGGTTGGGAGTGAGACCAGCCTGGCCAATACGGTGAAACCCTGCCTTCACTAAAAATACTAAAATTAGTCGGGCACAGTGGTGCGTGCCTGCAATCCCAGCTACTCAGGAGGCTGAGGCAGGAGAACAGCTTGAACCCGGGAGGTGGAGGTTGCAGTGAGCCAAGATCATGCCACTGCACTCCAGCCTGGGTAACAGAGTGAGACCCTGTCTCAAAATAAACAAACAAATAAATACAATAAAATTAAAAATCTAACAACAGTGCCCTCGTTCCCATGATCTCACAGTCCATCCAGGGAGACAGACTTGTAACCGAATGCCATGATTACAACCAGCTCAATGGGAGATGAAGAAGGAGGTGTGTTCGGAAACCTGGGAACTGAGGAGGGAGTGGGCTCTCAACCTTAACATGGGCTGCGGGAGTTGGGCAAGAATCAGAAACAGATTATGTAGATGATACTGGAACTGTGTGGTTTCCCATTTGCAAAAAAAAATTAAAATTATATTTTACAATGTTAGTATATTCTGAGCATTTTAAGAAGTAAAGTCCACTTTGATAAAAGGAAGAATGTCTATCTTCCTTGTATATATATCTATTCCTATAGAATACCCATTTGTGTCTTAGTTTGTAAGAGCTGCCATAACGAAATACCATGGACTGGGTGGCTTAAACAACAGACATTGATTTTCTTACAGTTCTGGAGGCCGGAGGTCCAATATCACAGCATTGGCAGGGCTGGTTCTTCCCAAGGCCCCACTACTTGTGTTGCAGATGGCGGCCTTCTCCCTGTCCCTTTCCTCTGTGTACATAGATCCCTGGTGTCTCTTCTTCTTCTTTTTTTTTTCTTTTTTTTTTTTTTGTTGAGATGGAGTCTCGCTGTGTCACCCAGGAGAGCAATGGCATGATCTCGGCTTACCACAACCTCTGCTTCCTGGGTTCAAGCAATTCTCCTGCCTCAGCCTCCCGAGTAGCTGAGATTACAGGCACACACCACCATGCACAGCTAACTTTTATATTTTCAGTAGAGACCATGCACCATGTTGGCCAGGCTGGTCTCGAACTCCTGGCCTCAGGTGATCCACTCGCCTTGGCCTCCCAAAGTGCTGGGATTACAGTCTCCTCACCTTGGGCAATTTAATCCCTCTGGACTTTGGTTTCCTAACTCGTGAGATGACAATAGTAGTTTCTTTCTAATTTGGCTGTTTTTAGGTATAAACGAAAAGAATATATAGGTAAAGTGCTTAGTACAACCGTCTGGGAAATAGCAAAGTCCCCATAATGCCAGCTGCCGTTACTGTTATGTCTAGTATCGAACTTCTCCTGGAAATCAGCCACCTCTCTCCTTGAGCCCTGTCCAGGGCCAGTGGGTTTTTGGTAGTGTAGAGGGGCAACTCCTATCTTGCAAGGAACGGCAAGAGGTCGGGGCAAGCAGCTCTCTCTGGTCACTTCTTCAAGGGGGTGGTTGCTGAGGCTTTGGAAGGGAATTTAGTGAGCTCAGACCCTCTCAAGGCTACTGTGCTCCAAGTATGTGGCAGTTCATTTCAAGCTTGATGGCACACTCTTTGCAGAGCAGTTGCCAAGGAACGAGGTAATCTTGTGACAGAAATACTGCCTGATGCTGTCAGTTTGATGGTCGAAAAGGTTTTAGGTGGTATCAAATTTTATTACTAGCATTCCTGGTCTCCATGAAAGAACCACATAAGAAGACAAGTTATGTCAAAGGACAAAACCACAGACCTAGATGGGCACCGTGCATACAGCAGACACTTGGTTTCCTTTTGATATTGACTCAAACAGGGACTGGATTAAAAAAAGAAGAAAATAACAACAAGACCACAGACTTAAGCTGATCAGTGGTCTAACACTGGCAAGATTACTTTTGTTGATAAATTGATTTCTTGGGAAATCCTGGGAAAGTTCCTGGACGTGACCCTGTGGTCCTACCACCACTAGCTACCTGTGACCTTGGGTGAGTCAGCAAGTGGATGCAAAGGGAACACACACAGCACGGTGCCACAGCGGGCACCACCTGCCCCCCGCCGTCACAGATGGCTTGCAAATAAGCTACTCACGTACTTCCTGAGATCTGCTGCACCCAAACACACCAAGCTCAGAGAGGCTTTTGAGGCAGACAAGGGCAGGGAGAGAGGATGGTTCTTCTCGCATGGGTATTTAAGGAGTGTAGTGTCATGCGTGAGTGACTTTTTGGTTAGTAAGTTCTGCTGATTACATGAAGCAATGGGATAACTATCACGGCCAAAAGAGTATTCCTACTGCAGGCTCAGTAAGACTTTCTAATGATATTGAAGTAGTAGTTCCCTGAAAAGAGCTACTATGATCACATGGCTTGGTTAACTGTTTCTTACAAGTCTGAGCATGAATTTAACACACACGAACTATACACTGACAAAGACAGGATGCTCCTGAAATAAAATCACAGCATCTTATTGCATATACTACATCATCCAAGGTCAAAACCCTTTCATAGAGACATTTAAAACTATAACCAAGTAAAAGAGAAAATAGATGCAAATTTGCTTTTACAAAATTTGAAAATCAACCAAAAGAGTAAGGCACAAGATGCAGTCAGCTACAAAGCACTTCAGAGAACAGCGCTTTGCTCTCAGGTCTGGGACCCACCCCCTGGGCAAGGCCGCCTGGCAGCAGGCAGGAACCAAACCCCTGCCACCTCCACTCACTCCCAGGGTTCCTCTTTGCAGGATGGTGGGGAGCGCAGGCACCAAGGCAGGAAGGCCAGGGCAGGAAGATGCCCCGCGTCCTTCACTTTCCCTCAGTGTGAGCACACCAAGTTCCCTCTAACCAGGAGAACAGGACCCTAGGCACCAAAAGTCAAGCATGAGGGACTGCCACAGGCAGTCTGGCAGGTGTCTTTCAGATGCTAAAGTGCCAGGGTTTGCAGGATACTTGGATGGTTTACAGTGATGATGAGTTGGAGTCTTTAAACTCAATGGTGTCCTAGATACTCAGTTAGGATGATAGTGATCCCATCCATCCCGTGGTTGGTCACTGAGCTGCGTACGAAGCTGGCCTAGAATCAGACCCCGCATCCATAGGGAGAAATCATCACCCTCTACCGGGATCTGGATTTGTTTTCAGGATCTATTCTCATGAAGGAGACTTGAGAAGCTGAGAAACTCCAGAAGAATTTAAGTTTCAAAGTCAGATGAGTTTGCTACTCAACCTTCATCATGGTTGTAGCTTTCGCTCCCAGAATACAAGGCCAGAGAGGCACCAACCAGGAGGCAAACTTCACCTTCAAGGCCAGGCAACGCCTGGCTACAGTTAGACCCCGCAGCAGGGTTAAAGAAGGCTACAGTTAGACCCCGCAGCAGGGTTAAAGAAGGCTACAGTTAGACCCCGCAGCAGGGTTAGAGAAGTCTCTCCAGCAAGGCTGGGAGTTCAGCTTCCAATAGATCTAGAGGGCCAGGAGAAAAAGCATGCTGAGTGCCTGGCGGCATCTAGTGGTCACTAGTGGTCACTGCCAGTCATCAGCTTTCCTCCAATAAACCAGTTATCATGAGAATATAAAACAATCAGGAAGAAAAAAAAGTGTAGCTTTTTTTTTTTTTTTTTTTTTTTTTGAGACAAGAGTTTCGCTCTGTTGCCCAGGATAGAGTGCAGTGGCAGTGATCTTGGCTCACTGTAAGCTCCACCTCCCGGGTTCACGCCATTCTCCTGCCTCAGCCTCCCGAGTAGCTGGGACTACAGGCGCCTGCCACCATGCCCGGCTAATTTTTTGTATTTTTAGTAGAGACGGGGTTTCACCGTGTTAGCCTGGATGGTCTTGATCTCCTGACCTCGTGATCTGCCTGCCTCGGCCTCCCAAAGTGCTGGGATTACAGGCGTGAGCCACCGCGCCCGGCCAAAAGTTTAGTATTTTATCAAAGAAAACCATGACATACTAAATAGTCCTGAAACAAAAACGATTTACACATTTTCTTCTGACTAGGTATTTATTAAGTTCTAAAACCTTGAATAACTGCTATTTTAAAAATTCACACTAAAAGAAAACTAGAAATGTTAACATCTTTTACAGAGGGCAGTAAGTGGCCTTTTTTTTTTTTTTAAATTATAATTGCCTAGGAGAAAGGTGAGCTAATCTCTTTGGAAGTGTCATCAGCTGGTGAACTTCATCTTGGTCTCCACTTTATGTCTTTCACTCCATGAAAATGTCTTTTCAAAGCAGTGTTATCCGCCCATGGTGAGTTTAAATAGGCATCATCATCATTTTCTTCCAATCTCTGGAAATAAGTATGTTTTATTCAGGCAGGCATTTCAGGAAAGTGTTTTGCACATAAAGAGACTGAAGAAAGAGTCCATGACTGACCTCCCCCTCTCCCTGCCCTCTAGGAGCAGGATACTGCCATGTCTAACACCAGGGGACACCTGGCAGGACCCCGACAGACCTGCAGACAGAAGCTCTAGAAAGACCCCTCCCCGGCATTCTGCAGAGCTCACTGCTCCCCAGCAGCCCCAGGTAAGGCACACAGGCTATGTGTGGGCGCCAGCACTGCAGAAAGCCCATCTGTCCCCTGCTACCTTGAGCTCCTCTTGTCTTCTGTGATAGTACAGCATCAGCTGCTTCTGCTCCTCACTGCTAATAATAGGCTCTCGGGCTGGAGCTCCCTGTCCCCTCTGCAAAGAGGAGAGCAGAGCAAATTGTGGATTAAGGTGTTCTTAGAGTGACAATCCTGAAGTTACAACAAATGTTTTACG
Organism: Homo sapiens; assembly: GCF_000001405.40. Taxonomy (NCBI): domain Eukaryota; kingdom Metazoa; phylum Chordata; class Mammalia; order Primates; family Hominidae; genus Homo; species Homo sapiens. Next base: position 32,602,449 of record NC_000021.9, read on the forward strand.
ATTGCCTTTGCCGGCTACTAAAGATAAACAGGTCCCCCATGTCTGATCACCCGAAGTGAAGCATCAAGGGAAGCCTTGGTCTTGAGCAGCCCTGAGCCCTGGACTCTCACTGTGTGGAGACCAGAGGCTGCACGATACCATCTCTGTCTTGACCATTCCCAAGGCAGACACTGCAGGCAGGTCCAGTGGGAAAGGGAGGATGCTCAGAGCCACGGACTCTGGATCTACATAAGGTGGAGGGCCCCATTTCCCCAAAATCACAGCCTAGTGACGTAGGAGCACCCACAAAACCAAGGCGGCCCCTCAGGTTACAGCGCTACACGATGTCCTTCAAAGGTCTCGAACCTTTCCTCCTCCCCCTCCTGTACACAGCATCAGCAGTTTGAAAAAGCCTGAAATCAGTGACGGGCGAAATTTTACATTTCAAGGAACATATCTGTTTACTTGCAGCCCTATTTTTACGCTTGAAATTAACATAGTATATTTCCTCTCCCCCACATATTAAAACAAACTCTAGATATTGGTACTCAATCCATATTTTCTTCCAGTTTTTGTTGGTGTGCAGGAAGAGGATATTTTTAGTTTAAACCCGAGCCAATAAGATTAAAATATTTGTACCAGTAGTTTAAATCTTTCGGATTCACTGTACATTTTTATCAGTTTGAAGGGAAATAACAAAAACTACTGACACATTAAAGCAAAAAGTACTTACTTGCTGAATCTTGGCGATAATTTTGGTTTTTTCATTCTTCCCCACGTAGTCTGAAAGCTTCTTCGTTCTTCTCAGCTCCTTGGCTGCCCACCACAGCTGCGCCTCTGCCTCTTTAATGACGTTGAGCCCTGCCTGGGGCCAGTCGTAAGAATGGCTTGACTGTGTGTTCCCACCCAGGGGGCAGAGCCCAGCTGAGCCCCTCCCAGCAGGGGGCAGGGGACAGATTTCTCCCCGTGCTCACCATGGGAGGCCTGACTCCCGCACCTCACTCTAAGTCCTTGCTGACTTTAGTACCTTCCCTGTTAAGTTTCCACTCATGCCCTGACTCAGTTAACTTCCTCCTCTGGACAACAGGGAGATCCTATCTCATTTGCACCTTGATCCATATAGTTCGTCTTAGACAGATCTGTAGGCCACTGCCAGGGAAGGGCACTGGCATCGTGCTGGGTGTTTAAATCGAGGTATAAAGGGGCTGCCTGTTTACTTCTGCATATTTCATTTATTTAACATGGCTTAGACAAAGAATATTGTCCAATAGGATAAGAAGTGAGAAAACCCAAGGAAAATGGAACATGAGGGTCAGAAAATAACATGAAGCAACAGGTAAGACTAGAAACACAAATTTCCATGCAAAGGGACTGACGCATTTGGGTAGAAATAGGAAGAAATTAGGTAGCTGGCTTCCTAGCAGCCAAAGACAGTGGAAATGTTTGCAGTCACTCCTGATGAGCGGCCTCACAAACTGCGTCCACTGCCTCCTGTGTGTGGGGCCAAACCCCTCACTCATGAGTACCCACTCTCAGGGGCTGCTCCTGAATTCAGAACTCTGCTCTGAAGCAGGGCATAGCAAACCTGAAAGCTGTGTAGGGAGCAAAACACTACATCCAGAAGAGGGGCATCAAATCTTAAGGGCTTTGGGGGCCAGGAACTCAACCTCCAGAGTACCCACTCACAAACTACGTACCTGTGTTCCCGACAAGTCTTCCTTATTTTCAAACTCCATGCGGATGGGATCATACGGTGGCAACCCCATGGGGTAAACAATCATCACCGCGCCTCGAAGCTGGTCCAAGGCATCTTTCACCATCTCCATGGTAACACAGACACCGGCTTCCACTTGTTTCTGCAAGCAGAAAGCCATCGTTATCTACAGTGTGGCTAATCACTTCCATAAATTCGATCAAGATCTTGTACAAGACCCTTGCCAGATACTGCCAGAGCAACAAAAAGAAATCAAACAGTTCTTGCTCCCAGAGTGACTACCATCTATTTCAGGGGCTGAGCGAAGCACACCGTGGCCTGTATTATAAAGCAGACGGTGAGCAGCACTGAGCATGGAGTACAATGAAGTGCAAAGAATTCTCAAAGGAGAAAGAGCCCAATGCTGGCAGCACAGATGGCAGTGAGGATCGGGAGATACGGCAGGGGGAGCAGGCACCGCAGGTGGGCCTCGAAATGCAGATGGGCTGAAAAGGTACAGATGGCAGCAGGTGCTTCAGGACAAGCTGAAACAAAGAAAAGCAGGCGCCAGCCCCCTCAGCATGGGGCAGGAAGGAGAGAAGATGAGGCCAGCTCTAGCTGGATCAGCTGAAGTTTGTTTTTGAATGGCCACAAAAGCCAGGCTGAAGAGTTCACCTTTCCTCTGTTAGGCCACGGGAAGCGACTGCCTTTTCTGGGAAGGAGTGGTAATGTTGAGAGATTTATCTTGTAGCTGATATAGAACAGACCTAGTTGGCCAGATGTGGTGGCTCACACCTTATGTAATCCCAGCACTTTGGGAGGCCGAGGTGGGCAAATCACCTGAGGTCAGCAGTTCGAGACCAGCCTGGCCAACATGGCAAAGCCCTGTCTCTACTAAAAATACAAAAATTAGCTGGGCGTGGTGGCAGGTGCCTGTAGTCCCAGCTACTCAGCAGGCTGAGGCAGGACAATTGCTTGAGCCTGGGAGGCAGAGGTTGGAGTAAGCCAAAATCGTGCCACTGCACTCCAGCTTGGGCAACAGAATAAGACTCTGCCTCAAAAAAAAGAACAGACCTAGTTGGAGGGAGACCAGGTAGCAGGCTCTGAAGAGTACAGAGGAAGGTGTGATGAAATAACAAATATATCTGGTCTTTGCTACTCAGTTCCAGGCACAGAGCTCCAAAACTCTTGGAATTTCCTGAGTGACAGGAGTGTCTTGTTATTTATAACGAGCCCCTTCTCACCATACCTGAGCTTGTGCTAATACAGTAACCTGTAGTCCGCGCTGGGTTTCAAGGAAGGGGCTGGCCGTGCCTGGGAGACCAAGCACATAATTAGAGGGTTGGAGCTTTCGGCCTCACTCCCTTCCTCCACCTCCAGGCGCTAGAGGTTGGGATCAAACACGTGGCCAGTGGTTTAAGCCATCATGCCTACTGAACAAAAACGCTATAAAAATCCCAGACATCATGGCTCAGTGAAGCTTCCTGATTGGTGAAGACGTTGATGTGCCGGGTGACACACATCAGTGGGGGCGTTGTGGGAAGCTCCAAATTTGTAGTCAAGCTGGACACAAGTATGGGTGGCCTGGGGACCTCACGTGCAGCTGGTGTCTGAAATAAGAGGAGTCTTGTTGGTGATCTCACCCTTTAACTTTTAGGTCTGATGCTAACTCCAGGCAGTTAGTGTCAGAATTGAAGGATCTGCCCTTGACCTGTGGGGTCTGTGCTGTCTCTGAGTAGTTAGTGTCAGAACGGAATTGAATTGACTGGCAGGACCCCCAGTGGGCATCAGAATGCAAAAGGCTACAGGAGAGCCTTAAAGAAAGCCACAGCTGTGGAAGTGAAAGGAAGAGGTGGACTTAAGAGGCATCATGGGAGCAGACGGTACAGAACCCCACTTCAAACCTAGAGGTGACAGAAGGGAGAAGTGTTGAAGATGACACTGAGGATTTGCCCTATAAAACCAAGACACTGTGGTTCTGTTACTGGAAACAGAGAAGCTCATAGGAGGTGCTGATTCTCAGGGACAGAACAGAGAGGGAGAGGAGTGAGGAAGCAAAGAGCTCATTTCTAGAAAACTGGACTTCAAAGTGCTGACTGGGTGTTCAGATAGAACCATCTCACAACCAGCTGGAAATTCAGGTTGGAAGTGAAGCAAGATGTCAGGGGGAAAGGATGGAAGCTTCAGAGTTATCTGCAGAGGGTGGAATTTGCATTTGGCAGAGTAGATAAGATACTGAGAGAGGAAGAAGACCAAGGATAAAAAGTACTTTCAGAAGTACACAGGCAAAGGGGAGAAGTGAGGCGACCGAGAGAGGAGTTCCACAGCAAAGTGTGGGGAGAAGGGTGCAGAACAACAGCCAGACCACTGTTTTCTTGCCATGGCCTGAGACGTGCTCACATGCCTAGATGCCATCACCACGCAAACGACGGGCTCAACCAGGGCCTCTCCTGTAGAGCTTCATAAAGCCTTTCCTATATTAACAGGCACAGAGCTTCAGGGCAGCCTTTGCTGAGGCTCTTCAAAGATTAGTCAAAAGCTTGGTAAGTTTGAGAAATATTGGTTTAAAAATAACAGTTCTGCTGAGCAAACCAGGAGAAGCAGAAGAAAAAGTGGTGATCAGTCAAGAGACTTGCAGTTGAGAGCGGTAGCAACTAATATCACCAACACACAAATACAAGCAACAGATACAGATACCACTTCTTTCAATAGCCTTAAATTCTCTTCCTCCAGATACACATTATCTGTATATCAATGGTATAAATTTACGCTCCTCCCTCTATAAACTAGCCTTTGTATAAAATGCTGAAGACAATTACAAAAAACCATTTATATCAAATACATATTAAGTCAATCAAGTGTCTGGAGAGCTACTCGATGGCCACAATATTCAAATCTCCCCTACTTAACTTTGTTAAGTTCTTCAAAAAGGTAAAAGAAATGAAATCAACATTTGTATTATACATATTTGTATTATACGTGAACCTATATTTACATAAGCCAACAAAAATTTGTGTCTGCCTGGAGGAACGGAGAGGCCTCTGGGCAACCGTCAGGATTATGAAAGGAAAAGCTACAGCCTACCCCAAATACGCTTGTTTCCTTTGCCTCCGGAAGGCTGAAAGAGAAGGCTGGCTGAGAGGCAACTCTGGAAGCCAGAGTTGGAGTTTTATCTCAAAAGACAAGTTTTAGGCCGGGCGCGGTGGCTCATGCCTGTAATCCCAGCACTTTGGGAGGCCAAGACAGGCGGATCACCTGAGGTCAGGAGTTCGAGACCAGCCTGACCAACATGGAGAAACCCCGTCTCTACTAAAAATACAAAATTAGCTCGGCATGGTGGTGCATGCCTGTAATCCCAGCTACTCGGGAGGCTGAGGCAGGAGAATTGCTTGAACCCAGGAGGTGGAGGTTGTGGTGAGCCGAGATCGCACCATTGCACTCCAGCCTGGGCAACAAAAGCAAAATTCCATCTCCAAAAAAAAAAAAAAAAACCCAACAAGTTTTAGTGCATCATTTAAAAAAGCCAACCTTAGATATTATTGCTTTGGCTTCTTCTATAGTCTTCTTTAACACTTGCTTCATCTTCTCATTTGGAGCTATAAAAATAAAAAGGAGAGAGGGAGAAAGAGCTGTCAAATACAAAGCCTCTTCTGAAATACCTCAATCCCCTCTGTCTGAGTCAGGGGGTAAATGAACTGAGAGAGAGTGCGAGTGTGGAATTTAGGGAAGAGAAGCAAGAAACCTGGCTGCCGGAAGTTAGGTGAAGACCTCTTCCCAACAGCAGAGACCTGGAGTGTGCTTTACGCAAAGTGGCAAAGGCTACAAAAAACAGAAATGCATGTCGTTGGGTAAACAGGGCCGGTGAACTTTTTCTGGAAAGGGCCAGAGAGTAAAATTTGAGGCTTTGCAGGCCACACAGTCTTGTTGGGTGGGATAACTCAGCTCTGCCACGTAGCACAAGAGCAGACAATACTTAAATAACTGGGGTAGCTGCGTCTCCTTACAATTTTATTTACAATAGGCAGCTGGCTAAATTTGACCTGTAGCCCATAATTTGGTGACCCCTAGATCAGGAAAAAATAATAACTTGAAAGCTTAGAAGCCAAAAAAAAAAAAAAAAAAAAGAAGAAGATGGAATGCCCAAACCTAGGGAAAATGGGGCAAGTTGAAACCATACATTCCTAGTAAATAACAGTATTAATTAGACATTGAAAATATTAGAAACACAAGATTGTATTATAATAGAAGTGGTTAGGCTGGGCGTAGTGGCTCACGCCTGTAATCCCAGCACTTCGGAAGGCCAAGATGGGTGGATCACCTGAGGTCAGGAGTTCGAGACCAGCCTGGGCAACATGCTGAAACCCTGTCTCTATGAAAAATACAAAAATTAGCCGGGCATGGTAGCAGGCATGTGTAATCCCAGCTACTCTGGAGGCTGAGGCAGGAGAATCACTGGAATCCGGGAGGCAGAGGTTGCAGTGAGCCGAGATTGTGCCACTGCACTCCAACCTGGGTGACAGAGTAAGACTCTGTCTCAAAAAAAAAAAAAAAAAAAAAAAAGGTGGTTAATTTAAGAACATATTACATATTGGTTTAATGATGAATAATGAACTGTTAACTGGTTCTCATATTTTTTTTCCTCATCTTACCACATCTTCTTACGTAAGAAAGCTGTGGAAGACAACCATTTTTCAGGTTAACATTGAAAGGAAAAAATACTAGGAATTCTTACTATCCCTGATATTTAAAAAAATGTATTTTTGAGCTGCTAAAGGCCTTGCAGGAATACTGTTCTTTTACTCCTAACAGTGTTTTAGGGCTGTTCAATTACAGTGTTTTAAATGGCGCTTTTAATGCAGGTTAAAAAGAATAAGCTATCAAAAAGGATTATCATCAATTCCACATGATCAGCCAAACACTGAAAGGAGAGGAATTTCCTCAGTGTTTTGCCGTGTACTGAAGTGCTCTGCCCCAGAGAGAAGCATGTCCTTGATCAGGGAAGTCCATGTGCTGACATGCTTTCCCTTTCCTCTTTCACACAGTCCATCTCGAAAGATCCCCCAACATTTGCGAACAGTAACAAAACACAACTCTGAATACATTGCGGTGAGGACCTGCCAACAATTATTAGGTGGAAACACATGAAATTGCCAATACTCAACCATTTTTGAGCTACAGAAGGGAAAGGGTCATTTCATCTGGTTCGTCGAATACATATAAAAGCAAGCTGCAACTTATTAAAGAGCAAGACAAAAGCTTCCTTTATCTACCTAATTCATCCTAGATTAGAGTTTTACCAAAGGAGCTACAGAGTACAGTATTTTGTAAGTCTGTAGAGAAATGACGAGGTCAATTTTTAAACGTAAAGAACTGCTTTCTCACACCTGTAATCCCAGCACTTTGGGAGGCCGAGACCGGCAGATCATCTGAGGTCACGAGTTCGAGACCAGCCTGGCCAACATGGCAAAACCCCGTCTCTACTAAAAATACAAAAATTAGTCAGGTGTGGTGGCACATGCCTGTAGTCCCAGCTACTCAAGAGGCGGAGGCAGGAGAATCGCTTGAACCTGGAAGACAGAGGTGGCAGTGAGCTGAGATTGTGCCACTGCACTCCAGCCTGGGCTAGAGCAAGAATCCGTCTCAAAAAAAAAAAAAGGAACTGTTTTCATACTTATGCCTGTATCAAGCATGCACATAGAAGAGAAATCCTCACTTACCTTGCCCATTCCTTCGTCCAATATCATCCTTTTTAAACACTGCACCTCCGCTGGGTACGCATTTTTCACCCCATTCATCCTTCAATTTCAATTCTTCAATCTGATCATCGGTCAGTCCTTGCATATTAGGAGGGAGAAATATGCCATGTTCGGCTAATTCTTCCATTTCTTAAAAATAAGTGAAAGACAGTATCACAATCATAACACCTCATACCCCATTGGAATGTAAGCTCCAAAGAGTCAGGGGTCTTGCCCATCTGGCTCACTATTTTATGGAACAAACATTTATATGCCACTTGCTATGTGCCAGACCTGGCCTGGGCCTTTGACACGGGGGCATGGTACTGGTCTTATTCATCCTTGTCTTTTTTTTCTTTGAGACAGGGTCTCCCTCTGTCACCCAGGCAGGAGTGCAGTGGCGCGATCTCAGCTCACTGCAGCGATCTCAGCTCACTGCAGCATTGCCTCCCGGGTTCAAGCGATTCTCACGCCTCAGCCTCCCGAGTAGCTGGGACAACAGGCATGTGTCACCACGTTTTGTATTTTTAGTAGAGACTGGGTTTCACCATGTTGCCCAGGCTAGTCTAGAACTCCTAGGCTCAAGTGATCCGCCCGCCTCAGCCTCTCAAAGTGTCAGGATTACCCGTGTGAGCCACCACGCCCGGCCCCATCCTTGTCTTCTGAAGGCTGAGCACTGGTGCAGAATAAATACATGAATTTTCAGTTCACTAATGTGACTCTTAGCATTCAGCACATTTCCAATTTATAACGTTATAGGAAAAGAAGATGAATTCCTTTTCTCCTCAAATGCTTTAACTTAAAAATAACATTTAATATTGAGTTTGTGTTGGAACCTCAATTAAGAAACTACACATAAGTTTCATGAAAAGAACCATGACCCTCAGGAATTTCTCCACGGTGCAAAACTCACATATTCATATAATGTAATCAATACATTTCATAATAAATCACATATTCATGCAATTTAATAAATCACATAAATGAATATACTATTTATTGCAAATAGTTACGTTTGTATATTCTATATATACACGATAGTTATATAAACAGTAATATCCTAGACCACATCAGGAAGTATCATCCCGTCAAGTTCAAAAACTATGCTGTCTAATGCGGCAGCTACTCGCTCCACTTGGCGATTTAAATTTATTTAAATTAAAATGACCCAGACGCGATGGATCACACTTGTAATCCTAGCACTTTGGGAGGCGGAGGCAGGCGGATCACCTGAGGTCAGGCGTTCGAGACCAGCCTGGCCAACATGATGAAACCCCGTGTCCACTAAAGATACAAATATTAGCTGGGCGTGGTGGTGGGCGCCTGTAATCTCAGATACTTGGGAGGCTGAGGCAGGAGAATAGCTTGAACCCGGGAGGCGAAGGTTGCAGTGAGCAGAGATCGCGCCACTGCACTCCAGCCTGGGCAACAGTAAGACCCTGTCTCTCACACACACACATACCATATATATATATATATATATAATTTATTTATATTTATATATACATATATATAATTTATTTATATTCATATATACTATATATATGGTATTTATTTATATTTATATATATTTAATTAATTAAAATGCAAATGTAAAATTCGGTTGCCTGGCCGCACTAGCCACATTCCAAATGCTCTACGGCCACAAGTGGCCGGCAGCTGCCCAATGGACAGCACAGATGGGGGCCCTTCCACCGCCGGAAAGTTCTGCGGCAAAGCGGGTGCCCTGGAACCTGCGCGGGGTAGGGAGACGGCGCCGCAACGCAACAGGCCGTTTCCAGGGCGGGGAAAGATCACCAAGGCTTCCTCAACTGTAAGGGGCCGTCCCAAAGCCAGGTGGCTCGCTGCTTTACATTGGGCGACTAAAAATAGTAAATTCAGCTTTTAAAAGCCCACCTAGTTCTCATCTCACCCCTCACACGTGATTAATTGCACTAAGTCTGCTGTTCAGCCCGGCCTTTCGGCTCCCTCCTCCCTCCCCAGCCCATTTCCACTTATTCGCAGCACCCCAAATCCTGGCTCCGAGAGGCACCTGGGCCCACCTCCCAGCCCGGGGTGTCAGACAGGCCGGATCTTCTCCGGTTCCTTATTCATCTCCGGTTAACCCTAGTGTCCCGTTTCAACCCCGGCTGCTGCAAATCTCTTCAATAATCTTCACAAACCTGACCCCTCGGCCCACCCTGCCCCTCTTTCTCCATCCCACGCCGGTCTCTCGATCTGTCCGGGATGGGCCCACCCGCGAGCCGCACCTGAGCAGAGGCGCTGCACCTTGAGCCGCCCATTATAGACCCGGGCCACCTGCACCGTGAGCTCCTCCAGCTCGGTACTCCCAGGCGCCTGCAGCAGGAACTGGCTCTCGTCGCCCCGCTTCACGTGCAGCAGAACCATGGCGGTCCCGCCGAGGTACTGAGGCGTTGAGAAGGCCCCGGCTGCGTGGCCCGCGGGTCCTGCCGGCCGAGGGTCGCCGGATCGCCAGCAGCTGCGACGCACTAACAGCCGCTCACAGTCCGGAATCCCACGCTCCCTAGCCCGCGGTGAGCGGGGGAAACGGCACTCGCTCCCGGAAGTGGATGTTGCCAAGAGCAACAGTGAAGCAGAGTTAAAGAGCCGCCAGCTCAAGCTCAGAACCCGAGTGGGGGAGGCTGGGGTGCACCGAGGCCCAGCAATCCAAGCCCGTACGGAGCTGCGGCCGGGGAAACCACCCACACAGTCTGAGAGGACAGCTGATTCTGAGCGGACCGACGGAAGGAGATTCGCAGAGCCCCTTCCCGGAAGTGACTGTTGTCGCGGCAACTGCCAAAACACAGACCAAGTCGCTGAAGGGGAGGGCGGACCTCCCAATCGACTGGTCTGGGGCCCGAGATTTCCACTCAGGGAGATACGTGGGCTGAGATGGGAGTTACTAGATGGGGAACGGGAAATACGGCGGGAACCACAATCGCGCAGTTCCGCAGCTGCCGCCCCACAACCGCTCCACATTCCAGCGTCCCTTCCGCCGCTTTCAGTCTCCACTTCCGGCAACGTTTCCACGCTGTTTCCGGCCTGGGAAAGTTCGGCGGCAGCGACCCAGAACTGAGTCTTGCTGTTCGCTGCTGTTTGCGCGGGTCAGCTTTTCAGGACGGAGGGGCCAGGGCGAGTGTCCGCACTTCTTCGTTCAGGTTGATTTGGATGGCGTTGCTGGGGTAGCTCCAGCGGCCCCTGCCAGAGCGACCCTCCCAGAAATATCCAGCCATCCTCCAGCGGACTCTTGCTGAAGGCAGTCGGCGTCAGTCGCTGTTTATTCCGGGCCCCACAGATCCAGAGTCACTGCTCTCATGGAGCTTATATTTTAGTGTGACAAAAAGAAAACAAAAATAAATGGACAGGCCAGGAGCGGTGGCTCACGCGTGTAATCCCAACACTTAGGGAGGCCGAGGAGGGCGGATCACCTGAGGTCAGGAGTTCGAAAGCAGCCTGGCCAACATGGTGAAACCCCTTCTCTACTAAAAATACAAAAATTAGCCGAACGTAGTGGCGCGTGCCAGTAATTCCAGCTACTAGGGAGCCTGAGGTGGGAGAATTGCTTGAACCCGGGAGGCGGAGGTTGCAGTGAGCCTAGATCGCGCCACTACCCTCCAGCCTTGGCGACAGAGTGAGACTGTGTCTCAAAAATAATAAATAAACAAACGGACAACACAAATTCAAATACAGATCTAAAGAAAACTAAACAGGTTGATGGACTTCTTATGTTTGATGGTCAGGGAATGTACACCTTCTGCGATATTGGGAGTAATATTATCGTCTCCCGCCCTGAATATTTAGAAAAATATCACAGTGGGGTGTACACCCCTGCGATATTGAGAGTAATGTCATCCTCTCCACCCAGGAAATTACTAACAAGGTCACGGAGGGGTGTACTCCCCCTGTGATATTGGGAGTAATGTTTTCCTCCCCAAACCTGGATGTTAGCAACAAGATAACAGAGGGGGTGTACACACCCTGCGATATTGGAAGTAATATGATCCTCTCCCCCCCGGATACTGGGAAAAATATCACAGCGCGGGTATACATTTCCTTCGCTGTTGGGAGTAATATCATTCTTTTCCTCTCTGGATATCAGGAACAATATCACAGGGGTGGTGTACATTTCCTTCGATATGGGGAGTAATATCATCCTCTCCCCGTTGGGATACTAGGAACAATATCCCAGGGGGGTGTCCACCCTCTGCGATATTGGGAGTAATATCATCCTCTGTTTCCCCGGATATTAGACACAATATCACAAAAAAGTGTACACCCCCTGCGATATTGGGAGTAATATCATACTCTCCTTCCCTGGATATTAGAAAACAATATCATCAGGGGTGAGCACCCCCTGCGATAATGGAAGTAATATTTTCTCTTTTTTTCTTTTCTTTTTTTTTTTTTTTTTTTTTTAACAGAGTTTCACTCTTGCTGCCCAGGCTGGAGTGTAATGGCATGATCTCGGCTCACTGCAGCCTCTGCCTCCCGTATTCAAGCGATTCTCCTGTTTCAGCCTTCCAAGTAGCTGGGATTACAGGCATGCGCTACCATGCCCGGCAATTTTTTTTTTTTTTTTTTTTTTTTGTATTTTTAGTAGAGACAGTGTTTCTCCATATTGGTCAGGCTGGTCTTGAACTCCCGACCTCAGGTGATCCGCCTGATTCAGCCTCCCAAAGTGCTGAGATTACAGGCGTGAGCGATCGCGCCCAGCCACCACTTAGCATTTTCATTTTACATTTGTTGAAGTTACAGATTTATACACACATTGATTGCTGCTTTATTATACACTTGCATATACATAAAATGGGAAATAGAAAAGAATAAAATGGGCACAATATCCCTAAAGTTTCACATTCCGAAACATTTTTTAAATATTTGCTTTTTAGAAATTTGTTTCAATTAAGAAACTGCGGTATACACACACAATGAAGTATTATTCAGCCTAAAAAGGAATAAAATCCTCTCCGCTGCAGAAAAAATGGATGAGATTGCAGGTCTGTATGTTAAGTGAAATAAGCCAGGCACAGAATGACAAATATTACATGTCCTCACTTATACGTAGGAACAAAAAAGAAAATCTTGGCCAGGTGGCTCAGGCCTGTAATCCCAGCACTTTGGGAGGCCGAGTTGCACGGATTACTTGAGGCCAGGAGTTTGAGAGCTGCCTGGCTAACATGGTGAAACCCCGTCTCTACTAAAAACACAAACAATTAGCCAGGCGTGGTGATGCGTGCCTGTAGTCTCAGCTACTCGGAAGGCTGAGGCCCAAGAAGCGCTTGAACTCGGGAGGTGGAGGTTGCAGTGAGCCTGGACTGTGCCTGTATGCTCCAATCTGGGCAATGGAAAGAGACTCCATCACACACCTACAAACAAAAGGAATCTCAGGAAGGTGGAGAGTATAAAGGGGGTTAGCAGACGCTAGGAAGAAAAGGGGTGGATGGGGAATGAGGAGAAGTGGATAATTGGGTCCCAAAATACAGAAAGATGGAGTAAGTGAGTTCTAGTGTTTGATAGTACAGTATGAAAATTTTAGTTCACAAGAATTTCTTGCATATTTCCAGATGCTTTGGTAAGAAGCTTCCTAACTTTCTCATTATGCTGGTTTTTAAGCTCTTGTCTTCTGCTCTTGAAATCATGCTGGTTTTTTGTTTTTTGTTTTGAGATGGAGTTTTGCTCTTCTTGCCCAGACTGGAGTGTAACAGTGCAATCTTGGCTCACCACAACCTCTGCCTCCTGGGTTCAAGTGATTCTCCTGCCTCCACCTCCTGAGTAGCTGGGATTACAGGCATGCGCCAGCATGCCCAGCTAATGTTGTATTTTTAGTAGAGACGGGGGTTTCTCCCTGTCGGTCAGGCTGGTCTTGATCTCCTGACTTCAGGTGATCCGCCCGCCTTGGCCTCCCAAAGTGCTGGGATTACAGGCGTGAGCGACCACGCCCGGCCCATGCTGTATCCTTATCTGTTGTTTGTTGTGGTTTGTTTGTTTTTGAGCCCAGAAATAACTTCTCACCTATGTGTTCAAATGATTTTTAACATGAGTGCTAAGAAAGCTCATTGGTGGAAAAGCAGCCTTTTCAAGAAATGGTGTTGGAGAAACTTGATTTCCACATGCAGAAGAATGAAGGTGGACCCTATGTCACACCAGGTGCAAAAATTAACACAAACTGGATCAAAGACCTAACCCCAAGTGCTAAAAGTATAATATGCCTCAAAGAAAACATTGGCCACACTTTCATGACATCAGATTGGGCAATGCTTTCTGGGATATGACACCAAAAGCATAGGCAACGAAAGAAAATTAGATTCCTTGGATTACATCTAAATGACAGACACTTTTGTGCATCAAAAAACACTGTGAACTGAGTGAAAAGATAACCCATGGATTCGGAAAAATATTTGCAAATCATATATCTGAAAAGAGGCTGATATCCATCATGTATAAAGAACAGCTAGAACTAAGCAACAAGAAACCCAAAGCATCCCATTGACAATGGTCAGAAGACTCGAGTAGACGTGTCCCTAAAGAAGATACAGCAATGGCCAATAAGCATCTAAGATGATGTTCAAAATCACTCATCATAGGGAAGCGCAAATCAAACCAATAATGTGATACCACACATTAGGATGGATATGATAAACAAGCATTGGTGAGACTAGAGGGAAGTAGGAATGCTCGAATATGATTGCAGGGAATGTAAAACCGTGAAGCAACAGTGAAAATAGTATGGCGTGTACTGGAAAAATTAGAAACAGAATTATCAGATGTTCCTGCAGTTGCATTTGTGGGTACCTACCAAAAAGAATTAGAAGCCAGGAGTGGAAGAGATATTTGTACACCCATATTCATAGCAGCATTATTCACAACAGCCAAAATGTGGAAGCAACCCGAGGGTTCGTGGACAGATGAATGAAAAAGCACACTGCAGTTCATTCATACAGTGGAAGACTATTCAGCCTTCAAAAGGCAGGCACTTCTGGCTGGTGCAGTGGCTCCGCCTGTAATCCCGGCATTTTGGAAGACCGAGGTGGGCGGATCACCTGAGGTCAGGAATTCAAGACCAGCCTGGCCATCTTGGTGAAACCCTGTCTCTACTGAAAATGCAAAAAATTAGATGAGCATGGTGGCGTGTGCCTATATTCCCAGCTACTTGGGAGGCTGAGGCACAAGAATCGCTTGAACCCAGGAGGCAGAGGTTGCAGCGAGCCCAGATTGTGCCACTGCACTCCAGCCTGTGCGACAGAGTGAGACTCCATGTAAACACAAAACAAAACAAAATAAAACAAAACAAAACAAAACAAACAAAAAAACCAGACAGGCACTTCTGACACAGGCTGCAACGTGGATGAACCTTGAAGACATTATCGTCAGTGAAATAAATAAATCCCAGAAGGATAAACATGACCAGGCTCAGTGGCTTGCACCTGTAACCCCAGCAATTTGGGAGGCTGAGGCAGGCGGATCACTTAAGGTCAGGAGTTCGAGACCAGCCTGGCCAATACGGTGAAAGCTCGTCTCTATTAAAAATACAAAAATTAGCTGGGCGTGGTGGCACACGCCTGTAATCCCAGCTATTTGGGAGACTGAGACACAAGAATCGCTTGAACCCATGATGTGGAGGTTGCAGTGAGCCGAGATCACACCACTGCACTCCTGCCTGGGCGACAGAGAAAGACTCGGTCTGCAAAAAAAAAAAAAAAAAAAAAAAAAGAAATGCGGTATGATTCCACTTCTATCAAGTGTCTAGAGTAGTTAAACTCATAGAGTTGTGAACTAGAATGGTGGCCCCCAGGGGTGGGCGAGAGAGAGGAATGGAGAGTTTGGTGAATGGGTGCAATTTCCATTTTGAAAGATAAAACTGTTCTGGAGATGATGGCGGTGATGGTTGCTAAACAATGTGAATGTACTTAATGTCATTAAACTGTAAACTGAAAAACAGTGGAAATTGTAAATGTTTATACTGGCCATTCTATAGGAAATAATATATATTTATAATTTTTAATATTTATATGTGGTATATTTTCCCATAATCAAAGATGAAAATGAAAGCAGTTGGATCTTTAAAAAGGAAAGAAGCGAATAATACGTACCAGCTTTCTCCTGATTAGAGGAAGAGCCCCAAAGCTTCTATGGACACTCACTTTTCTCTTCTTCTTGCATTATTATGAGGAAATCCTTAGAGGTTGGGGAACTTGGGTGACTTTGGCTAATGAGGAGCTCTGTGCCTTGAGGCCCCCAGGCCACAGAATAGTAAATACTCAGTCTGTGCCTCCAGCCCTGCAGTGTGAGGTTCCAGTCCTGTGGGCTCCACACCCGTCACCTGTATCAGGAGGCTCATGTCTCACCCTGTCTTCTTGCCAGCCTTGAGGACGGAGTCTGAGCCTCCATCATGCACCACGCAGGGAGGACAGTGGACCTGTTCTCCGTGGTCACGGCCTAGCAGAGGGGAAGGGCAGTTCAGTGAGTGCTGAGGGACCGCTGGGAGGCTTGTTTTGTTTCCTCATCCTCAAGACAAACAAGAGAGTGCGGTGGGCAGATGGGAGGAGACCAATGTGCAAACTGTCCACTCAGCAGACTGTGGAGTTTCTGTTCTTGGTTGTGGTGGGGGGTCTCAGAAATCTTATTCAAAATTTTGCTTTCCTCCCCCACTGGTTGTCCTTTTCATAGACATCTCATCCATGATAGCAGGGAATGAGTCTCTCTAAACTATTCCCTAAGAACAACAAAAAGATTATGAAGGTGATGATGAGGATAAAGAGGATGATGACAGACACCATGGCACCATGAACCCTTACTGAGGGCTTCCTAAAGGCCAGACTCTGAGCTCTGTGCTCTATGCAGCTTGTTTCATTTCATCTGCGTAGTCTCCCAGTTATTAGTGCACATTTCATTATTATTTTACAGACTAGAAAAGGAGCAACGCATTTTCATATAACTTGTACCAGATCATGAAGTCAAAAAGGGTGAAGTCCAATTTGAACCAGGCAGTCTAAGTCCAGACACATGGCATTTGGCCAGTCCTCTCCCTGCATCCAACCTGCCCTCTCAAATCCTTGTCACTCAGGCCGATGCCCCTGCTCACTGTGCCCTTCCCTTTGGGGGTTCCTTGTAGACCACAGCTAGACCAGTGGGTGCCACAATCACTGTGTCAAGTATAGAAAGGGCAGCTGAGATCACATCAAGGATTCCAGAAAGAATTAGTACAGGATCATTCGGGATGCATCTCTCCCTTGCCCCTGTTCCTGGCTTTCCTTACAGCTCTCGACTTCCTCAAAGGAGTCATCAGTTCGGAGATTGGCTTCCATTCCTATTGAGGAAGCTGGAAACCGTTTCAAAAATGCTCCTCAGATGTGCCTGTGGTTAAGACCTCTGAGCTCTGCTTAAAACTTTTTGAAGCTGGGTGTGGTGGCTCACACCTGTAATCCCAGCCCTTTGGGAGGCTGAGGCAGGCGAATCACAAGGTCAGGAGTTTGAAACCAGCCTGGCCAACATGGTGAAACCCCATCTCTACTAAAAATAGAAAAAAATTAGCCAGGCGTAGTGGCGTGTGCCTGTAATCTCAGCTACTTGGCAGGCTGAGGCAGGAGAATAGCTTGAACCTGGGATGCGGAGGTTGCAGTGAGCCAACGTCACTCCACTGCACTCCAGCCTGGGCAACAGAATGAGACTCTGTCTCAAACAAAAACAAAAACAAAACCACAACTTTTTGAGAGTTGGAAGACCATGAAGTATAGTACCCGGGACTTAGAGTCTGGCCATGAATTTGGAATACCACCCTTTCTACTTATCTGTATGGCAAAGGGTGAGACGTCCATCCTCTGAGACTCAGCACTCTCATCTGAGTTGATCTAGTTGATCCAATGGAAGTGAGCGATGATGAAACCGATCGTGGGTGCCCGCTGCGTGATCTCTATGTGATGGATGCATAAAGTAAAGGCAAAGTGAATTTTAGATACATTCATTAATATTTTAAGCTTAAAGTCCATACAATTCACCGGAAATATCCCCTGACCTGAAGTTCTGGTTTCCCTGCATTCCAAACAGGACATTTTGTTTTGTCTTTGTCTCGGTAAGTACTGAGTATTGTGAGAGGAACAAGTGAGTGTCTTCTGTTTCTGATTCCCCAGAGTCTATATCTTGCTTGGCACATAGGAGATAGCAAAAGGAAACATCTATGTCAATTACTGAATCGACACTTCCTTGGTTCACAAACATTGGCTGTCATCAGCGTGACTTCGACTTACTTGATTCTTTTCGTTTTTTGTTTTTTGAGACGGAGTTTTGCTCTTGTTGCCCAGGCTGGAGTGCAGTGGTGTGATCTCGGCTGACTGTAGCCTCTGCCTCCCAGGTTCAAGCCATTCTCCTGCGTCAGCCTCCCGAGTAGCTGGGACTACAGGTGCGCGCCGCCATACCGGGCAAAGTTTTTGCAGTTTTAGTAGAGGTGGGGTTTCACCATGTTGGCCAGGATGGTCTTGATCTCCTGACCTCGTGATCCACCCTCCTCGGCCCCCCAAAGTGCTGGGATTACAGGCGTGAGCCACCGCATCTGGCCAAACGTTCTTATGAAAATTCTAAGTCCACCTAAGCTAAGGACAGGAGTTATAGCTTACATGAATTTTAAAACAAGATGCACCGATTTGAGTAAGCAATTACTCTCTTGAAGGAGAAAAGTCAGAAAGCATAATGAAATCACTAGGACCTAACTGGCATGTGGAACTATTTTCTGCTTATGAACTATCAACTTTAATTTCATTTCCAGATGGCATGGTTTCAGCTGTTATACAGTGTTTATAAATGTTCTAAATCAAGGGAATTTGTATCAATCTATTAGAATAAAATAAAATATTTGAGTTCTTAATTTCCTTTAATTAGGATAACCTTTTTCTTAAAGTGAAGAGAATGGTTTTATTACATATTTTTCTTCGGAAAAGATAGGCTATATTTTCTAGCAATTACGAATTTGTTATATATGATGATCTGGTTCTTGGAACATTCTTGAATCTAGTGTCTCTAAGGCAGGTGTGTAGAGCAAGAAGTGAATAACACAGAAATCAATGATGAAAGCATTAGAAGACAATTGAGTTTGTCAGAACTGTAAAATATTGCTGAGTGTGGATTGCTCTGAAATCTGAAAACATGACTTGTGAATTGCTTATATCCAAAATGCAGACACAATGCTGGGTGTTGGTTTACTTGTTTCCGGTTTTTCAACCCTCTTTTCTAAGCAAAAGATGTCCAAACTATACAGACCCACAGAATCTAACAGATGTCTTTATATTCCTCCTCCTAGAACTCTCAGAGGATCCAGCACTGCAGCTGGTCGTCACTGGGCTGTGCCTGTGTGCCTGGTCACGGTGCTGTGGAACCTGCTCAGCATCCTGGCCGTCAGCCCTGACTCCCACCTCCACACCCCCATGCACTTCTTCCTCTGCAACCTGTCCTTGCCTGACATCGGTTTCACCTCCACCACGGTCCCCAAGATGATCGTGGACATCCAATCTCACAGCAGAGTCATCTCCTATGCAGGCTGCCTGACTCAGATGTCTCTCTCTGCCATTTTTGGAGGCATGGAAGAGAGACATGCTCCTGAGTGTGATGGCCTATGACCAGTTTGTAGCCATCTGTCACCCTCTGTATCATTCAGCCATCATGAACCCGTGTTTCTGTGGCTTCCTGGTTTTGTTGTCTTTTTTTTTCTCAGTCTTTTAGACTCCCAGCTGCAAAACTTGATCGCCTTACAAATCACCTGCTTCAAGGATGTGGAAATTCCTAATTTCTTCTGTGACCCTTCTCAACTCCCCCATCTTGCATGTTGTGACACCTTCACCAATAACATTATCATGTATTTCCCTGCTGCCATATTTGGTTTTCTTCCCATCTCGGGGACCCTTTTCTCTTACTATAAAATTGTTTCCTCCATTCTGAGGGTTTCATCATCAGGTGGGAGCTATAAAGCCTTCGCCACCTGTGGATCTCACCTGTCAGTTGTTTGCTGATTTTATGGAACAGGCGTTGGAGGGTACCTCAGTTCAGATGTGTCGTCTTCCCTGAGAAAGCGTGCAGTGGCCTCAGTGATGTACACAGTGGTCACCCCCATGCTGAATCCCTTGATCTACAGCCTGAGAAACAGGGATATTAAAGGTGTCCTGTGGCAGCCGTGCAGCCGCACGGCAGCACAGTCTCATCTCAATATCTTATCTGTTCCATTCCTTTTGCAGGATGGGTTAAAAAAGGCAGCAAGGTCAAATAAGAATGACATCCCAGGGTGAACACCCACTGTGATATTACGAGTAATACCTCCCTAGGATATAAAAAACACTGTCACAGAGTATACACATGGGGTACACCCACTGTGATATTAGAAGCAATATCTCCCTAAAATATTATGAAAAATATCACAGGGTGTGCAGACTGTGTGATATTAGGAGTCATATTTGCCCTGGTTATTACGACTAATATCAAGGGTGTACACACACGGGGTAAACTTACTGTGATATCAGGAGTTGTATCTCCCTGGGATATTATGAATAATATCACAGGGTATACACTATGTGTGTACATCCACTGTAATATTTGAAGTAATATCTCTCTATGAGATTACAAATAATATCAAAGTGTGTACACCCCTGTGACATATTAGGAGTAACATCCTTCTAGGGTATTACAGATAACGTCACAAGGTGTACACCTTCTGTGACATTTTGTGCACCCTTTGTGACATTAAAAGAAACAACCCCCTAGGATATTACGAATAATGACACGGGCGGTTTACACACATGGTGTACACCTCCTGTGCCATCAGGGGTAACATTCCCCTAGGATATTACGAATAATATCACAGCAGGTGAACACACATGGTGTACACCCCATGTGACATTAGGAGGAACATGCCCCTAGGGTATTAGGAATAGTATCACAGGCGTTGAATACGCATGATATACACCCCCGGTGACATTAAAAGTAACATCCCCCTAGGATATTAACAAGAATATCACAGGGAGTACACCCCATGTGACATTAGGAGTAACATCCCCCGAGGATATAACGAATAATATCAGAGGGTGTACACGCATTGTGACATTAGTAGTAACAGCCCGCTATGATATGACGAGTAATATCACAGGGTGTACACCACGTGTCACAATTGTAGTAACATTCCCCTAGAATATTACGAATAATATCACAGGAGGTACAGCCCCTGTGATTCACGAGTAACATTTCTATAGAATATTACAAGTCATATCACTGTGTGACTCTGTGTACACCCCATGTGACATTGGGAGTAACATCCCACAAAACTATTACGAATAATATCACAGGGTGAACACCCTCTGTGACATGAGGAATAACGTAGTTTTAGGATATTATGAATGATATGACAAGGTGTACACACCCTGTGATGTTAGAAGCAACATCCGTCTAGGATATTAGGAATAATATCACAGGGAACACACCCCCTGTGACATTAGGATATTACAAATAATATCACAAGGTGTACACGCATTGTGACATTAGTAATAATATCCCTCTCATATACTATGAATAATATCACAGGGGGTACATCCCTGTGACATTAGGAGTAACATCCCCCTAGAATATGATGAATAATATTGCAGGGGGTACACACCCTGTGACTTCAGGAGTATCACCGCCCTGGAATATGAGGAATACTGTCCCAGGGTATTAACCCCCTGTGACCTGAGGAGTAACATCCCGCTGGAATATTATGAATAATATCACAGTGTGTACACCAACTGTGATATTAGGAGTTCTATTTATTTTTAGGATATTAGGGATAATATCACAGCAGATATACACAAATAGTGTGTACACCTACTGTGGTATTAAAAGTTATGTCTCCCTAGGGTATTGCGAATAACATCACAGTGGGTGTACACCCACTGTGATATTTGAAGTAATATCTCCCTAAGATATGACAAAAAATATCAAAGGGTGGACCCCGTCTGTGACATCAAAAATAACATCTCTTGTGGATATTCCGAATAATATCACTGGGGAGTGTGTATTGGGGAAGGGGGCCTGTGGGGAGAAAGTGTATGACTGAAGGCCTGGAAATGCCCAAAGCCAATCCCGGCTTCATAGGAAGACTGATAACTGATAGTGGATAGAAGGGGGATGGAGCCTTAGGGGGAAGATGTGTTATTATTTCTAGTACTGTTGAGACAGGGATCACCCAAACGCTGGAACAGGCAGTACTGGTCTGATTGGCAAATGTCTATCTCGCCGGAAGGAGAAATGGGCTACTATGTTTTCTTAGCTCCTGACTGCCCGCCATAAGGTCATGCCCTTTCTCTTGAATCCAATTCTGTACCCATCAACTTCTTAAAATTTTACAGTATAGCCTTCCAGATAGAGAGCTACATGTCCACAAACTTACATATTTTACAGGGTCTCAATATAATTTTTAATAATATTGAGAAATGTAGAAAATCGTTGCATAAGAACCCATGTACTGACCATCCAGTTTTGTTTAAATATGTAGGTTAGTAATCATCTAGTGATTATTAAAATCACCACAGATCAAGCCTGTGCAGTATCTTTAAATTTGTCAGCCCTGGTATTCGTTGTCCTCATGACTTTATTATAACTGCATTCTGTTCAGCATTTTCTTTTTTTTCTTTTTTCTCTTTTTTTGAGACAGAGTCTCACTCTTGTCGCCCAGGCTGGAATGCAGTGGCTCATTGCAACTGCTGCCTCCTGGGTTCAAGCAATTCTCCTGCCTCAGCTTCCTGAGTAGCTGGGATTACAGGCGCCTGCCACCACGCCCAGCTAATTTTTGTATTTTTAGTAGAGACGGGGTTTTGCCATGTTGGCCAGGCTGGTCTCGTTACCTCAGGTGATCCGCCCGCTTCAGCCTCCCAAAGTGCTGGAATTATAGGCGTGAGCCACCACCTGGCCCTGTTCAGCATTTTCTTAAGGTCCTTTTCTTCTCATACAGGTCTTGTCTTAAATATCTGTGGTTAGCTCTTTCTTGGTGTGGTTTCAGCAATCATAAATCATGCAAAGCCTGTTGTCTTGCCCTCAGGCACCCAAGTGACTTCTGAATCTGAAGACCAAGATGACACCTGGTGTGTGGTCTTGTGAGTTTTGGCTGGTTTTCTCTTAGTGTTTTAGGTGCTGTTTCTGTTCTAGGATGAAGAGCATCTTATGACCATTTGTATCTGTTAAGCAATTCATCAGTGATTAACGTCCTGGTCTGGATAATTTATGAGTCATTCATGATGGCTGCTGGATGTCAGGCAGCCAGAAAGAAAAAGAGAAAATTTAACTCTATTGACTACTTTTTTTTTGTCCTAATACACTACAGATACAGTTAAAGCCCCCACATACCTCTTTCTAATCCCATTCTCGTCTTCTTCTCCAGAGGTAAATTGCTATTCTAAATTTGGTGTTTATCATTTCCATTGCATGTTTTTTATACCATTAACGTGTATGTACCCCTAAAAATATATCCTCGTGTATTTTAAATTTTTTTATTTTATTTATTTATTTATTGAGACGGAGTCTCACACTGTCACCCAGGCTGGAGTGCAGTGGTGCAACCTCGGCTCACTGCAACCTCCGCCTCTCAGGTTCAAGCGATTCTCCTTGCCTCAGCTTCCCAAGTGGCTGGCATTACAGGCGCCCGCCACCAAGCCCAGCTGATTTTTTTGTATTTTTAGTAGAGATGGAGTTTCACTATGTTGGCCTCGAACTCCTGACCTCGTGATCCGCCCGCCTTGGCCTCCCAAAGTACTAGGATTACAGGCATAAGCCACCGCGCCTGGCCTTTTAAATGTTATATAAATGGTGTCTTACTATTTTGTATCTTGCTTTATGGCTACACCGTGAGGTTTTCTCGTATGTTCTTTTCACTCACTTATTTTCACTGCTGTCTACGATTCCACTGTATGACTATGCCACTCCACTCCCCTGTTGATGTTTATTTGTGGTTTTCACCATTACAAACAATGCCTCTCATGCTCCACAGGTCCTAGTTTCTCTAGAAGTCGGATTTCTTATTGATAGGGTATATGAATTTTACCTAACATTGTTAAATTGTTTTCTTGAGCTGATGTGCCAGTTTACCCTTTCACCAACCATGTTAAGAGTTCCCCCCTCTCCATATAATTGGTAATCCTTGATACAGTCAGACATTTTTCTAACATTAATAAATTGGTGTTTTAATTTATACATCAGTTTCTTGTGAGTTTGTTTATTACATGCCTATCACCCTTGCTATAGTTTCTGGTCCTGCAGAGCTCAGAATCTGGCTGTGGGTCATGTAAAAACGATGAAGACTAAGCTACAGACTGGAGAAGTATCTGCAAACCATATATCCAATGAAAGATGAGTAGAATCTGGAATATGTACATAGCCCTCAACTGTAAAAACAAAATCCATTTAGATGATGGGTAAAATACCACAGACACTTCACTGAATATAAGATGGCAAATAAGCACTTGAAAAGATCTTCAGGCTGGGCACAGTAGCTCACGCCTATAATCCCAACACTTTGGGAGGCCGAGGTGGGTGGATCACCTAAGGTCAGGAGTTCGAGACCAGCCTGGCCAAAATGGTGAAACCCATCTCTATTAAAAACACAAAAAGTTAGCTGGGCATGGTGGCAGGCGCCTATAAGCTCCACTACTTGGGAGACTGAGGCAGGAGAATCGTCGGAACCCTGGAGGCGGAGGTTGCAGTGAACCAAGATTGTGCCACTGTACTCCAGCCTGGTTGACAGAGCAAGACTCTGTCTCAGAAAACAAAACAAAAACAAAAGATTTTTATCATTAGCTGTTAGGGAAATGCAAATTGAAACTACAATGAAACATCCACTACTATAATGGCTAAAATAAAAAATAGTGACACCACCAAATGAGGAAAAGGATGTGGAGAAGCTGGATTACTCATGCATTGCTGATGGGAATGTAAAAGGGTAGGCACTCCGGAAGAGTTTCAGTTTTTAAAAAACTGAAGCATGCCATTACCACATAACCAAGCAATTGCACTCCTGGGCATTTATCCCAGAGACATGAAAACTTATCTTCATAGCAGCTTTATTTGTAATAGCCACCAAACTGGAAACAACCCAAGTGTCCTTCAGTGGATGAATGGTTAAATAAACGGTGGTACATCCATACCATGGAATACTATTCAGCAATAAAAAGGAACAGAGTACATGCAAACTAGATGAATCTCCAGAGAATTATGCTGAGTGAAAAAAGCCAACCCCAAAAGGTTACATACCATGATTCAATTTATGTAACATTCTTGAAGTGAGAAAATTATACATGCGGAGATCAGATTAGTGGTTGCCAGAGGTTAAGGGCAGGGGAAAAGGAGATGGGATGAAAGGGCAGTGGGAAAAGGGCAACATGAGGGCTCCTTATGGTGATGGAAATGCTCTGTATTGTTCATGTCTCGGTCATGCTCTGGTACTGTAGTTTTGCAAGCTGTTACCCATGGGGGCAAGTGGGTAAAGGGGTACACGGGGTCTCTGTATTATTTCTTATAACTCCATATTAACCTACAAGTATCTTAAAATGGTTTTTGTAAGCCAATAATTCTGTAACTTCTTAATAAAAGGTTAATGAACATTAAGAATTAAAGTAAGAATTTCAAATATCAATCAGACAGGTCTGAAAAAAGGCAATACTAGCCTTGGCTTTTTTTTTTTTTTTTTTTTTTTTGGTGAGATAGGGTCTTGGTCCGATGCCCAGGCTGGAGTGTGGTTGTGTGATCATAGCTCACTCACTGCAGCCTCGATCTCCTGGGCTCAAGTGATGCCCCACCTCAAACTTCTGAGTAGCTGGGACTACAGGGACGCACCACCATGCCCAGCTAATTTTTTTGATTTTTACCAGAGATAAAGTCTATGTTGTCCAGGCTAGTGTCGAACTCCTGGGCTCAATCAATCCTCCTGCCTTAGCCTCCCAAAATGCTGGGAGTATAGGCATGAGCCATTGCACCTTGCCTAGCCTTGGCCTCTTTTTCTTTTTTTTGAGACAGTCTTGCTCTGTCCCCCAGGATGAAGTGCAATGGCGTGATCTCGGCTCACTGCAACCTCTGCCTCCCAAATTCAAGCTATTCTCCTGCCTCAGCCTCCTGAGTAGTTGGGATTACAGACGCCTGCCACCACGCCCGTCTAATTTTTGTATTTTTAGTAGAGACAGGGTTTCACCATGTTGGTCAGGCTGGTCTCGAACTCCTGACCTCATGATCCACCCATCTCGGCCTCCCAAAGCGCTGGGATTACAGGCGTGAGCCACCACGCCCGGCCCTGGCCTTTTAATTTGGGTCTCTTTAGGCAGTCCCTTTTTCTGATTGGCTATTTTTGTCCCAATTCCTCTTTGCCCCCCACTTGTTCCTTCTACTTTGGGTAAGAAAAATCATTCATATTTCTTGTATTATTTTCAAGTCAGCATGTTTTTGCGTGAGGGCCTCTCTTATGGAATAAGTGCATGGACTTTTTTTTTTTTTTGAAACAGAGTTTCGCTCTTCTCGCCCAGGCTGGAGTGCAATGGCACAATCTCGGCTCACTGCAACCTCTCCCTCCCAGGTTCTAGTGATTCTCCTGCCTCAGCCTCCCCAGTAGCTGGGATTACAGGCCTGCACCACCACGCCCAACTAATTTTTTTTTCATATTTTTAGTAGAGATGGGGTTTCACCATGTGGGCCAGGCTGGGCATGGACTTTTTAATAATGATTAGTAATCTCGGAAAATCTTCTTAGTTTTAGAGGAAGCACTATCTGGAGAAATGAAAATAAGGTCTTGAATTAAAATATCTGATTCGGCAATAAGGGTTAAGCTTATTTTGTTTGAACGTCACCAAACTTGTGTATGTAAAGTACAAGGAAAATGGCTGAGAAAAATTCTTCCCTTTCTAACAAAGAAGTCAGCATGGTAAAGACAGATATATTTATTTCATATGACAGCACGTTTCACAGGATATGTACAGAATGTCTGTGTACCACTGACTTTAATACTGTACTTCTATAAAGTTTATAGTTATAAATATTGTATGCCACATAAGCAATAAAATTCTTACATATAAACAGCAATCTAATATAGAGAACACAGAGTTCACAAAGAGATCCTTAGTGTCTAACTTCTGCTCTGCTTTTAACAGAACTAGTAAATATTTAATAATACATAGAATAATGGCTAGTTATTTGCAGCATACCTTTAACTTTCATAACTTTGTGCATTTTCAGCAACTTGCCAAGTATAATTTTCCTGATAAAGGCTGGGCTGCTGATATGTATATTTTAGACAGTAGTTTATATTCAATAGGAAACATTGCTCACAGATCTGCAATTTGCACTAGTGAAGTTTACCTAACAATGAATTATTTTGCTAATGGAGAGCAAATACCATATACACTAGTCACATGGATGTTAAAGCCACAGTTTCAACAAGTTAATTCACATTTTGAAGCAACTGCTTATAGTAATACTGCTGTTTAAGACGCTACTGCTGAAATGATTAGAACCTCCAAAAAGCACAATATAAAACTCACAAGAGTTATTTCTAACAGCAAATCTTGGCTGTTAACAGAGAAGATTACTTCTATAAATATAGTATTTTGATAACATTTGAGCATTTAGAAAAATGCTTTTTTTCTAATAGATTTGCTTTATAAGTGCAGTGCAGTTTGCTGTGCTTTTAACATTCTACATATTCGTAGCCATGAACGCTATTTTTTGATATTCCCTCAATGTACATCTTTAAAGGTTAAGTGTGGACATAGGAATTTAGGTGGACATATACAACTCTTTATATAAAAGGAATGTTAATGTAAGTCTTAATGGGTAAAGATGATTGTAACTGAAACTGACAAAGAAACAACTATTGCTCAAGGAGTTTTCTGATTGGTTTACTTAATGATATCAAAATACTACATTCTGTAAAAATTCTGTGTACTTCTTCAAAAAATTAATAAAAGCGGGATCAGTTGCATATTGGCAGTGCAGGAGACAAAATCCGCAGCTACTTTGAGGTATAGCCTCTAAAAACTTAAAGCAGCATCATAGATGTGTTATGTAGCCTCGTAAGAGGGGGGAGAACACACACTGGGTATATTCCCAATTCAAAGCACTCAGGGGACAGCTGCTTTCCCTGCTAAAAGCAAAGTTCCAGAGCAAAAGCAGCAAAAAGAAAATATGGGAGGGATATGGGCAACGTATACTCGAACGTACGCAGAGAAGAGAGTACGGTTAGCTCTAATATTTCTCATTGAACTTGGTGGTATGTGCCTTCCCTGCATATAAGGCCATAGTGCTTTTTTGGGAGCGCTAGAATATCCATCCACTTGACAGTGACCACAAAATAGGCTGTTTCCAGCTGCAAGAACCTCCTCCTGGAGAAAAGCGTATGAAGGTGCTGGAGTGAAAAGTAACAAGGTTGTGTGTATTTGAAGGGGTTGGGTGTGGAACGGTAGAAAATTCTGATTCTGTGGTGAGATTATTCTAGTTTTGAAAACAAAATTAATGAAAGGTCCAAATTACATTTGCAGCCATCTTTTTGGTAATGTGATATTGAAAAAGGGACTTTGTTGGAACTTTTAGGTATAATTTGGTCTGAGTTATAGCCTAGAAATTAAAGTATGAATTGTAAAAATATGTAAATGTATACAGAAGTACATGTGTTTGTATGTATTATATATGTACACATACCTATACTTTTTTCCTTTAAAGCAATGCCTTTCAAAACTCTGTTCACTGTAACCTTGGCAGCTCTTTGGTAAATACTCAAAGATACCAATTGTTAACAAGTATGAGAGGGCTGGTGGAAATGTCAGCTGAAAGTTGGGTGGGCTTTTTGAGATTCTTCAGAAGACTGACCGAAAAGTTTCTGAATAAGGACTGTTTTCTAAAGTATAAGTACTTTTTATGGCTACTACTGTCTCCTATTCATCCAAAGAGAAATACATCAAAACTCCAGTTAACAATGAGAAGGGTTTTTCCTTATTTCCAATATACACATAGTCCAACTCTGTACACATCAAATAGTGGTGTTTTGTGAAGATATCAGTGCACTTACAATGACTTATTGCACATAATGAAATACTAATGCCCAATTCTCTTAGCTCTATCCTGCCAAAAGCAAGTACCCACTGTTTTCTATTGCATGGCGTTATCTTTCTGTAAAGTCCAGTGTGGGTGAAGCCTTAGAGGCCAAGGTCGTGAAAGGATCTACTGGAGGGCTGGTGCCGGGCGGGAGCAGAGGGACAGGAGGTGGAGGAGGTCTTCTTGACGGCAACACACAGAAGGAGACATTTGTACCTTTATTCCAGTCATCATTCAATGTCAGGTTGGAGCCAGAAAATGAACTTGGCTGATTACCCAGTAAGTCTGAACAAGCTGACTTTGACTTCCCTTTCACACCAAAATCCTCTTCTTCCTCGAAGGTTACCCATCCTTTCGGGTTGCTAATTTTTAATGTAGACTGGCCCTGTAGATCAAAACTGTCCTTAAAGCCATCAAGTGAAGATGAAGCCCTGCTTTTGTTATGACCAAGAGGCTGCAGAGAAGGGAAAGGACTGATAGTAACGGGCTCTTCTTTGGAGAACCATGAAGTTGCCTCTGATTCTTCAGACTTGGCTCTAAATGGGTTTCCAGGAGCAGCAGTCCTGTCACTGAAAGGATTTGTCCTGGTCAAGCCAGTAATAAATGGGTTTGGAGAACTTCGCATATTTTCCTGGGATTGACTCCGAGCTGGAATTGGAGGCATTGTTGGCATGCAACTTACAGAACTCAAAACATTACTTTGCGTTGCAGAAGGCAACTGAATCAACCTCTTTGGGTCTGGGGTGGGAACAGGTGACGTTTGAACAGATAGCTGAGCCTTTGATACAGCAAGCAGATTAAATGACAGATCTTCAAATGGGTCAATCTTTAATGGTGATTCTCTTTTGCCATCAGAGATTCCATTTGTTTTTACCTGCAAAAGAAAGGGAGCACTGAAAAATCAGTTTATATTTACTCTTAATACCCCCTATTCTTCCTGTCTCAATTATTCTTCCCTTTTAGGGGCAAGCATGTAAATTTAGAAACTAAAAAGTAGCTTTGTGTAGTTTGTTACTCCGGTGGTTTAAATAACATGAAACACCTACAGTCTTTAAAAACTTCTTTCTAAATAAATCCTTTCTAATTAAATCCATTTTTAAATCCCTCAAAATCAAAGAGCTTATTTCATTCATGCAAGTTTTGAAATGGTAAGAAGGAGAATTGTACAGAATTAACAAATTTGTTCATGCCCAGTTCTATCACATTTCAGCATGAACTTAAGAAATCCATACTTATAACTTATGCTAAATCTATATAAATAAAATTCTAACACCCATCTATGATGATGATGTGGTTTCATTGTTCTTTTAAGTGTGTTTTCTAAAATTAATGTTACTATGGAAATTCAATTTTATAGATAAAATTAATTCTATTAGCATATTTTATTCCTAAGACGAAGACTCCATCTTTCTGTCTTCTACTTGGAAAAATAAATTTTGAGAGTTCTTTGCCCACCCCCTCTTTTTTTTTTTTTTGGAGACCAAGTCTTGTGCTGTCACCCAGGCTGGAGTGCAATGGCACGATTTTGGCTCACTGCAACCTCCACCTCCCGGGTTCAAGTGATTCTTGTGCCTCAGCCTCTTGAGTAGCTGGGACTACAGGCGTGTGCCACCAGGTCTAGCTAATTTTTTGTATTTTAGTACAGATGGGGTTTCACTATGTTGCCCAGGCTGGTCACAAACTCCTGAGTGCAGGCAATCTGCCCACCTTAGCCTCCCAAAGTGTCAGGATTACAGGCGTGAGCCACCATGCCCGGCACAGCTGACTTTTAATGTAAGCTCTCCTTTGTTGAATAAACTGAGTAATGTGAGGCTGGGCGCGGTGGCTCAAGCCTATAATCCCTGCACTTTGTAAGGCTGAGGCAGGTGGATCACCTGAGGTCAGGAGTTCCAGACCAGCCTGGCCAACATAATGAAACCTGTCTCTACTAAAAATACAAAAAATTAGCTGGGCATGGTGGTGCGCGCCTATAATCCCAGCTACTCAGGAGGCTGAGGAAGGAGAATTGCTTGAACCTGGGAGGCAGAGGTTGCAGTGAGCTGAGATCGCACCACCGCACTCCAGCTTGGGCAAGAGCAAAACTCCGCCTCAAAAAACAAAAAACAAAAACTGAGTAATGTGACAACTTTCCATAAAAAAATTGACCCTCCTGTCTTGTAAAAATATTCCAAAACAGATACACTATTAGTAACCAAATGCAACCATTGCTTAAAACCAGAGGAAAAAAAGTTCCATTTTCTATTTGGTTTATGAAGTCTACAACCACAATGATGTGCCTAGAGTGGTGCCTGGTCCCTTCTATGTGACAGAGTTGGCTGTGAACTGTTATCAGTAGGAAGAGTGCTTGGAATTCCTTCACTCCTGCCCTAAATCCCTTGGTCCCTACTCCATAAAGAAGGTGGTTGGAGTGGAGCACAGCCAAGGGACTGAGCAAAGACAAATGATCGGATGAAGGAAAAGAACTATGATTCTTGCCTCATAAGCAAATTAGCTTATCAGGCATACATTATTAATTTTGAAAAAAATGTATATAATTCTTAAAACTAGGGTAGATGACTTGGACACTTATGCTAACTTAAGAAAACTTCAGGGTTGGATACGATAGGGCAAAAAAAAATTCAGTTCAAGACTGGCAATGTAATAAAATGAGCACTGCCCAAAAGGAATTTGGATAGTTGTTAAAGCAACATAACTATACTTTCATGAAATATATTGGAAAAAAACAGCAGCAGTCTCAATAAAATGTAACTGCATACTATGAAACACTTAGTTACTGCTTAAGAATATGGAAGGATGTTCACTTGTAAAAGGAAATGGATGACTTAAGTGAATAACTTTCAAGTATCTGTTTTATTCAACTATCCTAGAATATGCTTTATAATTGGTTGAAACAGTATATTTTTCTTCAAACTTAGTGTGATAAATTTGTACAAAACTAAAGAGAAAACATGTCACAGACTTTAAACTGTACTCTAAATGTCTTAGGTAAGTAGACCTATATGTGGAAATGTACTTAAAAGGAAATTTATATAGATATTATAAAATTAACTCTATATTACCAAAAATCTCTGGACTATTTATAGTTAATACAAAATGAAATACTTCTGTCTGAGACAAAATTCTCCTATGGCAGATAGAATCGTCTGCAACACAGACATTATAGGAAAGGAGAATTTTGTGCTCTGCCAGCTTAGAACAGAAGTCACCTGCTGCATCAGTGCTATACATTTAAACACCTTTATTTGCATATATAAGAAAATTTTTATTTCAAAATAAGTTAATTTGATAGAATCAGGATCATTTTTCCCAGACTTGAAATTACAATGACAACCACATCACCATTCATCACATTAGAATTAATTTGTAATCTAAGCAGGATTTGTGATGACAATATTAAAATTGGTGCTATTTTTACAGAGAAAGGTGTTGGAAGGACCTTTAGATAATCTTGTTATACTGGTAACTTTCATCTTTCTAAACCATCAATTCTTCCTTACCAATAACAATCTTGCTACTAAAACCATTTGAAAAAATATTTCCCCCAAATATTTTTTCCTAAAAAACATACTGAATTTTGTGTTTATGTAATTACATAAATGCCATTGTTAAAACCAAGAACCGATCTGGTTTTGCCAAAAAGGCCTTCATATACCTAAATCTTACTTTCTTGAAGTTACACTTTTTAGTTTTGTTAATTTTCATAAAAAAATGAAGCAAAAAGTGGTAAAGCATTAGCAAGAACAACTACATGGTTCCTAAAATCCAAAATACTAAGAAAAAGAAAAAGCAGGTTTTATGGTATGATAGAATTTATTAATGGAGACAGGTGGTTTTAAAAATGGGTGAAACTTTAGATGTATGAAGCAGAGATTCATACATCTAATGTGTTGAGACGGATGAAAACACATGTAAGATTGATAAATTGTCAGATACCTGTTACCCTGATGGTTGCTCCTGCTTTGAGAAAGGAAACAGACATCAAAGGAAAGAGTTAGGAGGACAATCCGAGATCAACCAGCAACCCTAACAATTCAGTCAACAAAATGCTTTCTAAGTTACAGACAGAACCCAAGAGCAGCAATATTTGCAGGTTGTAACATAAATTCAAAAGACAATTCCAATTCCTTTTATAATTTTGTTGAATTAGGGTCCAGACTTTAGTTTTGTCTGAGGTTGATTACTAACCAGTTCAGTTTTGTTATTCCAAAAATAATACTCCAAATGATTTCAGAGTTCTAAAATATTTTAAGCAACCTGTTATGGACTGAATATTTGTGTGCTCTCCCCTCCCAAATTCATATGTTGATTCCATAAGCCCCTGTGTGATGGTATTTGGAGGTGGGGCCACTAGGAGGTAATTAGAGTTAGATGAGGTCATGAAGGTGGGACCCCATGATGGAATCAGTGTCCTTATGAGAAGAGACACCAGAGAGCGTGTGCAAGGGTGTGTGCATGCTCTCATTCCAGGCACCACATGCAATGAGGCTGTGTGAACACACAGTGAGAAGGTGGCTGTCAGCACACCACAAAGAGTGCCCTCACCAGAACTCAACCATGCTGGCACCCTGATCTCAGACTTCCAGCCTCCAAAACTGTGAGAAAATAAATTTCTGTTGTGTAAGCCACCCAGTCTATGGTATTTCATATGTCAACCCAAGCAGACTAAGACACAGCCTTAGGATAGCCTAGGGATGTCATTATTAGAGAAAATGGCAATGTAATGGTACAAAATGGTACCATTTTTGGTACATACTATTTTGCAAAAAGACTACCCTACTGAAAATTAGTACTCATCCAGCTTGTTTTATCTTACTCAAATTTTCTGAAGGATGATACT
Organism: Homo sapiens; assembly: GCF_000001405.40. Lineage (NCBI taxonomy): Eukaryota > Metazoa > Chordata > Mammalia > Primates > Hominidae > Homo > Homo sapiens. The sequence continues at coordinate 32,635,765 of NC_000021.9, forward strand.
CTTAATATCATTAATTTACTTCATAATGTATTAGTTGGAAGGTACAAGAAACTTGTACCTTACAAGAAATTTGGAATTTACCTTTGTTTAAAAATGAAATCATAATCCCTCTATAATATACCATTATTTTTTAAAATCTAGTATCCTCAAGCAAGTTTTGAGGTAAATCTTCTCCAATATCTAAACCTATTACTAAATAGCAAAACTAATTTTGACAATTCAGAGACATCACCCAGAAATATATTAAGTACTTTAGAATTTCCTGCCTAGTAAACATGAGACTCTTATTTAACACTCAGAGTTTTATGTATCAGCTCTGGCAGTGGACAGGAGATCAGGAATAGGTTTATACTGAGAGGTACAAGGTTGCTGTATCCTCCATTAAATGGGTCTAGAATGCTGTGATTTTTCTACCAGGTCTCACAGTAACAGTATAGCAGTGAGTTCGGTTCCTTTACTTCCAGTTGCATTTCCTTATTTCTGGCTCTCAGCTGATAAAGATGACTAAGATGCTAGAAGTCAGATAGATAAGTGAGGATTTTTTATACTTTGTAAAGGACGTATAACATGTTATATAATCACTCGAATTAAATGAATCTCTTCTATACAAAATTATAAAGTCAAAGGATAAATAATAAAAAGTAAAACTGGGTCATATACATTATGTTTTAAATACCTTGTAGATTTGGAATAGGATAAGTAAAGACTTGTAAAAATTACAAATGTTCAATTCTAAAACTATTTCATGTCATTACAAAATATCAAACTTGTCATATTTAAAAATCTCACCATCAGGTTTGAAAATCTTGTAAATTGTTCAACTTAACAGCTACTTCCAATAATTTAAAATTTTTTTTATTATTTTTAAAATAGGCATTATTTTACGGTTCAAAATTCAAAAGGTACAAAAAGATAGAAAGACTCCTCCTCACCTGCCTCCTGGCCCCCAGCATTGGGCATTCCCTGGAGGAAACTGTAACCACTTTGTGATCCCTCACAATGACACTCTGCATGTAAACAAGACCCCACCCTCCAAGAAAGAAAAGTGTGTCTGTGTATCTAATATTAAGGAGTTTGATATCAATGACTGAGGCAAAAAGATACTTCAGGATTTGAAACAAATATCTTTGTCTTTTTGATGAACTGACAACCATGAGATTCAAGAACACAATCTAAGGGGGCACACACAAAGCATGTGCCCGTCGGCCACCAAATCGCTATACTCACTTCAATGAAAAACATAAAACAATGGAAAGTTTTCTGAGAAAATGATATGTGTCTTAGAATGATTTTATAATGATAACTACAATCTCAGCTAACAGTTTGCACCTCCGGAAGTTTTTCAGAGTACTTTATCTACTTTTGTATTGGTCTAAGGACACTTAAACCATCAGAGTTTTAGTAATTATGGCACGCAACTACAATGAGATGGATGCCCTAAAACAGTCCTAGAAAGCTCAGAGTGGCTAGTTGAAAAAGTTTTTTGCCCTTCAATTACATTTTAAAAACTACAAAAGAGTATACAAGAAAATAAGAAAAATTCACGATTCACTAAAAATGGATTAGCAGAAAAAAAAAATCATTATTTGAAAGAGTTCTACCATTATTATATATTTTCACCATCCTCAATTTTTCTTTTTTCTTTTTTTTTTTTTTTTTTTTGAGATGGAGTCTCGCTCTGTCACCCAGGCTGGAGTGCAGTGGTGCGATCTCAGCTCACTGCAACCTCCACCTCGCAGGTTCAACCAATTCTCCTGTCTCAGCCTCCTGAGTAGCTGGGACTACAGGCGCACACCACCATGCCTGGGTAATTTTTGTATTTTTACAAAACAAAAGAGACAGGGTTTCACCATATTGGTCAGGCTGGTCTTGAATTCCTGACCTCAGGCGATCGACCCGCCATGGCCTCCCAAAGTGCTGGGATTACAGGCATGAGCCACCGCTCCCAGACTTCATCCTCAATTTTCTAAACTAAAAAAATATAGAATTCTTTTTGGTATTAACCAGCTTAAGGGAACATTTATTTTTCTGTATTATATATCCTTCAACTTTTACAAATGTGACTTAATAAATGCTAACTGCTAACTTTATTCATATTGTATTGAATCATATTTACTTTAATATCTGTTTTCACCCTGTAGACACTTAAGAAACTGCTCACTTCTGCCAACTAGCTGGACATACCTATATATCTGTAAAAATAAATGTAAACTATTACTTATAAATGTGTTAAAGGGACATTGCCAATACGTATTATTTCTGTATTTCAGATCTTTCCAAAGTGTAAAAGAAGACTTTTTATTTATTTATTATTATTTTTGGAGGTACAGGGTCTCACTGTGTCACCAGGCTGGAATGCAGTGGAGCGATCATGGCTCACTGCAGCCTTGATGTCCTGGGCTCAAGTAATCCTCCCACCTCAGACTCCCAAGTAGCCAGGACCACAGGTGCATGGCACAACACCTGGATAGTTCTTTAATTTGTAGAGACAAGGTTTCTCTATGTTGCCCAGGCTGGTCTTGAACTTGCAGGCTCAAGGGATCTGCCCACCTCAGCCTTCCAAAGTGTTAGGGTTCACTCATCTCACAGTTTTTTCAAAAGAGTTTAATGAGATACTTTTAAGGAAAGATCACTTTGAAAATTCAGAGTAGGCTGGGCATGGTGGCTCACGCCTGTAATCCCAGCACTTTGGGAGACTGAGGTGGGCAGATTGCCTGAGGTCAGGAGTTCAAGACCAGCCTGGCTAACATGGTGAAACCCTGTCTCTACCAAAAATATAAAAATTAGCCGGGCATGGTGGCAGGCACCTGTAATCCCAGCTACTCAGGAGGCTGAGGCAGGAGAATCGCTTGAACCCGGGAGGCGGAGGTTGCAGTGAGCGGAGATCATGCCACTTCACTCCAGCCTGGGAGACAGAGCAAGACTTCGTCTTAAAAAGGAAAAAACAAACACACAAACAACAACAAAAAACCCAAACATATATATATATATACACATATATATGTATAATAACAAATATAAAAAGAAAATTAAAACTCGTATTTATTTTTACTTCTTATAACAGGCAATAATTAAAATAGGTATGTTCAAAGACTAAATCATATGCATCAAAGATAATATTTTGTGTAACAAATGAGACTTACTTGCGGTTGTGAGGAAGCTTCTGAAGGCAAGCTATGGGATGACCTGCTTCGAGGTGGTGGTTGTGGTGGGGTTTCCAAATTTGGCTGGGGGCCAGACTGAGGCATAGGTGCTGCCACAGGGACAAGAGGCTCTTGCAACCTTTGAGCAGGCGGGGGCAAAGAAGACTGCGGAGGAAAAGCAGCCTGAGGCTTCAGTGGTTCAGGAAGGAAAGTTGAACCTAAAAAACCAGTGGTTGTCAGATGTTAGGTATATTCTAGAAAACCATGTTTTTTTCCTTCTTTAGTGAAATGTTAGGAGAACATTCTAGTTATTTCTTCCCCCAATAAGTAGCCTCATTTCTTGTGGTATAATGAAGGAAGGATATAGCTATCTGAATATATGTTGTAGAAGGTGGGAGATGACAGAAGGAAAAAGAGAAAAATATACAACAAAACCAGTACAGTATTTCTAATATAGTATCTACCTTTCTTTTCTCTCAATTTTTAAAAATTTTTGATTTTTGAGACAGGGTCTTGTTCTTTTGCCCAGGCTGGAGTGCAGTGGTGTGATCACGGCTTACCACAGTCTCAACCTCCCAGGCTCAAGTGATCCTCCCACCTTAGCCGCCCGAGTAGCTGGGACCACAGGCATGTGCCATCACCCCTGGCTAATTTTAAGAGTTTTTAATTTTTTTACAGGCGGGTCTCACTATGTTGCCCAAGCTGGTCTCAAATTTCTGGGCTCAAGTGATCCTCCTGCCTCAGCCTCCCAAAGAGGACCTACCTTTCGACGTTTCTGATGTTTTGCTTTGGCTTTCAGGAGTCAGTCTTCCAGCAGATGCCCGCGCGTGGCTCTGTGGGGCACTGATAACTCCAGCACGAGGAGGAATCGTCTACAGATAGGAAACATAACACTTGAGACATTTACTTACCTTCCACAGGTAAAATTCTGTGAAAACATTTGCTTTTGCATCTCATTTACTTTCTTCTATGGTATTAGTCCCTAATTTGTCATTTTAAGTGCTCTCTACTTGAAGCCATTATAATGATGAATTTTAAAATCTTCCTGTTTACTTCTGACTATTTACTATGTGCCAGACATTATGTTAATTAAGTACTGTACAGGCATTTCCATTTCATCTTCAAAATATCCCTCAGAAGTAGGTATTATTTTATCATCTCTATTTTAAATTAAGATGAAGAAATATATACAACTTGCCCAAAGCCACACAGAAAGCAGAGCCAGGATCCAAACTCAGGTCTGACTGGCTGCAGGGCTAGGGTTCTTAACCATGTGCAATGCTGTCTTTATGGGGAAAACTGGGATGATTTTAAAATATACAAGGAGATAGAGAGATACATACCTGAGCAACTAGGAGACTTTGGGGAAAAAACACCCTGAGATTTGTTTTTTTTTTGGTTTTTTTTTGAGATGGAGTCTCACTCTGTGGCCAGACGGGAGTGCAGTGGCACAATCTCTGCTCACTGCAACCTCTGCCTCCTGGGTTCTGGCACTTTCCTGCCTCAGCCTTCCGAGTAGCTGGGACTACAGGCGCCCGCCACCACACGCGGCTAATTTTTTGTATTTTTAGTACAGATGGGGTTTCACCATGTTGGCCAGGATGGTCTCGATCTCCTGACATCATGATCCACCCGCCTCGGCCTCCCAAAGTGCTGGGACCACAGGCGTGAGCCACCGTACCTGGTCAAGATTTGTTTTTTAAGAGATGGGGTCTTGCTATGTTGCTCCAGCTAGACTTGAACTCCTGGGTTCAAGCGATCTTTCCAATGTAGTCCCCTGCGTAGCTGGGACTACAGGTGCATGCCACTGCCACCCAGCCATATATATTGCTTTTAAACACAGAAGTACAACTTTTGAATGACTAACTCAATATTCCGAATTAAATACACTGAAAGACTCATCAGTGAAAAATATTTTTTCTATTTTCATATGTTTGCTGAAGGATCTAAGCTAACAATATTTATTTTAAGCAAAATATGAACTTTTAAACTCACAAAAATCCTGACTTTCTTTTCCTATACTTATGGTATTCAACAGAATCAAGAAAGTTCTTGTGCCAAGTGTGGTCATGGGATCAGTGAATGGCAAATTTCCCTTTTTTTGAAAAAAGGAGGATAAATATTTGAAGAGTAATATTACATATAAAAAAGAACCTTCAGATTGTTAAGTGGACAGCTACAACAGAAAAGACAAAAAGCTTCTATCTTCATAGGAAGTGGTTTCCTCAGTTCTCACAATCTTAATAATCTTAATTTCTAGGTACAGTAATAGCTCTCAGTTTCCTACTCTTCAGATATGGGCCTCTCAGTAGTCCCAGCTCCTACTGGACTAGCCTAAGTCACTGATTACTGGTTTCTATTTGCTCTTTCTCTCTGTTCTTGATTACCTGTTATAGTCCAGAGAAAGTTTTCAAATAATAAAAAACCTATGTGTATAAGAGAACATATAAACATACAGAAAAGACACATTCATCAGGTAGGGAAAAATCCTGTAACAACATCTACTCTCCTATTTCTAATACCTTTACGGAATATGATGAACCTGATCAAGAAAAAAACCAAAAAGAGAAAAAAACCTTTAGAACCAGTTTTACTATACTGAATTTATCATTTTTTTTTCTGAAATGTAATTAAAATCCTTTTTAATGAAGGATTACTTTATATCTTCATTAATTACTCAGGTAAAATGATAAAAAGCTGCCCAAATCCATCATTTCCTCATATACTGAGACTCTTAAGATATTTATTTAGTGACCATAATTGTTTTAAGTGTATCACTTTTATCCAAATAATGAAGTTTGTTATTTTTGAAGAGTATGTTAAAATAATGTTAGAGTCGGAAGATCATCAAGTGCAATTCCCTCATTTTAGAGATGAGGAAATTGAGGCCTTGAAGGGTCACATGATTTCTCCAAGGTAACAAAACTGACTAGTAGTAAACAGGACTTAGAACCGAGACCCCTTGGCCCCAGGCGAGGTTTTACCTACCGGTCTGGCTGTACTGTATCCAGCAGGTCCTGGGCCTGCAAGTCCTGCTTGAGGTGAAGGCTGACTGCGTCCTGGAACAAAGACATCATATCATATATTTAAGTTTAAAAAAATAAACAAGAAACCATGTACTTATATTCCAAGTGTCTATTTCACGGTCCAGTTTTAAGGGTGAATAGCTACATTCAAGTGTTTTTACCTATATTATCTTTCCTTGTTGTTCCAGGGCTTTTGGGTGCTTTGAAGCAAGAAGGGAAAAAAAAATTAGTTGTAAGTTAACAATTAAGCAATATTGCATAACATCAGCTTGCTGTTCTGCTTCATTACCAGCAGAAATGGGGGCATGAGATGGTAACAAAACAAAGCACTTTGCTTTGTATAATGATGAAGGGTATTATCAGTCCTGAATGAAATACTCCAAAAGAGAGAAAAATTACAATATTTAGATAGACCTTTATGGGAGACAAGTGGTGACTTTAGTTTGATATCTCACTCATGGGACCACTTTTAGGGTGGCATTCCCCATAGAACTCTCTCGTGAACCTTGAAAACATACAGTCAGCTGTGTGAATGGTCACAAGATGCGGCACTGCTGCCCCTTAGAGTCTGGCAGACAAGTGGCTTCTGAGCAACAGACAGGACTGCATTTGTCAAATTACACAAGAGGCTCCTAGTAGCAATACTTTAGGGCTTCACGCTGTAGATGTCACTGTGGATAAGGTTATCTTATGATGAGATCTTTCGGATTTCTATAACAAAATCCCATCATTAAGACAGAAGACAGGCATATGTTATTACCAAATATCTGCCTTATGGAAGACAGTGTTAAAAATATGTTCAAACTCATTAGAAAGGTAGCTGAAGGATAAAATGAAATAAATTACTCTTGGAGCCAAAAGGAGTAGGAGTGACTATCAAGGGCAGCATCTTAAATAAACTCTCCTTTTTGTAAAGAAATTCAAGTACAATTGTTATAAGAAATACATCAGCCTTTTAATAACTAAAATCATAACAAATGGCCTCTAGTCTTAAAGGTCTTTTAAACAAATCTGGCTCAGTGCTAATCTATAAAATAGCTATGTTATCTGAAATCAACTACAAAATACTATATTCTTGGATCTGAATTAATAGGGTTTAATTATAATCATTAATTTTTAAAACTTCAGATTAGTAAAGTACATTTCTAAATATTTTACTTATTCTGAAAAGAATTTTGAAGACATTCTTAAACAGTAATTTCACAACCTGGGCATATATAAACTATATATGAAACAGAGTACAAACAACATTAAGGATCTCAGGGAAATTAAATGGATATCCATTAGAAACTATAGGTGACATAGAATGAAGAGAGGAAAAAATACAAGGTATACATAAGGAGGGGAAAGAGAAGTTTACAGCTGGACCAAGAAAAGATTTAGTATGCCTGCAAACACTGCGGGGTGGGGAGGTGGGGCGCTGACACTGAGAAATAAAATGAGAGAACCACTTCTATAATGCAAGAGTCTTGTTACCTTCCATCTCTCTCCTAGCTACCCCAGGACTGGGAGGGGCTCCAATACCTTTTTAGAGAAAGAACAGAAACTATATATTGTTCAGGGCCCACAGCACAGAATGAAAGGCAGGCACACAAGACAATTTCCATAGTAAACTCACTTTTGCAAAAAGGCTCTTTTATTGCTTTAAATTTCTTCAAAGATATCAATACAAACCAAAGTGACTTTAGATGCTTGGCCCAAATCTGAATCCTCCCTTTACTCAAACAGAAGAGTAGAAACAGGATGACAGTTTTCTTTTTATGTATGCAATTACTACCAGTAGGGAATTTAAAAAATATGTTTAATGAAGACCTTTGCTTTAAAAATCATCTTACTCCTTATATCCAGAGCAAGTAAAAACTCTGATATTTGATAGTCAAAAGGAAAGAAATCATAAATTTCTATGAGACTACGTAAGTCTTTTGAAGTTAGTTTTTGATGCATTAATTTTAAAAACTCTAATGTACTATAATGACGTAAAGGAATTATTGTTTATAGGATGAAAAAACATGTTGCAAACACTACTTACAAAAGAATTATGAAGGGGAGCAATTTTTAAAATTAAGACAGATTTCACTGTAATCCACTGGCTTGCCTAACTTTTGACAGATTCATTTTAAATTTATTTTCTACAGGATGTTTTCCTAATTAAAGCAGAAGATAAGCAAAAATTATCATGGAAATTTAAATAAAAGCAGGAGCTTGAAAAGGGAAAAATTAAATGTTTTCTATAAAAGCAGGAGCTTGAAAAGGGAAAAATTAAATGTTTTCTGTAGGTCAATGGAGAAATGATCACTTAGCTGTATTCGGCAGAAGCTGTAATGCTGAAATAATTTAGCTATTCTTATCACACGCAGTCATTAAGATCTACACACAGGCAAAGTCAGTCTGTAGTAAGACCTGAATTGCTCAGCCATGTCACTAGGCAAGCTACAATAGAAACAGACCAGGCTACACATGCACAGTGAGCCTTAGTAACACTGGATTTGTAAAAGTTCTTCTGAGGAATTGTGAAAACTCATCTCATCTTTTCTTGAGATTTAGATTAAATAAACTTGTCAAATGTATAACTCCAACTGAGCTCTGTGAGTTTTCATGTAAACCAAATAAACTATACTTCAAACAAAAAGTGACCCTTTGTGAATAAAAATTTCCTTATGAAGAAAGGAAAAGAAAATCATACAGTTCTTTGCTAATCCAAAAGCTTTTCCACTAGAAAATAAATGTATCACTAATCAGATACTTGGGAAATGTTCTGTATTTACTGTACCTGAATGACTTTTAAAATTAATATAACTTTTGGGTATTAAATCTTTGTAAATGAATCGACCACATTTATTAAAAAAAAAATTAGGCCTGATGAACAATCCCAGCCTACCTGGGAAATGAAAGCCTTTATTAGTTTTATTTGTGGATTAGTTTTAAACTAGAATGTCATTCATTTTGACTTTTATCAAACAAATCTAAAATGTCTTTCAGGTGTAAAACATTAATGAACCACGATTCACACATGCTAACAAATGTAAATGGTTACCTCCAAATTCCTTTCTAGTGGGTGCAGGACTCCTAGCCCCTTATAGTTCATAAGAAAATAGGCAGCAGAAAGGAAATGACATTAAATACAGAAGTGAAATGTCAAAGATTGCTATAGTATCCATGACATCAAGTATCATGCAGGAATTACATATTATCTACGTACTACAAAAACTATTATTCAATGCATATGCTTATAATTGAAGTAACAGCACTATATTTAATTTAAAAGAACATTAAACAAATACATACAATTGTACATTAATACGTATGCTCTCCAGTTTTATTATACTTTTACAGAAATTAGTACATTTTAATTATTTTATGCTTATAAATCATCCAGAAATGAGGATTTTGAAAAAAATTAAACCTAATTTTACCTAAGAACAGTTTACATGCCTAACTAGATCAAATTAGCAAAAACAAAATAAACCTCTCTGGCTGGCTGGTGAGAAGGCAGCTAAAGGCAGCTGTGAAAACACCTTAGAGGAATCTACTCTGCAAACACTCTACCTTGTCTGTTGCGCCTACCATGTTCTTTAGAGAAAAGCTAAGAAATAGCAATAATGATAGAAAAAACTGTAAAATCCAGAAGCTAGAGATTGGAAAACATGCAAAACATTTTAAAATAGAGTGAAGAATTTTACATCTAGCAGAAATGGAAATAAAAGGTTGTCACCTGAAGGCGGAGGAGGTCTCTGTGGGGGAGCCGGGCGTGTGGGAGGGGCGACCGGGCGGGGCGGCGGCGGCCGCTTGGGCTCCAAGGGCTGGGCGGGGTCTTTCTGCGGCAGCGGCGTTGCTGGCTGCGCGTCAATAGGAGAACCTAAAAAGCGCACAGGAGGTAAGAAGATCAGCTTCTAAGTAGCTGTTGACAGAAGGGAACAGTCCTTCATATATATGTGTAATGTTCTATAAAATGTGCACAATGGTGTAAAGAAAGGGCATGTATTTTCAGTATGAATAACAAAAGCAGTCTACTATTAAACTGCCCTTTGGTACCATGGCAGCAATAATGCTACCTCTGTGCTGACTTCTTACCTAGGCCTCAGGTGCTGAAAGCTAATTTACTAAGTGGCCCTATTGATATGCACAAAGTATTGTTTGAGTTAAGCCATTTTGTAGTCTGGCCAGTAGAGAGAAGAAAAAGCTCAAATAGTTAACGGGTTCATACCATAGAAAATCATCAGTTATAAGACATAGACAAACCTAACCACATAGAAAAAAGATTAAGAACAATTGTCATCTAGTGACAGTTATAGCAAGTTTCCTTTCCATTGAGAGCTTATCATCTACAAGTTTTCCTATTCTGTACCGGAGAAAACAGGGTGCACTTTATCACCTAGGTATGAAACTTAAACGATGACTCTCCAACATCAAGCACATTGGCCACAGGAAGCCATACAAAACTTTCAAATAAAATGCATACTCTGTGCACTGGGAGGCCCAGGAGTTCTTGACGGTGCTCGGCTTGGTCTGATGGGAAGGGAAGGTACAGGACCCTCTGATATTGTAGGTGACTGGCAGGGACTAGTTCGGGGTGAAGAGCTGGGGGAAGTACCAAGGCCGGAACTTGAAGATGGCTGGAGATGCTGAGGAAGAAGTTCCTCCACTTCAGCACTATAGTCATCAACATCACCTAAGGAAAAGCAGGCTTGATCAGAGATAACTCCATTTTAACTTGCTCAGAGATTTTTTTCACCTTAGGTTTTAAAAAGTTAAAATACACAAAACAAATATGAACATTATGTCATTGCAAACACACATGGATTAAGCATGAAGGCATGTATAAAACCACAATTAGTAGAAATGCTTGTTTCAGAAGATGTAAAGGTATCTATTGTCTCTGAGCAATAAGATGTCAGGTGACCAACCACTTGGAGCTGGGGTGACCCAATGGGCTTTCAATATGCCCCAGAGCAGCTTCTCCAGTGCAAGCCAACTCAAGTTTCCTGCTCTCCTTCCAAACCTGTCCACTGTGCTCTGTGGAACTGCCCCACTCCCTTGCCTAACCCAGGTCCAGCCTCAGAGTCAACAAGCTCTCAGGAGCCACACAGTCTTCCCCCAGAAGGCTCCTCCCTGCAACCCTCACCCCACAAAGACCCGCTTTGCTTTAATTAAGTAAACACTGGTTCTCCCCCAGGGTCTCCTCATCTCCACTTACTTCTGGGTAGGAAAGTGGGCACAAGGTAACCCTTGCAACCTAACTGCCATTCCAGAACATTAGTCTTCCAACCCTGAACAAAAAGTCCTACTGCTCTGAGGCTATGCCATCAGGAATTTATGTAACATCCTCTACCCCCACTTGCTACAGTCATCTCCAACGTCCATTCTTCCATTTCCTGAACCCACTCACTGAGGACTAAGCAGAGAGCAAGACTGTAAGTCAGGTCCCGCACCATCTTTCTGCGTGGCATCAAAGTCCATGTGGACAACTCGTTCAATAGCAAAATGCCTTGGTCCTATCCTTATGGACATTCGCCTTCACTCCTAACCCTCACCCCTCAGAACTGCACTCTTCTGAAATAATAAACTCAAAAGCTTCACTCTGACTTTGGCCTCCCAGCTTTTCAGTTCTCTCCCTTGGCTACTCCTTCTCTTTTGATTTCTTCAGAAGCCAGGGTTTGATCCCTCTAACTTTTACCTCCATCTGATTCTGCTTTCTTCTGTACCTACCTTCAGATTCTATGGTTCTTCATCTCAAACATTACCCTACTTCACTCTTCTTCCATTGCACGTGCTTGACATAACCCCATCCCTGCACTGATTCCCCTGTTTAATCTTTCTGTGATAACACTTGGATTGCTGACTGCCTCTGCTAAAGAAAACCACCCAGTCCTGACAACTGCAGTCACATTTGAAATTATGCTTTTCAGTCTCTTCTGGCCTAAAGTGCCTGGCAATTCCATGATTTGCTGGTTTGCTCTTCCCCTCACCCTTTGCTCTTCAGGAGCTTTACTGCAAAACTCCTTAACCCTCCTGAAACTGTGAGCTGTCCCACTCCTGCAGATCACTTCAACACTTCACAGAGAAGAGGGAAGTCTTAAGATGGGAACCCCTACTTCAACAGCCTGCCCCCAAGCTGGAGTCTCATTACATGGTTGTCACTTGGGTATCTGAGGATGGAACAAATGGGCCCCACCCAGCCTAATTTTCTCAGTGACACTGCTCTACTATTCTGCCTTGCCCTTCCCCCAAACCATCAGCCCTTTCTCCTCTACTTTTCCATTAGCACTGTGCATTCTCAAGCCTGTCCCATCCAAAACCACCACCCTAGGACCTCCAATCTTCCTAGAGCAATTGCCCTCTTCTCTTTCCCCCCAAACTTTCTTAAAGAGTTGTCTACAGACACTTTTCTCCACTTCTTCACCTTCCATCCATATCAATTTACCACTATCTGACTTCATCACTTCTGAGATCACTCTCATGAAATGTCAACAACAGCTTCCCTTCCTGTTATTAAATCAGAAGGACACATTTCTGTCCTCATTTCTTCTCATCTTTCTGTGTTACAAGACACCACTGACTACTCCCCTTCCATGCTCCACTTTCTTTCCTTGATTTTTAAGCCATGAATTTCTCTTGGCTCTTTGACATTTCTAGAAACAATTGCCATTGTTTCTTCTCATTTTCTTTTCACGGGCAGCCTTCTTCTGTCTATATTTAAACTCTGTGTTTCCACATACTCAATCCCAGGTCTGTATTTCTCCATATTCGATTCATTCTCTTCTGTCTCGTCATAATCCTATTGGCCAAAGTTATATTAACAAATGCCCATGCTTTGCAGGCTATTAGAGCTGCCTTGACTCCAGAGCTCTTTCCTGAGCACCAGACTCATGTTTGACTGACTCCATGAACATCTCAAATTCAACATATCCGAAACAAAATTCATCTTCCATCCCACACCTACTTCTCTCTCTGCATTTCTTTTCTTCATTTACTCCCTCACAAACATCCCTCCATAATCCATTTGGATCCTCTTTATCCCCACTTAGACTGTGCACATGCTTTCTTCTTGGATCACTCCTCTATAGCATTAATTCCATTCTCCCTGAGTCTTTGGATTCTCAACTTAAATTTCAATTCCTCTGGGAAAGCTTGCCCAATTTCCCAAATCCAGGTTAAGCAACTTTCCCATGAGCTACCACAAAACCATTCATTATCACATTTATGTCACTTTATTATAATTGCCTGCTTACTTACACGTAACACCCAATAAGCTATGAGTTCTGGAAAGGCAAGAACCACAGCTGTCGAATCTCCAGCACCCAGCTGTATCTGGCATAAAGGTACTACATAAATATGTGTGGACTGAGTAAACAAATGAACAGATAATGTGAAAATGAGATAACCTTGTAAGACGTTCAACTCTTAAATGTGGTACCTAGCTATACAGGGCATTACAATATTATTATAATCTAAGGTATGCATTTTAATGAAAAACTGGCTAGAATAGCATATTGTGTTAGAAAACAAATGCATTTAAAAATTTTTTCTTTTGATAATGTTGCCATCAAACAAATGCATTTTTAAATCATGTTTAAGGAAATTTTCGGCGTAATTACTTAAATTCATTTCTGTTCTTAGAATACCCTTTTGGAACTTCTACTTTTTTACCTCAACTTTAATTATTGGGACTAAACCATACACCAACAATACTAATTTGGGTATTTATCCAATAAGAATATAAATTAACATTTGTAAAGGTCTTAATATTTGAATGGAAGAATGGTAAATACATTTAAAGTATACGCAAAATAAACACAATATGATGTGAAATAAATTTGTTTTGTTTTGTTTTGTTTTGAGACAGCCTCGCTCTGTTGCCCAGGCTGGAGTGCAGTGGCACAATCTCGGCTCACTGCAACCTCTGCCTCCTGGGTTCATGCGATTCTCCTGCCTCAGCCTCCTGAGTAGCTGGGATTACAGGCATGCACCACCACGCCCAGCTAAATTTTGTACTTTTAGTAGAGACAGGGTTTCGCCATGTTGGACAGGCTGGTCTTGAACTCCTGGCCTCAGGCAATCCACCCTCCTCAGCCTCCCAAAGTGCTGTGATTGCAGGCATGAGCTGCCGCACCTGGCCAAAATACATTCTAATTAATAGTGCTATGTACGTCCCAAGAAGAAGAAGAAAGATGAACTTGGAAAATAAGACTTTACAGATTGGAAGAAAACATATCTAGAACTACAAGAAGTAAATGTGTTTAAGAAACAAACCTTCCATATCAAAATCTGCTGCAACCTCTGCATCTTCACCAAGCAGGGTAGAGCTTGTTGATGATGGCAATGCAATGCTAATTTTCTCTAAACTCATTTCTTCTTCCAAATTTTTGATCCAGTCTGGACTTTTTAAAGCAATAGTTATAGTCCGATTCAATAACTAGCGGAGTAAAAGAGATATAAAATAAAGATTAACATGAAAGCTAACTAATTTGGAATAAAGAGGCTGACTTCGTTAAACTATGCAATGGTATAGACAGTTAATTTAGTTAGACAATTCAGCTAACTAAAGAAATAGTTCTTTCACATATACTAAATTTCAAACTAGTTTAAAGGTTGTTCCCAGTTCTCCCTTTAAACACCTGTGGTGATAAATAAAGATCTTTTCTAGGATGCCCAGAGATGCAAGTTTCCTTTGCTACAACCACTATGTTTTCCTGGCCAGATGTAAATTCACCAACAACTCTGCTACATAACTTTATACTTTCTTAATTTTGATTCACAGATTAAGTAATTGTTCCCACGTGAAACAACTACAAAAGAGACAGCAGAAAATCTTTAAAATGCATTTCCTGTTCCTGTTCATTTGGTCTTTCCTAACTTGGCATATGGTCCTAAGAGCTGCTATATTGTCAGCTGCTAAGTGCTAACCTATACAGTTTTAGCATTTCAAATGTCAGAAGAATATTAAGAGAACTGAACACCATTTTAAATCTTCAACAAAAATTAATCATTCTAAAAACAGAATGACTTCTACCTGTGAAACTGGCACTCTGCCTTCTCTATAAATTTGGGTGACTTTTAGACTAAAGTATAATCTAAGACAACCAAGACATTATAATCAAATTATAGCAGATCGTGTCAATGTATTTAAAAAATACTCTCAAAAAAACTTGCTGATAACAGCAAGACTCTTTGGTCAAGGACAAAATGTGCACTAGAAAGGAGTTCTCATTTAAAACCCATATTCTTATAACAAACTTGCTTTCTAAATTTAATCTCTCTCCCACATAGTTTCAATTTCCTTTGTTTGAAGAGTTTCTTAATGTGAACAAGATGTGAATATTTTTGGTATTTGCAAATGAACTGTGTAGCTGTGATCAATATGCTGTGCTGACAGTTGGCACCTTTGTGGGTACAGATCTTCCTTGGCTCAAAGTGTTACTGATATTAGAATTCCTTGAAGGCATAATAATGGAGAGGTTGAAAGTTGCTGAACTGAGTGGCACAGCTGTGTTTATTAGTAATTTAGCATCCACACTGAGCTTTAAAGTCAGAATCCTAAGAATTCATAATCCTTTACTTGCCAAGTAGATATGAGTACTAAAATCAATCCAATTTCAGAACTTAACACGCTTTACAAGTCATATATTACTTTTCAAAGTCAACAAAATTCTTTTATATTCATCAAAAAATACTAACAAGCATTCTTAAATACCTATCACCATAATGGCCAATTAAGATGTAATTCCTTAGGACTATCCCCTTGGTAGAGACCAGGGCCAAATGAAAAGGAAGAAATTTAGAAGACCAAAAAAATATTCAAAAAGATACATAGAGGTTCACTGGAATATTGGCTTTAATAATTAAGAATAGGAAATAATCTAGATGTCTATAGGAGTTTGGTTTAATAAATGTATATATTTATTCACAAAATGAAATTAATGAAGCCATTAAAAATGACATATTTGTTTAAGATGTCCCTGACACAGTCATAAGAGGTAGTAAGAAAATAGCTTTATAACACGGTTTCAATTTGTGTTTGCGTATATGCATATCCCATTTGTGTTAATGTGTTTGTGTGTATATAAAATCCCATTTGTATTTACATATGTATATGCTAATATTAAGGTTAAGAGAAATTACTTCAGAATGGTAGCATTATGTGAGTGGTCTTATTTTTAATTCTTTTCCATGTTTCCTGATACATGATTTTACATGAGTATACTAGTATTACATTTAGGAAAACAAACAAAACTCTACAAAACCTATTTCAAAAGCAATACACACAAAGAATTTTTTTTTTTTTTTTGAGACAGAGTCTCGCTCTGTTGCCCAGGCTGGAGTGCACTGGTGCAATCTCGGCTCGCTGCAACCTCTGCCACCCAGGTTCAAGTGATTCTGCTGCCTCAGTCTCCCAAGCAGCTGGGATTACAGGCGCCCACCACCACGCCTGGCTACTTCTTGTATTTTTAGTAGAGACAGGTTTTTGCCATGTTGGCCAGGCTGGTCTCAAACTCCTGACCTCAGGTGATCCACCTGTCTCGGCCTCCCAAAGTGCTGGGATTACAGGCGTGAGCCACCGCACCCAGCCTAATACATACAAAGAATTTTTTTTCTCCAAAGAAGTTGATGTGACAGAAGAAGCAGCTCAGGACAGTGCTCACAGAGTTGCTCAGTGCTGCAGGAATCAGGCCTAGAGTACAATCCATCTTGTGCACTGACTATATACTTAGAAATTTAGGATTTGGGTCTAAAGGAGTTCAGAAAAAAATGACAGATGAAGCACTTCAGAGAAGTAAAACTATTCCAGGCCAACAATGTAAGTTTCCGTCATCAATGACTTTTCAAATCACAGGTTAGGAATATCTCCATTTGTTAAAAATTTCTAAAATACTTCAATGGGATGGATCTGTTATCTCTGGAAATTAATTTAGTTATGTTTGAAGAAGATAACTAGGTAAGCCAAGCCAATGAAACAAATTCCTAGGAATAATGAGCACCTCTCTCCCTTGTTTTCTGGTACATAATGCATTTTCTTCACTTGATAGAATGTTTTTCTACTATACAGATAAGCCAGACTACCCCCAATTAAAACTTTAAAACTTTTTGCATCATAAAATGTAATAAATCAAATTAGGTGCTAAACATGTTTCCTTCTTAGTCTATATCAACAGTTAATATCTCTGGGGAGGGGCCAAAATAAGCCTAGGCTAGTCAGAAATCCAGTCTAAATAAAAAACATTAAATAACTCCTCGAACATACCATAAGGTCTTTTCCCCTCCCATTTAGATAATCTTGCTGCATGTCTATAAAAATATCATACCATCTTCAGACATTTAATTTCAGAATGGTTTAGAATCAACAAATGCTACCTTACCTCTTTACCATTTAGGCTCAGAACATTCAAGGCAGAGCTTCCCTCCAAAAATGTAACCCACATTTTATCTTCTACAAATCTTTAAGAAAAACAATAAAAAACCATAATTAATACCATAGACATAACAAGCTCAGTGACTACTCCCATGATTATTGATCATTAACAAGGGCCACAAGAGGCCAGGAAGTAAAAAGTAAAGGAGGGAGCGCAGGTAGGGCTGGTGGTGACCTGGAGAGGGCACTCTTCCCCTAAAAACACTCTAACTCCAATTTCAAATACTATGTTAATGGAACAGCCACAAGAAATGAGTCTGTGCACCTCCATTTGTGATCACTGCTAATCCAGTCCCATCCAATCCTCCATTTCATTGACAAGGCAAAAAGGGACAGAGGTTAAGTGACTTGTTCAAAGTGACTCTATAAGGAGAATATGTTACAGGGCTGGGATCCAAGTCTCCGGACCCCACAACCCAGTACTATGTATTTTCACTGTCTCAGTGACTTCCCTGAAGAAAATTTCCTATGATCAAAAAAGATGAGAGTTGCCAGTGAAAGAAAACAAAACCAGACTGGCCCCAAGAAGCCTTAGATAAGTTATGCTCCTTGTCTTTCATCATTGACAAACATTTACTCTTTTGGGACTTCAATGGTCTTTGATAGGATTCCAAGTTTTTACTTTTGAAATAAAAAAACTATCAAGAGGAAAAAAAAAATAAAAAGGACAGAAGAAGTTCTGAAGAGGGTCGCAGGTATGTAATGAAGTTATTATTCAAAAAAGAACAAATTATGATGTTATCAGTCTTATTACAGAAAATTTGGCGAGTTAAACCACAAGTTCAGAAATCTTTACAGATTTTTCCACAATGAGAGGAAAACATGTACACACAAACACACACACACACACAGAGTATCACTCTCCCCCTAACCCCCTACTTAAACTAGGATTCCAAAGTATGAATTATGAATATTAAGAGGAAAAGGCCAAAACAAAAGTGTGCATAAGTACTTCACCCTGGTAAAATCAAGGGCCTGGAGGGAACCGATTTCTACAATCCCACAGATATGACCAAGGCAACTGACTCAATTTCTTTGGCATAAAACTAAATTGCAGGATGCTATCCTTTGAAATACACAGGGAGACCATTCTTACCTAACTACACGAAGGTATCTTTTTCAGATTGTTGGCAATGGAGACTATCCCTCCTCCAAAGGTTATAATCACCACTGTAAGCATACATTTATGCTGCACCAGTCCCCTAAGACCCCAAACATTATTTGTTCTTTGATAGGTACCAACACTTTTGTGGTCCTGGGTTAGGGCTAATATCTTTGTCCTTATTCTCAATCAGCAATGTGCCCCTTACACATTTCTAACTTTAACAAGGGATTCTGGTTCTTATATCTATTGATTTATGTAAGTTCTTTTGGAAGCTATATTTTCTTCCTGCTTTCACTCACTACAGTAAAAGCTTCTAGACTCTTCCTTCAATTAATGTAAGCATCTATATGTATTTAAATTTATCCCATACACATTTCCAGGGAACCTCTTATTTAAAAATAAAGGGGTTCACAGGGTTTACTCACTCCTTAATGGCTGTCTTAATCTAGACTAAAAGGTAATAATCAGTTTCTTCTCACTACTTATAGAGATCCTCTCCTTGTTGACTTTCAGTGTTTGCTTTTTCTCTTCCAACTTAGTCATCTTGGGGTTTAACAACCAATATTCCAGGTTGGAGACACCCCATGGTTTTATAATGTTAGGTTAATGCCTTAGTTTCTTACCAATACTTTTCCTAATGATGACAAACATTTGTGGGAAACCTTCTGGCTTCAATTTAACAAGTTCTTTAGAGGTTGGGTTATAAAGACAGGTCCCTTTCCTGTATCAGAGTCTTTCATCCCTTATACAGTTTGGATTCTTTGTAGCTCAGTGCAGTATTTTACATTTGCTCAGGAAGACATTTATCTGCTACTCTGCTGCCCACTCACACAGTCTACATGATGCTTCTGGTGGTTTGGCATTTCTGTACTTGGCAAAGTATACTGTCATCTGTACACTTGCAGATTTCACTGTGTACTTTCAAGAACCTTAAGATTTTTGAAATGTTTTGTTTTGTTTAATTTGAAAGCTTTGGGATAGACCTTTGTCAAAAGATTTGAGGAAAGTCTAAACACAATTTCTTCTCCATTTGTTCATTTACTCTCTGAAAGGACTTGAGGTGTCTTTGATTTTCACTCTGTAGAAGCCATACCATCTTAATTCTGTGGACTACGCCCTTTAGGATCTGGGGGTGTCATTACACACATGCTGACTTTCCCTACTAGATTACAAGCAGGAGTTGTATCTTCCATTTCTCCTCTGCTCTTCTACAGCAACTAGTATAGAGATCTGCCCACCAAATATCTATCAAACATACCTAACTAAGCAAATGAATGGTATTTAAAGGGATTTAATGGTACCTCTTTCCCTATGAAATCCAAACACATGCACACATGCACATCATTCAGTCTCTCAAAACTGCTGTATAGTTGGAAGAGAACATTTTTAAAACAAGGAAACAGGCATCTGGTTCTGCAAAAGGCAGATGGCTAGATCAATGAGGGAAACCAAGACTAGAAGGAATGACTCTTGACTAGTCATCACATCTCTGTTAGAAATTAAACATACTTAAAATTACTCAAATTTCTTTAACTGAGGCAGGGAGGGAGTCATTCTTATCTCTCCTTAAAAAAAAATAGCAATCACAGCTTCATTTTGTTATAGGGTTTTGTTACATGTTCTATTGTATAGGAATCGTGAGAGTTCATATCTGAACTTGCACCTATTTTTGTTTTCAATTGTTCACATAAAGTTTCACTGTTTAGCTGGGTATGGTGGCTCACGCCTGTAATCCCAGCACTTTGTGGGGCTGAGCTGGGCAGATCGCTTAAGGCCAGGGGTTTGAGACCAGCCTGGGCAACATGGTGAAACCCTGCCTCTACAAAAACAAAACAAAACAAAACAAAACTTAGCCAGGTGTGGTGGTGTGCACTTGCAGACCCAGCTATTTGGGAGGCTGAGGTGGGAGAATTGCTTGAGCCTGGGTGGTTGGGGCTGCAGTGAGACATGAACACATGACTGCATTCCAGCCTGGGTGACTGGGTGAGACCCTGTCTTAAAAAAAAAGTTTCACTATTCATTTAAACTTTCTAAGTTGAGAATTCAGTTATAAAAACCTACAGAATAATATCCACAGTATGATCTTGCTTTAGTTTGGAAATAAAAATACTCATATACTAAACACTAAATAAGGTGGTATCTTTCTTTTTTAAAATTCTCTCCTTCCCCAAATAAGGTGATTTCTATATAGAAATGATTGTTTATGAATCACAAGCTACTTTTGCATAATAAACATCTTACCTTATAAGTATAACTTCACCAAAACTTGCAAACTGCTGCAGAAGCTCATCAATCAAGGCATCATCAAAAAAATTATTTTCTGGTAAAGAACTTTTGATTGAGACCAATACTGTACCATCTGGTGGACCCTGAACTGCAATTACTTCTTTATAAATGTTTTGCCTCTCTTCAGCTTCAACTTCAAATATATCTATATCAATCAGGGCAACGACAGGCCTTAAGGCATAAAGGAAGATAGATGTATTAGAAATGTTTTTAAAAGGGTGTATTTCAAACAAATTTCAAACACTATTAGAAAAACTGAGACTGCTTAAACCTGTGGTCAGAAGTCTTCAGCTCAGCTCTTCCATAGTGCAGCAAAGTGCCTGGAGTCCACGTGTACAGAATTTTGCTTTCATCTTGAAAACTAGCATTTAGAAGATCTAGATCTTCAGCTGCAGTCAGAAGAAATGAAAACACAAGAGAAGCTGTATAAGCAGGACAGATCGTGTAGAGCAAAGAGGCATTCTCCTTCCTTTCATGAGCTTCAGTGGTTTGAGGCTGGAATGCCAGAAACACTTGGTAATAGGCAGGCAGTCTAAATACCTTTAAATTCGAAAGGTTTTGGTAAAGTTATCATTTTATGCTTTATTTAGTAAAAATTAAGATCTGGCTTTATTTCCAAGATTACTTAAAGGACTGGGACTAAATGGTGTTTCATAAACAATTCAAGAGACAAGTGGCAGTTCAAAACATATGCAAACCACTAAAGTTAGCTTAAAAACCTAAATTAGCTTCAATTAAAAATTTCACAAAAATATTTCCTTGCTTCTCTTTACATGAAATTATATGAAAATAGGCTGAAAAATTAAATAAGTTATTATAAACAGATCTGATATTTCTAAAAATCTGACATATTTAAATTTTATTTATTCTATTCCAGTTAATGTTTCTTGAAAAACAATATTCTCCTCATTTGATATTATGTCATTCCCTGCTTCCTCATAAGTTTACATTAGTTCATTTAAATAAAGAAGCCCATTTCCCAACCTGATCTATCAAAAGGCCATTTCCTCCTTCTCCAAAGGACACGGTCTGTCCAGGCAGGGGTGCGGCACTTTTCACTGGTGTCATAGTCGTCAGAAAACAAGTCATACTTATATGTCGGAGCAAAGGTTACCTTTCCTTCTAAAAATCCTCTAAAAACCTAAAATAAACATATACAAAGTAAGTTATTCCCAAACAGCAACAAGTTCTGTTTTCATTCAGACAGTCATCCATTAAATGTCTATTACATGCTGGATGCTCTCAGAAGAAATCTGTATGCGTCTGATGAACACTTCTAGCTGAATGGAACAAAGCTTAGAAAAATAACCTGAGACATAGCATTTTTCATACCCATAGGGACAGGAGACAGGGAAATTCTGGGCAGAAGTGGGTGGGTCCCTTTGCTGGGTCCCACCCTCAAGCCAAAAAGTCTGTTACCACAGCCCCAAATGAGAACTTATATCCCTGTTTTCTCGCTCGAATGTTGCTTTTTCCAAAACCACCCATGGCCTGCCTTGCCCCCAATCCTGTGCCCATAAAAACCCCAGGCTCAGCTGGCAGAGAGAGGAGAGGCAGCTGGATGTCAGAGAGAAGCAGCTTGACTTCAAAGGGACAGCTTGGCAGCACAGTTTTGGAGAGGAGTCTGGCCATGGGATGGCTGGATTTCAGGGGAAGATTATCTTATTGCTCTGTCCCCTTTTCAGCTCCCCTTCCTGCCAAGAGCCATTTTCATCGGCAATAAAATACCCCATATTTACCATCTTCAATTCGTTCATGTGACCTCATTCCTCCTGGACACCAGATAAGAACTCGGGTGCCATGAGTGTGGGAGCATAAGGCTGTCGCACTGACCCCCCACTAAGCTGTTAACACTTAAGCCATCTGCAGGCAGCAGAGCTAAAACAGCACTGTAACACTTTCTGTGGGGCTTCAGGGGTTGGAGGCACCCTCCCCTAGACACTGCCACGGGCCTGGTACAAAGTTCGCTCTTGCCGGTGCCCAAAAGCGCTCACCCCAGCTCCTGCACTCACTTACCAGAACTCCCCCTCCTACAGGGGTGGAGTGCAGTGGGTCAAGTGAGCAGAGTTCGCCCCGCCAGTGCCCATGCACTCCAGTTCCCACCTGCGAAGCAGTCAGGGAAATATCCTGCTTCAATACCACTTGTTTGACATTTGATTAAACTAACTACATGAATAAGGGAATTCTGCCTGATCTTTGAGCTATATGAGACATTTGGAACTGTAAATGGGATTCTGGAAACATCTAGCCTGATATCTTATTCTCAATGAGGTGCTGAGGCCTGAAAAGGTAATGTGGTGCCCAAAGATTCAAGTCTGGTGATCACCAGGCACCATACCAGATGGCCACTGATCCTTTTACCTAAAAAAAAAAAAAAATTTAATAAATTCTTCCCAAATTTTGTGGTCATAAGCTTTAAGAAGTGTTTCAAAAGTCAGATGACATAGAAACAAAAGAAAAGTCAATAACCACAGGACTTAACCCAAAAAAAAAACAGCCCTAAAGATGAAGATTCTAAACTATCACCAAGGAAAAAAAAGTTTATCCTTCTATTTGAAAGTGAATCTTATAGATACATAATATATTTTTCTTTATGGGAATTATTATGGGTTTTCTCTTTCCTATTTTTATTACTTTTAAGGGAGGACACCACCCCACATATTGTCTTATGCCCAATTTCTGCCTCCAAAGAAAGAAGAAGTAAAAACTAAAAGGCAGAAATGGAAGCCACAAGCAGATAGCCCAGCACTGCGCCCTGGGCCTGGTGGTTAAAAATCAACCCCTGACCTAACTGTTTGTGTTACCTATAGATTTCAGGCCTGTATGGAAAAGCATCATGAAAATCCCTGTCCTGTTCTGTTCTGATTACTGGTGCATGCAGCCCCCAGTCACATACCCCCTGCTTGCTCAATTGATCATGACCCTATCACGCGGACCCCCTTGGAGTTGTAAGCCCTTAAAAGGGACAGGAATTGCTCACTCGGGGAGCTCAGTTTTTGGAGACGCAAGTCTGCCGATGCTCCCAGCTGAATAAAGCCCTTTCCTTCTACAACTCGGTGTCTGAGGGGTTCTTGTCTGAGGCTCGTCCTGCTACATTTCTTGGTTCCCCGACCGGGAAGTGAGGTGATTAACGGATGGTCAAGGCAGCCCCTTAGGTGGCTTAGGCCTGCCCTGTGGCACATCCCTGTGGGGGACTCCGGCCAGCTTGAGCAATGCGGATCCTGAGAGCACTTCCGGGTAGGTAATTGCCCCGGTCGAACGCCTCACCACAGCAGCGCATGGCAGGCCCCCATGAGTTAAAGGAAAAACTTATGTTGGCCCCAGCCCTAGGACTACCAGATTTGACAAACCCCTTTACACTCTATGTGTCAGAAAGATAAAAAATGGCAGTTGGAGTTTTAACCCAGACTGTGCGGCTCTGGCCAAGGCCAGTGGCCTATCTCTCAAAACAACTAGATGGGGTTTCCAAAGGCTGGCCCCCATGTCTAAGGGCCCTGGCAGCAATGGCCCTGTTAGCACAAGAAGCAGATAAACTAACCCTTGGGCAAAACCTGAATATAAAGGCCTTCCATACTGTGGTAACTTTGATGAATACCAAAGGACATCATTGGCTAACAAATGCTAGATTAACCAAGTACCAAAGCTTGCTATGTGAAAATCCCCGCATAATCACTGACGTCTGTAACACCCTAAATCCCGCCACCCTGCTCCCAGTATCAGAGAGCCTGGTCAAGCATAACTGTGTAGACATGTTGGACTCAGTTTATTCTAGCAGACCTGACCTTCGGGACCAGCCATGGGCATCAGCAGACTGGGAGTTATACATGGACGGGAGCAACTTCATCAATCCACATGGAGAAAGATGTGCAGGATATGCGGTGGTAACTTTGAACGCTGTCATTGAAGCCAAACCATTGCCACAGGGCACTTCAGCCCAGAAGGCTGAGCTCATTGCTTTAACTCGGGCTCTAGAACTCAGTGAAGGTAAGACTGTAAACATCTACACTGACTCTTGATATGCCTTTCTAACCCTCCAAGTGCATGGAGCATTATATAAGGAAAAGGGCCTGTTAAACTCTAGGGGAAAGGACATAAAATATCAACAAGAAATTCTACAATTATTAGAGGCAGTGTGGAAACCTCAGAAGGTGGCAGTCATGCACTGCAGGGGACACCAGCGAGCCTCCACCTCAGTGGCCTTAGGAAACTCCCAAACTGACTCAGAAGCTCGAAAAGCAGCATCTACCCCTTACTGTGCATCAGTAGCAGCCCCCTTACTCCCTCAAACACCTGACCTGGTACCTACCTATTCTAAGGAAGAAAAAGACTTTTTCCACACAGAAGTGGGGCAAGTAATAAAAGAAGGATGGATCAGACTGCCAGATGGGAAGGTAGCTGTGCCACAGTTGCTGAGAGCCACAGTCGTACTGGCCATGCATGAAACCACTCTTCTAGGTCAAGAGTCACTTGAAAAGTTGTTAGGCCGGTACTTCTACATCTCACACTTGCCAGCCCTTGCCAAAGCAGTAGCACAATGGTGTGTTACTTGCTGACAGCGCAATGTGAGGCAAGGCCCCACGGTTCCACCCAGCATACAAGCTTATGGAGCGGCTCCTTTTGAGGGTCTTCAGGTGGATTTCACAGAAATGCCAAAATGTGAAGGTAACAAGTATTTGCTGGTTCTTGTGTGTACTTACTCTGGGTGGGTGGAGGCTTATCCAACACAAACTGAAAAGGCCTACGAAGTAACCCGTGTGCTTCTCCGAGATCTTATTCCTAGGTTTGGACTGCCCTTACGAATTGGCTCACATAACGGGCCGGTGTTTGTGGCTGACTTGGTACAGAAGACAGCAAAGGCATTAGGAATCACTTGGAAACTACATGCCGCCTACTGACCTCAGAGTTCTGGAAAGGTGGAGCGAATGAATCAGACTATCAAAAATAGTTTAGGGAAAGTATGTCAGGAAACAGGATTAAAATGGATACAGGCCCTTCCTATGGTATTGTTTAAAATTAGATGCATCCCTTCTAACAGGATACTCCCCTTATGAAATACTGTATCATAGGCCTCCTCCTATACTAGGGGGACTTCCAGGCACTCCCCGAGAGTTAGGTGAAATTGAGTTACAGTGACAGCTACGGGCTTTGGGAAAAATTACACAAACAATCTCAACTTGGGTAAATGAGAGGTGTCCCGTCAGCTTATTCTCCCCAGTTCACCCTTTCTCTCCAAGTGATCGCATGTGGATCAAGGACTGGAACGTAGTCCCTTTGCGGCCACAGTGGAAAAGACCTCACACCATCATCCTGACCACCCCCACGGCTGTAAAGGAGAAGGAATCCCAGCCTGGATCCACCACAGCCGTGTGAAACCTGCAGCTGCTGAAACTTGGGAGGCAAAACCGAGCCCAGACAACTCCTGAAAGTGACTCTGAGGAGGATGACAAGCCCTGCTCCAGTCACACCCGGAAGCTGACTGGTCTACGCACGGCCGAGGCATGAGGAGAATCATCGTGGGACTCATTTTCCTTATAATTTGGACTTGTATAGTAAAAACTTCCACTGATTTTCCCTGCATAGAAGACTGCTCTCAGTGTATACATCAGGTTACTGAGGTAGGGTAACAAGTTAAAACAATCTTTCTGTTCTATAGTTACTATGAATGCCTAGGAACTTTAAAAGGAACGTGTTTATATAATGACACTCAGTACGAGGTATGTAGCCTAGGAAACGACTGCCCAGATGTGTGTTATGATCCCTCTGTGGCCTCCCAGGTCCACAGTTTTTGAAGTAAGATTAAGGACTGAAGACTGATGGGGACTTGTAAATGATACAAGTATTAGCCAAAACAGAAGAAAAAGGGGTGCCCAAACGCATAATCTTGAAATTTGATGCCTGTGCTGTCATTAAGAGCAATAAGTTAGGAAGGGGTGTGGCTTTTGATTGGGAAAAAGGCTATATGACCAAAAATAAGTATATTTGTCATGAATTAGGACTGTGTGGAAATCAATGTGGATACTGGTGTCATTTGGGCCACTTGGATAAAAAATGAAAAGGATCCAGTGCAGCTTCAGAAAGGAAAAAGTGGCCCTTCCTGTACTAAGGGACAATGTAACCCCTTAGAGCTAGTAATAACCAATCCCCTTGATCCTCGCTGGAAAAAAGGGGAGCGTGTGACCTTAGGAATCAATGGGGCTGGACTGGATCCTCGAGTAAATATCTTAGTTCGAGGAGAAGTTTACAAACACTCTCCTGAGCCAGTGCTTCAAACTTTCTATGATGAACTAAATGTGCCAGTACCAGAAATTCCAGGAAAAACAAGAAATTTGTTTTTGCAATTAGCCAAGCATGTAGCCTAGTCTCTCAATGTTGCTTCACATTATGTATGTGGAGGAACTGTAATGGGAGATCAATGGCCACGAGAAGCCCGAGAATTAGTACCTACAGACCCAGTTCCTGATGAATTCCCAGCTCAAAAGAATCACCCTGATAATTTCTGGGTCCTAAAAACCTCAATTATTGGACAATATTGCATAGCTGGAGAAGGAAAAGAATTCACTCACCCCGTAGGATGACTTAGTTGTCTGGGACAGAAACTGTATAATGGTACCACAAAAACAGTCACTTGGTGGAGTTCAAATCACACAGAAAGGAATCCATTTAGTAAATTCCCAAAGTTGCAAACCGTGTGGACCCATCCGGAGTCCCACCAGGACTGGACAGCCCCCACTGGATTATACTGTATATGTGGGCATAGAGCTTGTGCCAAATTATCCAACCAGTGGACAGGTAGTTGTGTTATTGGCACTATTAAACCATCTTTCTTCCTACTGCCCATAAAGACAGGCAAACTCCTGGGTTTCCCTGTCTATGCTGCCCGAGAAAAGAGAAGCATAGCTATAGGAAATTGGAAAGATGATGAATGGCCCCCTGAGAGAATCATACAATATTACAGACCTGCTACTTGGGCACAAGATGGCTCGTGGGGATACTGGACCCCCATTTACATGCTCAACCGAATCATACGGTTACAAGCTGTCTTAGAAATAATCACTAATAAAACTGGCAGAGCCTTGACTATACTGCCCTGGCAAGAGTCTCAGATGAGAAATGCTATCTATCAAAATAGATTGGCTCTCGACTACTTGCTAGCAGCTGAAGGTGGGGGTCTGTGGGAAATTTAACCTTACTAATTGCTGTCTATACACAGATGATGAAGGGCAAGTAGTTGAAGACATAATTAGAGATATGACAAAACTGACACATGTGCCTGTGCAAGTGTGGCATGGATTTGATCCGGGGGCCATGTTTGAAAAATGGTTCCCAGTGCTAGGAGGATTTAAAACTCTTATAATAGGAGTTATAATAGTAATAGGAACCTGCTTACTGCTCCCTTGTTTGCTACTTGTACTTCTTCAAATGATAAAAAGCTTCATCACTACCTTAGCTCACCAAAATGCTTCAGCGCAAGTGTACCATATGAATCACTATCAATCTGTCTTGCAAGAAGACATGGGTAATGAGGATGAAAGTGAGAACTCCCATTAATGAGTGAAGTTCTCAAAGGGGGGAATAAGGGAGGAGACCACCCCTCATATTGTCTTATGCCCAATTTCTGCCTCCAAAGAAAGAAGTGAAAACTAAAAGGCAGAAATGGAATCACAGGCAGATAGCCCAGCACTGTGCCCTGGGCCTGGTAGTTAAAAATCAACCCTTGACCTAACCGCTTGTGCTATCTATAGATTTCAGACATTGTATGGAAAAGCATCGTGAAAATCCCTGTCCTGTTCCATTCTGATTACCAGTGCATGCAGCCCCCAGTCCCATACCCCCTGCTTGCTCAATCGATCACGACCCTCTCACATGGACTCCCTTAGAGCTGTAAGCCCTTAAAAGGGACAGGAATTGCTCACTCGGGGAGCTCGGTTTTTGGAGACGTGAGTCCGCTGCTGCTCCCAGCTGAATAAAGCCCTTTCCTTCTACAACTTGGTGTCTGAAGGGTTCTTGTCTGCAGCTCATCCTGCTACACTTTAAGGAAAGATAATTCTATTATCTGTTTACCTACAGATGCATATTTAAGTACAAAAAGACCCCAAGAAAATTTTAAAACATCTTGATTTAAAAAGGCATGTTTCACGACCCAAAATCTTAATGCAAGTATTTTCTCAAGTATAGATATACCTGTCCAGCATTTTTCTGATTGATAAGTTGATCTCCTGCTATAAGAGAATCCCAATTTTGCTGTCTTATGAGCTCTTTAACTTCTTCGTTAGGGAGATCGATTCGATAGTTGAAATCACCACACCAAAATACATAGTCATGGGAAAATAGCATCCTTCCCTGAAAGCAATGAGATAGAATTTTAAATTCAAAACAATCAATGTTCAAAAATGTTTTACAACTATTTCTTTGCCTGAGATATGCTTGTCTCCTCCCATGTCCTGTTTCTTTGACCCAACAGTAATAACACATGTGAAACGAAAATAAATCTCAGGACCCCAAAATCACTAAGCCCAGAGAAAAATCAAGCCAGGAACTATGACAGGTAAACCTGCCTCCCATTTTACTCCTAAATAAGATAGCTCCAAAGATAAGAAGCTACATAACTCCCTCACAATTTGCCCACAGGAAATTCCTTGTGGACAAAGTATAGACTGAACTCAAAGTCATCCCTCTGAGACTCACCTGAGACAAATGCACATCTGACTGCTTCCTCTGCCCTATTGTTTATGCAAAAATGCAGATTCACTGAGCCACACTAAATTGTGTATTCAGTGGAAGGCTGATCTAGGACTTAAAAGAATGCAACCTTTTGCGTCTTATCTACTTCTAACCTGGAAGCCCCCACTTCGAGTTGTCCTGCCTTACCAGACCAAACCAGTGTACATCATACACATACTGACTGATGTCTCAGGTCTCCCTAAAATGTATAAAAGCAAACTGTACCCCCGACCACCTTGGGCACATGTCATTCTGAATTCTGGAGGCTATATCATGGCCACATCCTTAACCTTGGCAAAATAAACTTTCTAAATTGACTGAGCCCTGTCTCAGATATTTTGGGTTAATACTCATGAAATATCTATTTAGGTGAATATTCTTAATGTTTCTAGGAACTATCTTAAATTTCCAAAAACATTGATGTAGAATTTGGGGCAAATTAAAATATATTTCAAAGCTTTATCTTCAAGAACAAGCAGCAAGAGCTTACCATAGGAAAACTCAATTTTCGTGCTATTTCTATAAAATCTTCATTTCTTTCTTTGACTTGTGACTGCCCTGCAGCAAAGTGGCTACAGACGAAGCAAAGGCTGGTTGTATGGAAGAGCATTCGGATTGCAACTGCTCCCTTATTTCCAGTTGCACCTCCCATTCCAGTCTTCACAGTATCAACTGCAACATCCCTTTGAAACAAAGAATTCTAAATCGCAGATTTGAAATTTCAAGAGTTCCATGTGCATAGGAAATGAGGAATATACATAATCATTTAAGTACACATGGTATGGTACTTTGAGGGCAAGCCTTTGAAATAGTACAGTGAAGCTATTGGTGAGTCTTTAATCAAAACCCCCAAAACCCCATTTTAAAACAAGAACTATGGATAGTTTTTGTTTGAAGAACTGAAACAATAAACATTCTAGGCTTTTTTCTTGTTATTTAATGGTAGGAAGTAGCCTTAGAGGAGTGTTCTGTTTACTGACCTGATAAAAGGAGCATGCTGTGGTCTGATAAAAACAAACAAACAGACGCCCACCAACTGTTCAGAAGCCAGCAGCACATACTTGTTGTCTCTGGAGATTGTCTTCTGAAGTTCTACAGCCCAGAGCTTCTGATTTGTTGTGCTACAAGAAAATATTAAAAAGAGAATTTTTTAAAAAGGTATTGACAATAGCCTATTTTATGACAATTGTCAATTATACCTTTATCTACCCAAATATCCTAAGACTCTGAAGGAAGCTTAGGCTGTTTTTGTTTCCTTTAAAAAGGAAAATCTACAATTTAGCCAAAAGAAAACCACATTTCAAAATCTAATCTATTACTTCTTTACAAAGAAAATATAAAGACATTAAATGGCTACTCACTGGGTGAGTAAATTCAAACTTATACATTTTACTTTTTCCTTAAGTATTCATTAAGATCACAGAGAAGTATAGAAGTATCTGTGGGAGATTGGTTTCAGGACCTCCCATGATACCAAAATCCAAGGATACTCAAGTCCCTTACATAAAATGGAGTAATACTTGCATATAACCCATGTAAATCTCTCGTATACTTTAAATCATCTCTAGATTACCTATAATACCTAATACAATGTAATTAGTTGTTATATTGTAATGTTTAGGGAATAACGATACAAAAAAGTCTGCAAGTAAAAAAGACAAAAAAAAAAAGGCTACACATGTTCAGTATAGACACAATTTTAAAAAATATTTAATATTTTGATGAGTTGAATCCAAAGATGTCAGACCCATGGATAAGGACAGCTAACTGTGCACATATATGTGACTATATGTGCTTCCAAATACATTTCCCCACTTTTCAAAATTTTTCTAAATTATAACTAATGTCTTTTTAAAAAATCTTGCTATGGGAAATTAGAAGACATAATCATTAAACAAACCACCATATACCCATTTCAAAATTACCAACATTTTGCCAATCTATTTTTTCCATCCTCTTCACCTTATCACATTTAAACATTAATAATTCCTTAATATCATCTAATAGTTTATACTTAAAGTTCCCCATTTATTAAAAAAAAATCTTCTAACAGTTGGTTTGTTTCTTTAAAAAGGGTCCAAACAAGGTCTACATATTGCATTTGCTTGTCATGTCTCCTAATCTCTCTTTTTTTCTTGAGATGGGGTCTCACTCTGTCACCCAGGGCTGGAGTGCTGTGGCAGGATGTCGGTTCACTGCAACCTCTGCCTGAGCTCAAGCGATCCTCCCACCTCAGCCCCGCAAGTAGCTGAAACTCATTCCTCATCTTCTCAATGAACCTTATCTTGATCATTCATTTGAGACTTCCAACACTTCCCTGTGTCCCTATAGTTGATCTCCTTTTCCTCTCTTTTCCATTGCACTTTTCTAACATGCTGTATAATTTACTTATTGTTGTTATTGTTCACTGTCCGTTTCTTCCCACTAGAATACGAAGTCCATGAAGATAGGGATTTTTGTCTGTTTGATTCATTGGAGGTACTTAAGAGTGGTACTCAGTAGGTACTGCTTAAATAAATGAATAAATATTCACTACTTTATTAAAGAAGAATATATATGTGTGTGTGTGTGTGTGTGTGTGTGTGTGTGTGTGTGTGCATGTGTGTATATATATATACATATACATATTTGAGACAGAGTCTTGCTCTGTCACTCAGGCCGGAGTGCGGTGGTGCGATCTCCACTCACTGCAACCTCCGTCTCCCAGGTTCAAGCGATTCTCCCTGCCTCAGCCTCCTGAGTAGCTGGGATTACAGGCACGGGGCACCACGTCCAGCTGATTTTTTTGTATTTTTAGTAGAGATAGGGTTTCACTATATTGGCCAGGCTGGTCTCAAACTCCTGACCTCAAGTGATCCACCTGCCTTGGCCTCCCAAAGCATTGGGATTACAGGCATGAGCCACCACACCCAGCCTAAAGAATTTGATTAAACCTAGCCTAAAGAAGAATTTGATTAAACTCTATTTAGACAAACAATTGATCCATGCACTTAGTACTAGGAACCCTCAGAGTTATAGTCTAGTTTAGGACCTGAATATATTTTTCAGGAAACATAATCAAACAACAAAATGGGTGAAGTTGATTTCTTTCCAATTTTCCTGATGTGAATTGTTTTTCATTTTGCCTAATAAAATATTTGTCACTTGCAAGATTGATGACTATTTCAGCCTATAATTTTCTCCTAAAAATCTTTAAAAATGTCATAAAAGATGGGAAACTGCTGAAATTTAAAAGCAAGCATACTTTGTTAAAATAAAACACTGAAGTTTTAAGCCTCACTCATATAATTTGTATTTATAATATGGATTCAGAACAGCGTTCCCAAAGTGTGATCTGGAGACATCTTTGAGGGTTCCCAAAGCCCATGGGGTCACAACTATTTTCATCATACTATTAAGACATCTTTCACTGTGTTGACTAACATTTGCACTGATGGTGCAAAAGCAACAATGGGTAAAAGTGCTGGTGCTTTCACTCGAATTTAGGCACCAAACTATACTAGTCATCATTACAATCCCCACTGCCATATACTTGCAGGAAAAAAAAAATGCCACTTCGCCTAAGAATGTCCTTGATGAAGCAACAGACATTATTGATTTTATTAAAGCTCAACCCAGGTCACATCTTTTTAATATTCTGTGTGATACACAGGAAATACATACAAAGCACTTGTGTTGCATACTGACTTATGATCTGTAACAAAAAAAGAAAATGCTTTAAATTGTGAGTCAAACTGCCACTTTTTTTTTGGAATACAATTTTCCCTTAAAAGAACTAATGACAGACGGTGGTTATTCAGATTTAGGTTATGTGGCATTTTTTTCAACTAAGCCTGTCTCTTTAAGAAAAACAACCAAGAGCATTTGTTTTCAATGGAAAAACTTGCGTTTTCAGGCAAAAATTAGTATTCTGGAAAACTTGTATCTGCTACCATGATCCTTACAGCTTCCCAACAATTATTTTCTGATGCAGTTACCAATGCTGGTAATTAACCAATATGATGCTTTGATATTATATAATGAAATGTGTTAAAATTTGGAAGTGCTACATAACTTAGGGAACCCAAGTGACCAATACATGATGTTACAAAATCACGCAAAGGTAAAAGATGAATTTTAGATAATAGAGCAGAAAAAGTTCATCAATATGGTTTCAGATTCCATTTTGCAACTAACCTTTAGGACACTACCATTTGGTATAGTGTCTTATCCACACACTACACCAAGATAATACTTCTCTGTTATCTATACTACAGCAGAGAATAAATTATCTGTTTTGGTGTAGTATCAGAGAAGAAATTATCTAGAAAGGTTATTAAAATATTTCCTTTTCAAACTACATAGTTATGTGATTTTTCTTCATATACTTCAATCAAAACAACATACTGCAGCAGACTGACACAGAAGTAGATGTAAGAATCTGGCTGTCTTAAACTAGACATTAAAGAGATTTGGAAAACTACAAGACAGTGCCACCCTTCTCAGTAAATTTTTTGTTTTGAAAAAGTTATTTTTCAAAAAATTTATTTTAAGTTAGCATGTAATAGGTTTATTATTGTTTTTAAGTGAATTAAATGTTTTTAAATTTTCATTTTTAATTCCTAATATAACAAAGATATAAACAACATTAGCAAAAGTTATTTAACATTCTCAATATTTTTAAGTGTGCAGAGAGATCCTCAGACCCAAAAGTATGAGAAATGCTCTTTTACAGTTTTACGAGCACCCTTCCATTTATTATTTCAAACTATCCTTGTAACAATTACTTAATTATCTGTCCTCCATAGTTTCCCTCAACTGGCAAATTTTTCAGTGGATTAATGTGGCTAGCTTACCTTGCACTCACAATGTTTCCAGCATTCAATTCTACCATTTCTTCAAAACCAATTGCAAATATATCAGTTGGCTTACTTCTTTTATCTAAAATTAAGCATCCAAGAAATACTTTTAAATATAGCCTCAGGCAAATAGCAACCCCATCCAACACAACATAACACCAGGTCTCATAAAGACTGATTTCTGTGTTTTGAGTTTAACCAAATTCATATTAAAGGCAAACACTCTTGAGTGGAATGAAATTATTAAAATTTACTTTCTATTAGGGTGTCCTAAGTTTGCTTCTTTAAGACGGTTATCCTTGAAGATTCTTAAGCCCTTTCAGAATTCACTTTGAAAAAACTCTTGCTAAAGTTTTTACCAGGGACAGCACAGAAACAAATCATTTCTCAAATCAAAATCTCACATAAAACTGGAGAGAGAAATTATTCAGAAAAGGCACAAAGAATAAAGTGACTGAGAAACTACCTCAAATTGCTGGTAACAGTTGGGAGGAATTTTTCACATTCATATTTGAAAAACATAATCTTGATCTTTTTGCTATTTTCTGGGTGAAAGAAATCCAGGAAAACTAGGAGAGATCCAGAAAGTAAGACACATCACTCTGTCTAGCTGCTGGCACTCTGGAAACTACAAGGACTAACGGAGAACAGAGCTGCCTGAGAAAGCAGCCCAGGGAGACTTCGGGTGCCCCAAGTTTCTAGAAATGAGGACAAATAGCTAGAAAGAGCCTATATGGCCAGATGCTACAGCCCCTGCCTGTAATGCCAAACACTTTGGAAGGCTGAGGTGAGAGGATCACTTGAAGCCAGGAGTTTGAGACCAGCCTGGGCAACATAGTGAGACCCCCATCACTACAAAAAAATAAAAATAAAAAAATTAGCTTAGCATGGTGGCATGCCTAGCTATTCAGAAGGCTGAGGAGGGAGGATCTCTTGAGCCCAGGAGTTTGAGGTTATCGTGACCTATGATATGGAGACTGCACCACTGCCTGGGCAACAGAGAAAGACCCTGTCTCAAAAAGAAAAAAAAAAGAAGAGCCTATAAATAGTCTGAACTAACACTGAAATTAAAAAAAAATTATTGACTGCTATTATGTGCAAGTCTCATGCATACATCATCTTATTTAAACTGCCATAAAAACATCTTCTAAGAAAGATTATTTTTATCTTTTATTTACAAACAGGAAGCTTGCCCAAGTTCACACATAAAATGCAGCCTGGCATACACACTCTAAAGCCAAACTGCCTGAGTTCAAATCCTGGCTTTGCCACTACTGCACAAACATGGGCAGGTTCCTTCCCTTTCAATGTCTCAGTTTCCTCATCTGTAAAATTGGAATAATGGTGTCTATGAAATAATAGGTCAGCTCTGAGGATTAAATGAACACATGTAAGGTACATAGAATTATAGTGTTAGCTGTTATTTTATTATCATTACTATCACAACTTCAAGTTAGGTTCAATTAAGTAAGAAAGGGCATTTTAGGCCAGGTGCAGTGCCTCACGCTTGTAATCACAACACTTTGGGAAGCCGAGGCGGGTGGATCACCTGAGGTCAGGAGTTTGAGACCAGCCTGGCCAACATGGTGAAACCCCATCTCTACTAAAAATACAAAAAATTAGCCGGGCACGGTGGCAGATGCCTGTAATCCCAGCTACTCAGGAGGCTGAGGCAGGAGAATCGTTTGAACTCGGGAGGTAGAGGTTGCAGTGAGCCGAGATCCTGCCACTGCACTCCAGCCTGGGCAACAAGAGCTAAACTCAATCTCAAAAAAAAAAAAAAAAAAAAAAAAAGAAAAAGAAAAAGAAAAAGAAAAGAAAGAAAGGTATTTTAATAAAAAGTTTGGGGAGAATCCCAGGGTTTAAGATGAAACTGATGAAAAATAACTAAAAAAGAAAAATTTTATCTCACACCATTTCCTATACACATCACCCTCACATATAAAACTTGGTAATTATATACTATTTTAAAAAGGAATTAAAGTTAATTTTTAAAAAGAAGAAAATTAAGTTCATGATTCTAATCAAAATCTTTTTCTTTCTTTCTTTTTTTTTGTTTTTTTGTTTTTTTGAGAGTTTCACTCTTGTCACCCAGGCTGGATGCAGTGGTGGGATCTCCGCTCACTGCAACCTCTACCTCCTGGATTCAAACATTTCTCCTGCCTCAGCCTCCCGAGTAGCTGGGATTACAGGCGCACACCACCACACCCGGCTAATTTTTTTATTTTTAGTAGAGACGGAGTTTCACCATGTTGGCGAGGCTGATCTCAAACTCCTGTCCTCAGGTGATCCACCTGCCTCGGCCTCCCAAAGTGCTGGGATTACAGGCGTGAGCCACCGTGCCCAGCCCAAAACCTTAACAAAAGTATCCTCTGCTAAATGTTTGGTTCTGGCTATTTATTAACAGTTTGGTGCAGAGAACCCAAACTGAATGCCAACAAAGTTTTTCAAGGATAAACCAGTGCTCTTAAGTTATTACATAAGTACCAATAAATATCACAAGTTTTATAAGGCTGCTCAAGACCCACTCTGACATTTCTTATCTTAGTAACTAAATAGAGGATTAAGAATTGAAAAATGGGACATAGTAGGTTTGAAAAATAAAACTCAAGTGATCAATTATATTTTAATTATGTAATTTTAATTAAAATTAATAAATGATCAATGTTAAATGGACATAATCTTGGTTTATGTCCATAATCTTGGTTTATGTCCATTTAAAATAAAAACAAAACTAGATTTTCTTATATGTGTGGTTGCCTTCAAAGAAATCTATGTGTGAATTCCTATTTCCTGAGAATCAATTATGGAAAAAAGATTTTTTGTTTTACCATCATATATTTTTATGAAGTAGAAAATAATGGTCTAGAAATTTTAAAAAGCTGAGATTTTAATAGATGTGATCTTTAAAGATGTTGTTGGTCTTCAAATGTATAGCTCCAAGTTTCTTTCATCAATTAATGCATCCTCTGAAGTGCTATATTTGTTTTCTAGATCAATACAACACAGTCAGGATTTATTAACTAAATCCATATTATAAAAAGCCAACCTTGAAACTCCTGGATGCCAGCTAACTTGGGTGCATCAAGAAGCCAGTCAGTGAGTGTCTGATTCTTAAAAGCTATGCTGCGAAATTGCTTCCCACCATTCACATTCCAGGTTCCGACACATACTCGAATTTTCTTAGGCTTTGAATATTTGTAGAAATTCTCACACATGCTCTTTAGTACTTTAGAAGATGCTAATCAAGAGAAGACACAATAGAATTTTAGCTGCATCAAACCATTTATAAAAATTGATTTTCATAACTGAGATACGATGTCCGCTGGAAAGCACAATTATTATCACAAGCACAAACAAGCAAAAGATACAGGCACAGGCACAAAAAAAGATCAGCCTTCAATGCAAAGCCTGGTATGAGGCAATTAACCAACACATCTTTAAAAAAAAAAAAAAGTCAACATTAAATACAATAGCCAAAGTAAAAAAAAAAATACTACACATACAGAATTATTGCAGCAACATGCAGAACAAATAGTTCTGTTTCAATGAAATGGTACATTAATGTACAAATCCAATGAACTATACATTTTTAGGAATATAGCAATTAACTTTCTACAATTTTCATTAAGAGTCTGGTAAAAATATAAATTTTATTTTTCTCCAAACAAAAACATTTAAGAACATTTACATTTAAGATTGTAGCTACTGACAGGCAGCTTGATGAATAATGGCTCCTTGAGAAAAATACAAGCTGATATTTCTGAAAATGAAATCACTACTAAATGCTTCCCATCTCACTCAGAGTGGAAGCCAAAGTGCTTAAACAATGGTCCACAAGGCCCTCAACAATTTGTCTTGTTTTTCCACCCTCATCTTCCACTCTCCCTGGTGCACTCACTGCTCAGACACTGGCCTTCCTGCTGTTTCAAAAACATATGAGGCCTGCTTCCACCACAGGGCCTTTGCACTGGCTGTGCCCACAGCCTGCAACACTCTTCCCGCACATCCTTCAAGTCTTTACTTTCCAATGAGGCCTTCTCTGACCACTTTATTTAAACTGCACTCTGCCCTTAACTTTCCATTATCCCCTCCCTGCTTTATTTTTCTCTATAGCATTTATCACATTTATAAACTATGTATTTTATTTATTTATCCTGTAACTGTCTCCCCTCATGAGAATGGAAAATCCATGAGGGCAGACATGTTAGTCTGTTTTCTTTATGGGAATACTCCTAGTAACTAAAAGACTACCTGGTACGCAGTAAGTGCTCAATAAATAATTGTTAAATGAATGAATGTTCAATACATTTTGAATCCTCAATCTCTCCCGTTTTTTTTTTTTTTTGGTCTACAACCCATCTTTTCCCTTTCTAAACCACATTCTATCCTGGTTAAATTCTCAGCATAGAACCTTAAAAGCACCTCAACCTAAAAATCTGTACTTCATTGGTAGCTAACCGGTAACAGGAAAAGGACATCAAAACTACTTTCACCTTTTACCACATGATCTTATTTTATTATGATATTCTCTTATGATACCAAGATATAGCAGTCTTATGAGGAAATGAGAGTGAAAAAGGCGAGTGATGTCTTAGTATTCTTGTAAAGATAATTTTGACCTGTGGAACTGCTGATTTAGATAAGTATATCCCCATTGTTTCCAGGGGCAGATATGCAGATTTCTCACCACCTAGCTGTTTGCTTTGATTGCTTGTATAGAGGTGTCTGGGTGGTAATGAAAGCAGATTACTTGTCTGGCCTGTTGGTATGGTTAATTCAAAGCTGACTGTACCTAGATAAAAATAATTCTCTATAATTATGGTTTATCATTGCTCTTAAAAATTGAAGTCACTGCTTGTTACCAATGCGAACATAGTGTCTATAATCCATTCTATATCAACACACAAGTTCTATAATAATTACACGGCTTAAAATATTCAGCAAGACAATGAACTGTGTGAATAAAAACGTACTGCCTCACTGTATGAACTAATAAAGTCAAGTCAGTTTTTAAATGAAATAAAAAGATAAAAAATAGTCCTAGTTTATTCTTAACTGGTGCCACCTTAATGTGCTTAAAGAAACAGAGAGTCAAAAAAATAAAATAAAATAAAAAATTTTAAAAAAGAAATGAGTCTATGCTCAAACAACAGATGTCCATCCCTAAATACCATACTATTTCAGAAAATGGTGTTCATTATATAACTCAAAAATATATCTAGGTGCTCTCTTCCTCTACCCTTCTCGAGAAAATAATCAACAGCTTCTCAAAACATTCAGAACAATAACTAAGCCAAACAATTCTTAAGTGATAGCAAATCCTTTTCAACTAAATTTCTGGCAAGAGTTAAGCTTTCATTCCTTTTGCCACAGATTCATGTTTAAAGACAAGATCATAAACCTTGCCCAGAGAATGAAGACGTGAGATTCCTAGGAATAAATAGGCAAGAAAAATAATAAATAGTCTTTAGGTCTCACACACTTAACTATTCTTTGTTAGAAATCTTGGCACTTTTTAAAATTAAAAGATTTCAGATCATATTTTAGTGCAAGTCTATAGTTTTGAAACTATTTCATTCACAATAAGGAAATGCAACAATGCCTTCTTAAATATTATATGTGAGAAACACTGTTTAGTAGTTGTAAATATCACGGATGGCACTCAGAAATTAATTCAAAGTAGTTACATCTGGATTTTTTTCCATCAGCCTATTAAGAGTAAGGCATAACACTAATAATATTTGTTCAATGAAATGTAAAAGTGAAATTAAAACTAGCTGAATTATCTTTAACTGGAATTAAGCAATTGCTACAGGAAGACAAAGAGCACTGCACATTTTCTTCAGAATGAAGTACTTAATTTTCTCAAGCTTGAAATTCTTTTCTCAGATTAAAACAAGATATCAATTTATCCTGTTAGGATCTGATGGCAAAATGAGAAAGTTTCCAATTATATGGCTTTATTTGTTTACAATATCGACTTCAGAAAAAATAAGAAAAAATTGCTTTTATTTATAGATTGATTTTCTATACTGTACCTGACTGTAATGTCTGCTCAGAAACTATGGATGCAACAAGAAGAAAACAAAGAATCATTAGTAAAAACAAGTTACAATTAAAATGTTGAGTATAGTGACAAAACATTTTGAGAAGACCTCACTTAAGTCAATTTGATGACTTTATTTTTTTCTGATAGCTATAGAACACCAAGTGTTACAAATAAACGACAATGATTGATACAAACCTTCTGCACCTAAGAAGAATCCTACAGTGACTCAGTGATATCCACCGTTTCACCATCAGAAGCTCCTAGGCCTGCGCTTCTGGCTGCTCCTGTGTGTATGTTATGCATGCATGCGCACATGTTTGAGAATATTATGAATATAAATATGAAAACCTAAGAAGATGGAGGATGTTGAAGATATGGAAGATACTGCCCTAATACACACCTTTTAGTATTCTTTCTGGGACTTAGCAGTTGATAAGTATAATCACTTCAGCTATAACAAGAAAAATGCATTCTAAAAACATCACCATGCTATGCAAATTTTGCAAATTCCCACAGCCACAGGGCTTATGGGAAAAATGGGGTTGGGGTACCACGTTCAAAAACTTCAACAATGACACATCAAAAAAGATGGGAACCTCATAAAAATAGTAGCAAGACATTATACATGTTAAATGGTTATGAAATGCATGAATATAACCATTAATAAGGCACTTCATCTTGAATGAAGTTGGCTTGTAGAAATGGGCATCAGGCAGAGTGCAGCTTGTAATATGAATAATGGAGAAAGGGATATCTGAAATTCAATGAAAAGTTGAAAGAACAGATGTGAATGTGTATGGCTCATAACACACATAGTGAACTGAGGCAGGGGAAGATGTTTGAGGTGTGTGTGCATATGTGTATGTGTGTTTTATATGTTGTACATATTTCTAGCCATCTTAGTTCTGCTGGGTGCACTTTTCTGCATTTACCTAGTGTTGCTTCCCAGCAAAATCATGCATAAGCTCATGCAAAATTGGCCTTATGCTCAAACAGTTCCCTAATATATCATATTGGAACAAATTCCCATTCTCAGAACAAGCGTTACAGCAGAACTGACTGTACTTTTTTTTAAAGGTATGATTTTACTTATAGTAAAATGCGCAGGAAACTAAAAACACTAATGCTGAAGTTTGAGGATTACATAGGTCCCTTGTTTCTCCTCTTCTTTCCTTCAACCACTTACTTTCAATTGTTGCTTATTAATGCCTCCACATCAATGTAGGCACAGGTGGAAAGAGGTGACAAAACACAAATCAGTCAAGTCTCTACTTTTGGAAGCCAGGAAGAAAGCCTGAAGTTGAAAGTAGTAGCTAAGATCAGACATTTTTTGGAGTTTTAGTAGGTCTAAGTTCCCTAGCCCACTTACAGGTCCCTGAGGAACTGTCCGTAATTAACTACCTTTAGGCACCATGCAAATTCTAAAATAATCCATAACTTATTTGACCAAGTAATTACCCAAGAATACATTACTTGATGCAGAAACAATTTTCTCCCACTTGAACAGGGAACATTAAAAAGTTTGGTTTAGGGCTAACAGAAAAAAAATTTCTTTTTCAGAGTGCTAAAAAGTTAAAATGGAAAAAATTTATTTTGTCAATTATACCTCAATACATTTTAGAGAAAGAAAAAGTAAGTCTAATCTATTAAATTCTACAATGAATGTTGAGTTTTCCCGTCATGCTACTTTTATGTGCTCACTGATAGGAGAAGTTTTTTTTTAAAAGACACAGTGGAAGGTGAAAACCTATTCTGAAGGTCATATATTTATTTCAAATATTAAAATTGGTAATAGCAGTTAGTGCCCAATAATTAGCACTACTTTAAATTATTAATATGATTTAATGCTTATTCAAACAATAGCAATTAAAAGTTAAGACCAAGTTACAGAAACTTTTGGGATAGTGATTTAAAAAATAACCAATATAGGCATTAGTTTTCCCAGTAAAGCATTTTTCTGCATAATTAGATTATTAAATGCTGTATTACAAGTACTAGCTGAATATTCTATGAAATACTGCCTTGTACAAAGTTAACAATGCTTAATTATTTACCCCTCAATCATAATCTATAGAAGAAACCATGCAAGGGCCTCAGTTTACAGCTTAGTAATACCACTGATTGTACAAATATTTTAAAACAGACAAACTTCCCTTGGAGAATGTACTTTTCAAAAATTACCTTTACAGAAATCCCTTCAAAAACTATTTTAACCAACTAAAAATTCTGTGTAAATAAGTTTACATTTACCTCTTGGACCTTTAGGAATATAAATAACAAATAAAATATAAAGTGCACATACCACGCAAACTTCCAGTAGTTAAAAGTGCTCGAGCTTTGTCAGCTAAATCACTATTCAGAGTATTTCCCAGTAGCAAAACATCAATGGCCTCTTGCTTGGAGCTGTCAAAGAAGTTATTCTGAATTGTTCGGGTAACAGAGCGAGCACCATCTTTTAACTTTCCAGCCTGTTAAGAAAGGAGCGCAGATTTTCATTTTAAATATTACTGATTTTACTCATTAGGTTTTTTGAAATTTTAAATCAGTTTTATATGATTTTAGTATAAAAAAGGACCTAATCGTTCTATTTTGAATATATAGTCATGACAATTAAAATGCCTCCAACATGTCACTGTTTCCTTTCTTCTTTTGGATTAAAGCTCTGCACAAAGAAATGAAAAAGCTCAGTGCTACAACCTCATCCAGTAATTACATCTAGGGCAACAAATGTTTAAAATTGCTTATTACAAAGGAAATAAACTGAAGTGAACTTATTTAAAACAAGAAAATTCCTTCTTACAAGGTAATTTGTAAACTTGGGGATAAAATGGGTAAGGAGAAATGGGAGATAAAAGAAGATACACTGAGCTTAACTGCCCCTAGAAAAACTTCAAATTACTTTGGTAGTAGAAAAAGAAAATGGAAATTGCTCCCAAATAGCTTACATGAGTTAAAATTAAAACTAAACCTAAGAATGAAGGTCTAGTCTCAAAAGAAATTTACAAGTACAGTTCATAAACGAATATTACATGTAAACTACAGTTTGTATATTTTGAGTCATTTTATTGCCCATGCAAAAATACATCATAAGATAATAAACTTATTCCTATAGTGAGATTTGATTATAACTTTTAATGAATATATATTTTACTTAGGCATGTTAGTTACCATAATGATTTATTTTGATCTTACAGATTTTGATGATTGTCAAAACAAAAAACTTGCGTCTTTTAGGAAATAACTTCAGTTTGCAATATGTAATTTTTATTCTTTAAAGAAATAACAGTAACTCAAGGCTTCTTTTTAGAATAAAGAGCCAATTTTCTTAAATGCCACTAAATGAAGAACCAGTTTTCTTCAATGCCATTAAATGAATGCTACTATATTTAATAAGCAATTAATGTTTGGCATTAAGTGTTATTTCTTTCTATATAATAGCATATGCAAATGACATTATTTGAAAAGACACTCACCATTCACATTATCAGGCAATTAATCAAAAGGAACCCAGAGAAAAGGAAAAGAAAGAGCAGTTCAGATGTTAGATTTTAGTTCAATTCAGGCTAGCATATTTAATGTATAAAATTTTATATCTATATATTATGTTAAAGATAAAAGACCACTGAAAATATATGTAACCTCTGTACATATATTGTAGTCACTGCAGAAATGAAAAGGTAGAAGTATATAAAAGAATATTTTAAGCAATAGTTTGAGAATCAGCTTTTAATAGCAAGAATTATGTTGTTTAAAAGGAATAAATCAAAGTTTAACAATTTGATGTTTACAAAAATAGGGACCACTTAAGAAGT
Organism: Homo sapiens; assembly: GCF_000001405.40. Lineage (NCBI taxonomy): Eukaryota > Metazoa > Chordata > Mammalia > Primates > Hominidae > Homo > Homo sapiens. The sequence continues at coordinate 32,680,155 of NC_000021.9, forward strand.
AAATATTTGTAAAAGTCAATACAAATTATTTCTATGAGTTGAACAAAAGAAACTTTGCAGGTAAGGCCAATACCTCTGGGCAGAGGCATGGCATATTATGAGACACAGAAGAGGAAGACTTGGAAATTAAAAGAAGACTTGGAGACCATGAATGGTCTTTAAAGAATTTCAGTTGCTGTATGGAAGAAGCTGAATGAGAACTATAAAAGTGATAAATGTTCTCATTTCTATTCTTGAAATAATTTGAGAAATTGTGGAGATTTAGAAAGTTGATAAATTCAAGTGAGGCCAGGATCCTTAAAAAGTTAAACAATATTTAAGAATATAAAATAATGAAAACTATCTCAAGTATTGTTCCAAACTCCCTCAATAAGGGACAAATACTTGAGAAGAAAGTAGTCTGTAGATAATACCAGGAAATAAAAAGTAATGATGAAACAGACAATTATAATTAAGTCCATTCTTTTTTTTTTTTGGAACAGAGTCTCACTCTGTCACTCAGGCTGGATGGAGTGCAGTGGCGTGATCTTGGCTCACTGCAACCACCACCTCCTGGGTTCAAGTGATTCTCATGCCTCAAACTCCCGAGTAGCTGGGATTTCAGGTGTGCACCACCATGCCCAGCTAGTATTTTCTATTTTCAGTAGAGATGTGGTTTCGCTATGTTGGCCAGGCTAGACTAGAACTCCTGGTCTCAAGTGATCCACCTGCCTCAGCCTCCCAAAGTGCTGGGATTATAGGCGTCAGCCACCACACCTGGCCCATATCTCACACTTCGTTGGCACATCTTGATAGCCACCTTTCTAAGGTAAGATAAGTAAAGATCAATTATGCCCTAATCTTGGGTTCCTAGTAAGCACTGCATAAGCTGTTGATGGACTTACTTGTCCAAGTGGCATACGTCACACATCTATTAACAGTAGGCACTGTGTTAAGTGCAGGGAACGCAAAGCCAAATAAGAGAGAACCCTTTATTAAGAGGTCTATGGTTTTAAAAATCATATTTGTAATCAAAACAAACAATACAAAAAGTAAAACAGATATACAAGGGAAATCATGAAAAAAAGAGCAATATATATCATCTTAGTGGATTGTCACTAAATGACTAGATACGTTATATATACATACTTCCCAAACTTAGGGAAATACCTATCTTCCATTTATTCACTAGTATCCACTGTGAAAGGAAGTATCAAAGAAGGCATAAAAGCACATTAAACAGAATTCTAAGACACATCTATTAATTTAAACCATCTATTAACTTTTAAAAGGCCATTTAAAAGCTTTATGAAGAGAGGAAAAAGAGGATATTCTGTAATGTTATGATAGATCTAGATATACCTTCGCTTTCCCTTCAAGAGCTCCAGTTCCTGCATATATCTTACTGATTGAATCACCATTCACGGACCACATTGACCGAAAAACTTCTTGAAAGCGAGTCACCAACTGAGGCTTTTCAGCTAAACCAAGAGCTTCCAACTGTTTAGCTAGCATCTTAAAAAGCAAACAAGAAATTTTTATAAGTACATTAATATATTAATTGTAATATGGCTTTTAAGAACTACCAGAATCAAACCAAAAATTTATCATTATAGCACTATTTGGGACTAGCTTCTGAAAACATAACAGTTTACTAGGCTGAGTTATTTCCCATCATTTCAATTTTTAAAACAAATACTGTATCAATGGAAACTACAAGTATTGATAAGGACTTCTTTCTGGTTAAATGATAAAATTTATCTTATTAAAGTATCCCTATAAATCAGAGTTGTTTACCTTGCCCACCTAAAAGAATTCATCAATCAACAGCCTGCATTAGAATAAAAAAAAGTTTACTTAGTCCTAAACATAAATAACTAGGTCTCTTTAACTTTTGGATTTGGCTTTATAAGTTTAAGTAATTAAGGTAAAAAAAATGAAAAAAAGGAGTTGCTCTTAAATTGTCACAAAATAAAGAAAATAAGTAAAACTTCTGAATGAAGTCATGACAGCTTTTTATGCATAAAATCCACATCGGTAATATATATAAGGGAAGAACTAGGGGGAAGAGCATGCAAGAAATTCAAGGACCTCTCGGCTTCCACAAGTCCTTATCACATATAACAATAAAAGTGTTCCAAAAAGTTATTGATCTTTATATGCAAGAATTCTAGCCTATAAATCTGACAGAGTCAATGTTCGATCTTTATCCAATCTGTGTATTTGGAATCTAGTCATATTCTATGCCTTGCATTTTAACTTAACTCTTTCCAATTTACGTTTTATTTTATCATGTAAGTATGGTGATCATCCATAATTATAGAAGAACCAAAAGCTAAAATAAGATTAAAAAAACCTTAAACTGGGTTCATTTAATTACCTAGAGACTTACACCAGAGCTGTTCTTTGCTAGCATGGAGAATAAAACAAAATGAGCCCCAGGGCCTCCTTTATCATTTAAATCTTTCTTCAAGGAACTGGGCAAAACTGATCTTATTCCTCTACTAGTTTGGCTTTGTCTATCTTGGTGTCAAACTTTGTAACCTGTCAACCAATTGCTATCCTAGGGAGTTTTCTAATTCCTAACTATCAACAGTGGAGAATCAGCTAAGTCAGATCCTGAAAACTAACATCTGTTATAATTTTGATGAAGAGGTCCAAGTACTTCAATAAGCTTATTATCAGAATCCATGTACATTTATTCAGCCACTTAAAACTTGAAACAAATCCAAGGCATGTGATAAACTCTTATCTAAATGACCAACATGCTTGCTTTCATTTTCTTGTTTCTGTCAAATTTTCTAAATAAATTACAAATAAACATCAAAAACATACTCAAAAAATCCAAACAGTAAAATTTATTTAGTTACATGAAAAATATATTCTGTAGTAGAGAATTTTATACACTGTACTTTCATTTTTGAGATAAAGAACCTCAGCTGCAAAGTAACTAATTAACCAATACTCAGGTCAAATTTAAGATCATTAACTAAAGGAAATAAGAACATGTAACTTCCTATTGCTGTTTTTTTATAGTATTTGAGAACTATGTTAAGTTCTGATGGAACTAAACGAAGTTTAGCCACAGCCTTATAACCTTAACTTGCAGAGGAGGGAAGACTTAGAAAGCTCAGCATTGCTAAATAGTTTGTCAAAGAGTTGAGACTATGTTTATCTTAGGCTGAATCTGATGGATAAGTAGTAAAGAAAAAAAAAAAAGAAAAAACGTTGCAAACAGCGACCTTATCAGAGAAGTTGAATTGCATTCATTTTCATTCTCACTAACTATGGCATTTTCATCTGATCCTGTTTTTTTATAGCTACTAATTTGAAAACACCAAACAAACTGGATTGGTATCAGAGAAGTTGAATTGCATTCATTTTCATTCTCACTAACTATGGCATTTTCATCTGATCCTGTTTTTTTATAGCTACTAATTTGAAAACACCAAACAAACTGGATTGGGTTACAAATTGTCAAAAATATAGTCCTATATAATTGTACATATGAAAATAGACCCTTCTTATCCTAAAATAGATTTTTAAAAGACAACACAGAGAATAAAAGGCCAAATACACACATACACCCACACCCACACATATATATTTCCTCCAAAAGACAGGGAAAAAATTGTTGAAATACTATAAACAGCAGATTTTAAAAGGGAGAATAAGGAACAACAGAAGTAGATAGAGAGCTACCTAAAGAGAATATGAAGATCAGGTAAAGGAAATATTTAAATCAAAAGAAAGTTTGGCCAAAAAAAGAGACAGAGATTAGAAGTACAAAATGAAGCATAACATTACATACACTTTCTGGAAGGTAATAAGAAACATAAGTATTCAAAAAGCACTTAAAGAGGCAGATGATACAAGGCACATACATTTTAATTTATTCTTTTACCTCTAAGCCAAGAAATGCCTGCACACTATTTGTTCTATCAAGACAATCCAAGCAGTTTGTTCGAACTGTACCACTCTGGCATCTGTAACCAATAAAGTTAAATATCCAGTTTGGAACAAAAATAAAGCTAAAACAAACAGTGAATAATTGAGGTAATTAAAATGTAGCATCCACCTTCCCTCTCCAACTTTTTATTATTACAGTATTCAAATATACAAAAAAAATTATACTGTGAACATCCATATACCCACCATTTAAATTTGACAACTGTTAACATTTTGTCACATATGCTTCATTACATTATCTATCACACACTTATTTTTAATTAGGCCAACAATTAGAAACTAAATATACATTCAGGTTTATGCTCTTACAGTTCTTTGCACATAAAATAAAAATATTTATAGAACAAAATTTTTTTAAACCTAAGATCTGTTATCTCTAATGACTGTGTCTACAGCATTGATGCTAAATAAAATACAAATTGAAAAATTAAAAATTTGAGCTTTCTGCACTAAAGTTTCCCTTAACCTATATTCTGAACTTAACTCTCTTAACATTTACTTTTCTCCTCTATTTCACATACAAAAACTGAATATTTAAATTATACTAAAGCAGACAGTAAACAAAGCCTTTCACTTCTATTTGCATTTAATAATCTTTACTGGCATCAAGAAATATTAAAACGTAAGTTTTAAAAGAGAAGCAAAACAGTTTCATATATAACAGCATGAAGTATGGAGCCAGACGAATCCCAGTTCTAACACTTGCTAATTATGAGACTTGCAGCAGATGGAAATGGGCATAATAATAGAGTCTATCCCTATAATTGTTATTGATACATGTTAAGACTTAAGTACGGCCGGGCGCGGTGGCTCACGCCTGTAATCCCAGCACTTTGGGAGGCGGAGGCGGGTGGATCACGAGGTCAGGAGATCGAGACCATCCTGGCTAACACGGTGAAACCCCGTCTCTACTAAAAATACAAAAAAAAAACAGCCGGGAGTGGTGGCGGGCGCTTGTAGTCCCAGCTACTCAGGAGGCTGAGGCAGGAGACTGGCATGAGCCCGGGAGGCGGAGCTTGCAGTGAGCCAAGATCGCACCACTGCACTCCAGCCTGGGCGACAGAGCGAGACTCCGTCTCAAAAAAAAAAAAAAAAAAGACTTAAGTACACTGCCTGCTCCATAAAATGCGCTCACTAATGTAACCTCTCATTATTATTTGGTGAATTCTAAAGAAAGAAAAACAAGTTTAAAATCAAGTATAGGATGGGTGAGATGGCTCATGCCTGTAAACCTAGCACTTTGGGAGGCTGAGGCAGGTGGATCACTTGAGCCCAGGAGTTTGAGCCCAGCCAGGGCAATACAGGGAGACCCCCGTCTCTACCAAAAAAAAAAAAAAAAAAAAAAAATAAGCCAGGCATGGTGGCACACACCTGTAGTCCCAGCTACTCAGGAGGCTGAGGTGAGAGGATCTCCTGAAACCAGAAGGCAGAGGCTGCAGGGAGCTGAGACTGCACCACTGCACACCAGCCTGGGCAACAAAGTGAGGCCCTATTTCAAAATAATAAAAATAAAAATAAAATGAAATATTTAAAAGATATTTAATTATAAACTTTAATTTTAAAAAGAAAATTTAAGAGTTCAACGTTAAGAATAATTTTTAATTAATGTTCCAATTCAAAGAACAGAGAAACAGAACAGTCAAACCTTTGAACTTCACTTCCATTGAAATAAAAAAATCCATAATCTAGAAACTTCTGGACTTGAGGTTTAAGAACACTATGTAATTTTTCTGCCTTTCCTCCCTTAACCATTTGATGATAGTCAAAATTCACCATCTGGATATCAGCAGCATGTTCAGAAGCTTTCAAATGACTCTGAAAGTAAAAAGGCAAATATTCATCTAAATGAAAGTAAAAAGGCAAATATCCATCTAAATATTCATCACATTTCATTGACACTGGCAATAAATCTTTTCCCTAAAGCCTCAAAAACTATCCCTGAGAGATACGGTGACACAATTAACATCAGTGTACTTAAATAATATTCTCATCTGGCTTAGGAAATAAAAAATTATTTCCAATTGCCAGCATTTTATTTTTACAACACAAACTTACTATTTAGACCTATTATAGAATCTCAAAGTCATCTAAGACAAAGCCTATCAAAGACTGAAAGATTCATATTTTATAACTTCATTCAATACATACAAATATTCTTAAATTTTACCATAAAGTCACTCTGTAAAGTATAATCTGTTTATTAACAATATTTATTTCACCAGATTAAAAAAATAGCTATAAAATCAGGATGCTTTTGGACTTAGGAGATTGAACTTTAGAAAATGTTTTCTAACAATCTTGTTTAAGTTTATAATCTTATGTAACAACATAATTTATATTAATTCATTATTAATTCAATAAGTGTTCATTAAAATATTTTTTCTTTAGAAGTCAGGCAATTTTGGGGTTCTTTTTGACATGAAATTCTCAAGTTTTCTCTCATCAGTACAAGAAGGTATAGCGTTGCATGTATATAAATGCATCATTCACAATTCCATAGGTGAAAAACAATGACTATGGTTCTAGGAAGCAGGCAAAGCAATCAACAGATGAAGAAGGAAACTGCTATTTCTCTACTAGTGACAGATAAACATTTTTGGCAAGGAGGGTATTTTTCTGTTTCTCTACAAAATAAAAAAGCAGATTAGAAAACAGTGTCATTTGCATTGAAAGCTTTTTAGAATCCCAATTTCAGCAACATTAGCCTAAATTGTTTCTTAATAGACCCAAAGAGTTCAAGTTTCCAACAAGTACCCAACCTTTTTCTTGGAAGTAATTTACTTCCTGGAAGAATCTGATTACTGTATTATTTTATTTTTTAATACCATTCTAGGTGTCCATGGGCCAGAATGAAATAAGAAATGACCATACTTACCTGGAAAGCTTTACTTAGCATATGTTCACCTTCCTTAGATCCAAGCAAATTTACTATTATTTGTTTACCATATAAGTTCTTAAGTGTTCTAAAATGCCTATTTAAGAAAGAAAGGAAATAAATACATGTCAAATAAGAAGCCCAATTTTTTCAATAAACAATAATCCATTATTAAATATAACTTACATGGCAGTATTTTAAACACAGAATTGGAAAACTGGGTGCGAATTCATTGTACATGGTCTCAAAGCCGAATTTACGAAAACTCATGAATGCAACTTCCTCTCTGACTTATGGGTACTGAGACTTCCACCCCTGTTGGAGCTGTGGAGGCATCCAGCTTCTGCCCACTCTGTGAGGCTGGCACCAGACAAGACAGACACCAGCCATAAGCTTGACTGGAAAGGCAGTAAGGGCAGATGGCAAAGGGCTGCTGCTCACATGTGAGGACATCACCTACTCCGTTGAGTATTCAGAGGGACCTCCTTACTAGCTCCAGTCTTCAGAAAAATGGGCCCCAAATACGAGTCTTTTCTCTTTCCAGCTTCTAACCATTCCAGAAACTATGTAGAGCAATGCCACACAAAGAAATGTAACATAAACCACACCTATAATGTTAAATTTTCAAGAAGGTGCATTTATAAACATGAAATTAATTATACTTTCTTTAACTCAACATGTCTAAAATATCATTTCAACATGTAATCAATATAAAACAACTACAGTTAACCTTTCAACAACACAGGTTTGAACTGTGCAAGTCCACTTATATATGGATTTTTTTCAACCAAAGAAGAATCAAAACTACAGTATTCCTGGCATGCAAAACCCATGAATATGAATGATGACTTTTCATAAGCATGGGTTCCACATGGCCGACTGTGGGACTTGAGTATGCACAGATTTTGGTATGTGAGGGTAGAACCAATACTCTGAGTATACCGAACATGATTTTACTAATGAGATACCTTACATTCTTTTTTATTTTTTAAGGCAGTCTTTGAAATCTAGTGTGCATTTTATACTTGCAGCACATCTCAACTGAGACTAGTCACATTTCAAGTGCCCAGTAGCTACATGTGGCTAGTGGCTGCTATACTGGACAATGCGCCCACAGAGGAAGTTTTAAGGTCAAGAGATCAAGACCCACACTTCCAGCACTACCACCCCCAGAAGTCGTAACACTAGGTGTCACTGTCTTTCAATTAAATTAGGAGTCAGAGGAATTTTATTTAAAGCCAAAAAAGTTTGAAGTGAATCAGTAAATACAAGCAGTCCCACTGCTTAGCAATATCAAAACTTAAAGCACTATGTAAAAATTGTCTTACCTGTCAAAAGCAGGTGCATTGGCTTCAAATCCCCTTGACATACGGACACGATGAGATCCCACCTTAGACAAGAAAAATATATTTAATCAAACCAAAAACCAACATATAGACGAAAGAAATATCACTGCTTACAATATCTAACAATTTCTTTGCTGAACACACAGTCGTTAATCAAATAACTGATTTCCATTCATGATATGCTTTTAAAAAAACAAGTTCCAGGGAATTTCCACCCTCCACCTTTATTTTTAAAAAACCAACCTCATCAAAAAAAGAAGTTACATCATTATGAAATACTCGTAAACTAGTAGGAATTTTTATTGATGAAAACTATTTTTAAAGGTGTTTTCATATATGGTACTTTGTTTTAAGTTCAAACTACATGCCCTGTGTAACAGATACTATTACCATTTGGGTAATTAAAAAAACCAAAATACCAACAGGTAAAATAACTTGCTATCTGAGATCAACATAACCAATTCCAAAAGAGATTCAGATGAGACTTTATGTCTCTGACCTAAATTCCTACTCCTCCAAGCTGCCTACCAATACAAATGTCTATGTGTTTTCTTCTCTACTATGTTGAATATTCTATTCACACCAAAGTTCCACCAAATTGAGAATATCATTCCTTCCTGGAAAAGCAGACTTTCCAAGTCAACCTTGCCATCACCCAATTATAGTATTTGCACATTTTGCAGAATCAGGAATTTTGGGTTAAGCAAATTAAACAAGATGGAAAATATCTACCTATTGTATATTGTTATAATTTTTCTTTTCTTACACAGGAGAATAGCAGAGAGATGAGGCATAATTGAGAAAGATATAACATGCCAAGAAGAAATATATAGGTGAGACCAGATTATTTCCCTGAACTTCAATTTAAACATTTCTCTCTGAGACGTTGGAATGAAGGTTGCCCAATCACAACAAGGATCACTGAGGGGGGGCAAAAAAGTTGCCCAAAATTCATTCTTGCTAACCTGTGAACAAAGTGCTTTTTTTTGTGGGGGACGGAGTCTCACTCTGTTGCCAGGCTGGAGTGCATTGGCGTGATCTCGGCTCACTGCAACCTCTGCCTCCCGGGTTCAGGCGATTCTCCTGCCTCAGCCTCCCGAGTGGCTGGGACTACAGGCGCCCGCCACCACGCCCAGCTAATTTTTGTATTTTTAGTAGAGACAGGGTTTCGCCATGTTGGCCAGGATGGTCTCAATCTCTTGACCTTGTGATCTGCCCGCCTCAGCCTCCCAAAGTGCTGGGATTACAGGCATGAGCCACCGCGCCCCGCGCAAAGTGCTTTTAAAGAGGGTGTAAAAGGGGGGTTGTCAAATCAGTCATGTAATTGGACAAGTAAAACCAGAAAATAAACTCTAATATGCTCATCCAATTCCAAAACTGAATTAACAGTACAGTATTATCATTCATTAAGCATTATCCCTCACTGCACTAAGTCAGATAATCTAATGAGTATTCTGATAACCAGGGGATTCTCTCTTTAATTTTTAAATAAGAAATCAATTAGCCTAATGTCACATCTGTGTTCAATTTCATTTTATGGTACTTAATAATATTCATAAAAGTTTAAAATTTGAAAGACGTATGTCCCAGGACATTAAGCATTTTAGACTGCAGAAAACTCACAAGTTGATACTTTTTCTTTGGAGTAATCCCAGATTAATTGCCTATCACTCCATACAAGTTCAAAACTTAGCATTTTTGTTTACTGATTAACATTTATTTTGCATAGTACTGCAACGGTGCATAAGGTGAAAAAAATCCAGTTTTCATGTCTTCCAGGTAATGCCTATGGTTGTTTTCCACCACTCTGTTCCCCAACACATATATACATTCAGCTATGTATCACAGCTCTCATAGCAATATACTGGCTAGACTAGATTAGATTTCTGTTTTTGTGTTATTAGAGACAGGGTCTCACTCTGTAACCATGCTGGAATGCAGTGGTGCAACCATAGCTCACTGCAGCCTCGACCTCCTGGGCTCAAGGGATCCTCCCACCTCAGCCTGCTGAGTAGCTGAGACTACAGGCACACGTCACCATGCCCGAATGATTTTTATTTTTTTATTTTTTTGTAGAAATATGGGTCTATGTTGCCCAGGATGGTCTTGAACTCCTGGTCTCAAGTAATCCTCCCATCATGGCCTCCTAGACTAGGTTTTATTACTCAATGTTGAAAGAAAAGTTTTACAATAACAGAGCTATTGCCAATCGTGATAAAAGTAGCACTCCAGAAAGTGTTAAGGCTTTAAATAACCATAACTTTACCCAATTAAAAAAAAGTTGCGGCCAGGTGTGGTGGCTCATGCCTGTAATCCCAGTACTTGGGGAGGCCGAGGCAGCTGGATCACCTGAGGTCAGGAGTTCGAGACCAGCGGATCACCTGAGGTCAGGAGTTTGAGACCGGCCTGACCAACATGGTGAAACCTTGTCTCTACTAAAATACAAAAATTAGCTGGGCATGGTGGCACATGCCTGTAATCCCAGCTACTCGGGATGCTGAGGTAGGAGAATCACTTGAAGCCGGGAGGCGGAGGTTGCGGTGAGCCAAGACTGTGCCATTGCACTCCAATGGGCAACAAGAGCTAAATTCCAACTTGGGGGAAAAAAAAAGCTTGCATTAAAGGTATTTTTAAAAATCATTTAATTGTGTGGTATGGTATATCATTTTCCATCAATATTACTTCTTTACCTTCACATATTTCTGAAATTTCAACCAAAAATTGGGGGTAGACCTTACAATGTTTACCATTTTTTGACTGATTGATACGGTTTGGATCTGTGTACCCCCTAAATCTCATTCTGAATTGTAACCCCCAAGGTTGAAGGTGGGGTCTGGTGGGAGGTGACTGAATCATGGGGGTGGAGTTCTCATGAATGGTTTGGCACTATGCCCCCTTGTATTGTTCTCATACTAGTGAGTGAGTTCTCATGAGATCTGGTTACTTAAAAGTGTGTAGCACCTCGCTCTTATCTTTCTTTTGCTCCTGCTCCCACCATGTGAGACTCCTCGCTCCCCTTTTGCCTTTTGCCATGACTGGAAGCTTCCTGAAGCCTCCCCAGAAGCAGATGCTGCCATTCTTCCTGTACAACCTGCAGAACCATAAGCCAATTAAACTTCTTTCTTCATAAATTACTCAGACTTGGGTATTTCTTTACAGCAATGTGAGAATGGACTAATAAACTGATATATACTGTAAATGTAGTATAATAATATATGATCTGAGTATTATAAGTTATAAATGCTAAACAACTTCAGGGAAAGGAAATCATAAGTAAAAGGAAAATCACAAGTCAAAGGAAATCATAAGTAAGTTGCCAGCACTAAAAATGTCATTCTTACTTGTGTAACACCTTATGACAATTCTTATAATGCCTCAAACAAATTCATCTTGGTATTTATCTTTTCCATAAAAGGCCTGAGTGCCCAAATGGCAACCTCTCTATGAAGCATCATTATATCTTTGAATCTCTCATAGCACCTAGCATAAAATAACATACACAGGAAGAACTCAAGTATTTAGTGAAGAGATCTGAGTGGCCACTGAAGGACAATAAATCTTAATTTTGGAAGTAGAGGATTCCTGCTAGAAAACTGCAAGGCCTGAAGTTGGACAGGCTGAGTAAACCAGATCATAAGGACATAGGTGCCTAGTAAATCTGACACGCATAACATATATATCAAAAATAAGAAGACCTGTCGGAGCTAGTAGGAAGCAGGGCCTAGAGGGACAAGACAGAAAACTGTGAGAATCTTCCAGGCTAGAAGAAATTATGAAAACCTTAACTCAGAGGATAGTAGTGGGAATAAAAAGAAAGTCCTACTGCCTAGAACAATGCTGAGACTAATGGTAACAGGGCTACTTTTCACTTGGTCAGGACTGGCTGCTTCATAGCCATTAGAGTAGGATCTTATAAAATAGAAGTTCTTGACTTTGAGTGGTAGAGAACTTGGTTAAAAATGAGGATTCCTGGCCGGGCACGGTGGCTCATGCCTGTAATCCCAGTCCTTTGGGAGGCCAAGGCAGGTGGATCACCTGAGATCAGGAGTGCAAGACCAGTCTGGTCAATATGGTGAAACCCCATTTCTACTAAAAATAAAAAAATTAGCCAAGTGTGGTGGCACGCGCCTATAGTCCCAGCTCTCGGGAGGCTGAGGTAGGAGAATTGCTTGACCCTGGGAGGCGGAGGTTGCAGTAAGCTGAGATCGCACCACTGCACTCCAGCCTGGGCGACAGAGCATCATTCCGTGCCAAAAAAAAAATCCATAATTTTCCACCTATCACCACATAACATTAGCCAACCAGACCGTATAGGAAGGAAAGCACACAGGAGAAGGAAGGCACAAGGAAGTCCCACTCAAGGAAGATCCCTCAGTGTAACTACTCAGGACGCAACCTTATTGGATCATCAAAACACTGTAATTCAGAACTTATTAAAATAACACAGGCCAAGTACAGTGGCTCAGGCCTGTAATCCTAGCATTTTGGGAGGCCAAGGCAGGAGAACTGTTTGCCCAGGAGTTCAAGACCATCCTGGGCAACAAGGTGGGACCCTGTCTCTACAAAAAATAGTGGTATGTGCCTGTAGTCCCAGCTACCTGGCAGGCTGAGGTGGGAGGATCACTTGAGCCTGGGAGATCGAGGCTGCAGTGAGCCATGATTGCACCAGTGCACTCAAGCCTGGGTGGCAGAGTGAGACCCTGTCTCAAATAAATAAATATATAAATAAATAAATATAAATAAATTAAACAAAGAAATAAAATAACATAAAAACAGTGTACCATAGGGCTCATAAACTGGTTATTAGAATCTCTAACACTAGCCTGTCCCTAAAACAAAAGCATTCACCTCGCATCACATCAGGGTTTCAGCAATGTTCTTAAAGCAAATACTCCAAACACCCACTGTTGATCATGAAAGCGTAGGAGAAGTGGGGTTCTGTTGGCATTCTCTCCTAAGGGAAATTTAGGGAAAGATATATCTATTTACGTTATCCCTACAAAGATAAAACAAGTCAAATCGTCTTGACAAGAATTCAAGAATTTTTGCAGAGCAGTAGAAGTGTTAATCCTTGTTAACTCTTAGACTGTCTTAAATAAAATGTTACTAAAAAGGTTCAAGTAGTCTGTAATTTTTCTCTGCAATAACCAGTCTAAGATGTAAGAGATCCAGCAGTCAAATAAAGGAAGAAAGATTTTTTTTTCTTTCCCTTTTCTCAATACTATAGGCTGAAGCACCAAACTTACTAGACTATACATACCCAGATCCTAAAGTAAATATGATATACTTCAAGGACTAATAAATTTTGAATAAAAATAAAATGTCAACAATAGTTAACCCTTACATGGTGCTGACTGGGGGCCAGGTGCTATTCTAAGTGCTTTTAATTTAATCCTTACAACAACCCTATAAAGTAGGTACTATTAATATTATTCCCATTATACAGATAAGGAAACTGAGACACACAAGGGTTAAATTATTTGCCCAAGATCACACAGCTAGTAGTGGTAGAGTAAAGATCCCAATTAAGAAGTCTGGTTCCCAAGGCTTTGTTTTATCTACTACATTCTTCTGCCTAAAGAGACTAAATCATTATATACTAAGATAAGAAGGTAATAAATATGGAATCACATTGCAAATCAATACACTATAAAGACTTCAAAATTTTTAACACTAAATACAGCAGCTCAATTTCAATGGCTATTTGAAAGAGCATTAAAAGAAAAAATATCTAAGATAATTCCAGAAACTCTGTACTCGTCTAGACCCTTATTTGCAAATCCAGCTAACATTATTAGATGGAATAATGGAACCATCAATGAATTAATTAATAAACTATCCAGAAAGTTTAGAAAATATGAAAATTGTTCAAAAAACAAAAATAACTGAATGTCAAACACATACTTGCAACCCTGGTTGCTCCCAGAACAATGGAACAGATCCTCGGATTTGTATGAAGGAAGAAACTGAGTCATCTAAGTACACAACCTACAGAAAAAAAAATAATATGTAAACTATTTCCACAGAAAAGTTGTTACACTTACATTAGAAAAACAAATTTACTAAAATCTATTGCATACTAGTTACATTTTATGATCTAACTCTCATATACAATTGTCCAAAACAGGCCACTATACAGGTTTGACTTTTTTTTCTGTTAGCGATATTAACCAAAAAAATTAGTAAAATTATAAGCATAAGATTCACAACTTTAAAAAATAAATTCCTTTTAAATCTTAATATTTTACATACATATCTTTATATTTCATTTTGTTTAGCTCTTTATAACCTAATTTGAAGATCTGTGTTGGGCTGGGTTCATGGCCTGAATTTATAATCATATAGTTTCATAGCCAAAAATATCATAATTTCTGATTTTTAGATGGTACACATATTTGCCATTAAGAGCTGGGTTTAATTTCACTTCACAAAAAAACAAGTTGTCTAACTCTACAGCTGAGGATTTTAAAATTCATTAAAATTCAATACCAAAACACACAACACTGACTATGTCATGCTGATTAGTGACATCTTCTTACCTAGATGAAGAGCCACACCAAAATAAGTTTTTTTTAGGGAAGCCTTTTTTTAAGGCCCATAAGTAACCAAGAACAATCATAAAACATTATAGATGTTAAAATAAGCTCCGAATCAAATAAAAATCTGTTATTCTAGTATTTTCTGTGCTTCTCCTATAATAAATTAATTAAGTAATATAAAACACTATATATACCTGTTCTGTTTCTACAAAATTGGCAACATGACCATCATCATTTGTTCCCCGGACATTAAACCTGGTCCCAGCTCGTTCACAGCTTAATCTTGAAATGAGGCAAGCCTTCGCCTGTTTATGAGCAGCATAAATTGTTCTGATTTCTACTCCTCCACACATAAGACGTAATAACCAGTCATCACAATTCACGCCATAGTGTTTGAGATGCAAATGCAAAGACTGATTCCTAATAGGAAAAGAAATAAATGATTAGCTTATGGAATACTAAGTAACAAAGTATGACTTTTAAAATAATCTCCTGGAAAATTAATTTAATATTATTAAATTTAAAGGCACAAACAACAAATCAATTCATTTACATTTACTATGCTAGGGATCAGAAGATAGGGCTATAAAACGAGATCCTTCAACATGTGATCTATGATCCACAGAAAAGGAGTATTTTTGTGTTTTTAGTATCTGTGGCCCATTTCTGTTATGTCTTTATATATAATGTGTTTATAACCTAACTTGTTCCAAAAAGGAATACATATGCATGTCCCCACCCCAATTTATGAAGCTCTACTTTTTAAAAAAATATTTATTTATTTATTTATTTATTTAT
This sequence comes from Homo sapiens, assembly GCF_000001405.40. Lineage (NCBI taxonomy): Eukaryota > Metazoa > Chordata > Mammalia > Primates > Hominidae > Homo > Homo sapiens. The sequence goes on from NC_000021.9 coordinate 32,695,661, forward strand.
TTATTTATTTATTTATTTTTGAGATGGAGTCTCGGAATGTTGCCCAGGCTGGAGTGCAGTGGCATTATCTCGTCTCACTGCAACCTCTGTCTCCCAGGTTCAAGCGATTCTTCTGCCTCAGCCTCCCACGTAGCTGGGATTACAGGCATGCACCACCAAGCCGGGCTAATTTTTTGTTTTGTTTTGTTTTTTTTTTTCTTTTTTGAGACGGAGTCTCGCTCTGTCGCCCAGGTTGGAGTGCAGTGGCGGGATCTTGGCTCACTGCAAGCTCTGCCTCCCAGTTTTATGTCATTCTCCTGCCTCAGCCTCCTGAGTAGCTGGGACCACAGGCGCCCACCACCATGCTTGGCTAATTTTTTGTATTTTTGGTAGAGACGGGGTTTCCCCGTGTTAGTGTTAGCCAGGATGGTCCTGAACTCCTGACCTTGTGATCCACCTGCCTCGGCCTCCCAAAGTGCTGGGATTACAGGCGTGAGCCACCGCGCCCGCCCATGAAGCTCTACTTTTAAGGCTTGACTTTTATAAGGCTCTATTTTAATTAATTTAAATTTAAATAGCAAGATGTGGCTAGTGGCTACCACATTAGATAGTGCAGGCATAGGGTTTATCATCGCTCCAAATACTTTTAGCATTCTAGGTAACAGATGTGGCCTGGTTTCCAAACTTTTTTCAGAGAAACAAATTTTATTCAAACAAACATGCAGAAGCCCAATGATTATGATACAGATAAAAGCTGCTATGGCTAAAGTGGGGATTGGGACTGAACTTTGCTGGGTTGGCCTTCTCACCCTGATTACCCCTCAGGGATCTCTCCTGGAACCTTAGACCTCCACAGAACATATAAAGAAGCTACTAACAATATACCACTAAGGAAAATACATTGTTAAGTGGAAAAACTCTATCAATTTGAAAATGAGTTTTCTATATTATTGAAGCTTGACTCTTTAGGTTTTAAGTGGAATTCTTCTACTTAAGTGCTCCGTACTCTCTCTCTCTTCCTGTCTTAAATAAGGTATAAAAGATGTAATAGCATTATCTTGAAGACTCACAGCAATAGCCCCAACTCCCTGCCAGCCCCTCAGATTACAGGCTGCAACAGAGATAAAAAGGGTGGTCAGCAGTTCTGGAAAACCAGCTATGACCCCAACCCCTCTTATCCATCCAGGAAATCACACGGGAATATAAATGAGTGATGATATTACAACAGGGATAATGTTAAATCTGATGACCATTACTTATTTTAAAAATACACTGACTTAAACTTCCATACTTTACTATTACCCACATTGATCTGAGGCAAAGTTCAAACTGGTTGTGACCCAGTATGTCCAACCACCACAGCTGAGACCTACGCCACAGCAAAGTTATAAGAAACTTACTTGTCCTCATTTAAATAGACCTTAAATCCTATGCATTTTGTGCAGGCAGAGTTTCTCTCTCTGCTGTCAGTTTTCATTTTTCTTTGCTGTCAGTGTGTCACTGTTTTAGCATTTAAATTTATACATGACTTTTGACTGGCAGCAGCTTAGAATTTCCAATGGAGTAAAGCTATCTGGGCTTTGTCACAGGTATCTGCCACTCTTTGGCTACAAAAATTACATGGTTGTATCCTGGAAAATATTGCTACTAAGTGCAAGGGTATGCACAATGAATTCCAAAAGTTCCCGTTTTTCTATATAAACTGAAGCTCAAGAATGCCAATCCTTAGCAAAATTGTAAAATGAGCAAAATTCACCTTTGGTGCTCTAGCTGTCCCTTTGTTCAACCTGTCTCCTGCTGGACAAATCTCAGGCTTTCTTTTATCTGACTTTGCCCCCATCTCTACTCTTAAGTGAATTAAAAAAAAAAAAAAAGGAGGCCAAGTACGGTGGCTCATGCCTATAATCCTAGCACTTTGGGAGGCTAAGGTGGGGGGGATCACTTGAGGTCAGGAGTTGGAGACCAGCCTGGCCAACGTGGTGAAACCCCATCCTTATTAAAAACACAAAAATATTAGCCTGCGTGGTGGCGCACGCCTGTGGTCCCAGCTACCCAGGAGGCTGAGGCAGGAGAATTGCTTGAACCCAGGAGGTGAAGGTTGCAGTGAGCCAAGATCGCGCCACTGCGCTCCAGCCTGGGCGACAGAGTGACACTCAAAAAAATCAATCAACCAACCATCCAATTAATCATGCCTATTGATTAAACCTAGGCAATATATCTGCATCTGCTTGGACTTCTAATTGTTGTATGAAAGCTTTTATCTCTCAATCTAAGAAACTTTGGGTAAAAATGAGGAGGGAAAAAAATGTAAGGACAGCTGCAACACATTTACCTTTTCAAGGGACTTCAACATCTTCTACTAGAAAAAATGTAGTGTTGGCATGGTTTTAACTCTTGGAAGCCTATTTCTCAATGCTTCACAAAAGTACATCCCATCACTGCTAGCTTCTTTGGGCAGGCAGGAACTCATGTCCATTCATCTGCCCTGTTAGTCCCTGCATCCCCTCTCTCCTTTCCTCTCCCTCATGGTCTCCTCCTCTGCTAAACCCAAGTCTCTAACACATAATGCTATAAACCCTGTTTTTATTCTGTCCACTCTTCTCCCTGATGCCACCACTCTGGGTCAAAACACTTCCATGTGAGCTACAACGTGACCAAGCTGTTGCTCTAAAGTTAAGTTTCTTATCCTAAGTTTGTTGTTGACTTTGAGTCTTCTGACAGCTAGGGCAAATGGGTGACACCCGAATGTGCTACTCAAGGACTATATAAGTGACAGTGAAAGTGTGAGAGAGAAAAAGTACACAAGAGGAAACCATCTTGAATCTGAACTGTTAAGGGAGGCCAAGAGCAAAGAGTCCTGAACTTTGGCCTTATAACATATGTCAATATAATAATACATAATTTGCACATGATATCAAGAGAAAAAGTCAACATCAATGCTGGCTGTAAACAACAGAACCACTATACTAGAAATCTGGTCTGCTGCAATAGAACAATGCTAATTATAGTCCCATGTGTTCTGCTCACCATTTGTGCCTACTTAGAATACAGCACAGTTATGCATAATCATGAAATACATCACACTTACCTACATAAGTCCTAACTTATTATAGTACTAGATTTTGTCCCAGTATACTACTTCTTCACAATCTGTTGCTCTTGAATCAAGACCACCTACTTATAACCTTAAAATTTAGAATAATAAGGGAATGTTGGCTTAGAAAGGGAATGCCGCCAGAGACAAGATCTCAAAACCAAGAATAGGAAACGTGAGTAACACAGTTTTGTTACAATTAAATTCATTTCTAAATATACACAACTATTTTAAATGTATTTTGGAAATGAAAGTTCAGTGTAGACTGGGGGGAGCACAGGGGTTTTATGTCACATGCCAACTTCAATAAACCGACATTGGCTGCCTGCCATGCTCTGCTGAGGACTCCAGAGAAGGAAAGATGGATACACTCAATTAGCAATGTCTATCCCTTGTTATCTCTAGACATAACAACTGCTGAACTTTTTTTCTTTGTAAAGCAAGCAAAAGTTTTATTGAGGAAGTACAAGTACACTCCAAGAAAGGAGTGGGCTGACCCTGCTGGAAACACCCCCAAGACATTCTGCATTGTGATCTTCTATTGTCTCAGTTCTTTCTTTACCCAGTTCTCACCAAGGTTTGGGGGATCCTCCCTTACTGTGCTTAATGCACATGCACGGGAACCAGTGATCAATATGAATCCTATCTAATGGTGGCACTGCTTATTACCACCACCCCAGGAAGGTATAGCCATCAATTTTGTACTCATTATGCCTGCTCAGCTCTCAGGAATTCCCCTTTGCCTTTTTCCTTCCTTATCAGGATCTACTTAACAACATTCTGACAGTTCGACCACGGAGTGAGTACTGAGCATCCTAAGAGGAGTTCCGGGGCATTCTTTCCAACACGTATACCACCCCCTCGTGCCTGCTCATATCTGACTGTCTACTCTTACATTGCTCCCTCAAGGCGTTGGGACCCAGAAATCTTTTGGGAGATGAGGTAGAGGTCATTCTCTGTAGCTACTTGCTGCTGAAAAGGGGCATCGAGGGTCTTCAGGGTTCTTCCTCCTTTCTTGCTGTCACGGTGAGGAGGTTTTTGATGACTGAACAACTGCTGAACATATTATGTCCCAAATCACCAAAAGGGAAAAAATGAACTCACCAGAAAAATCTATTATCAGTTGTCTGTTCTTGCATGCTACGATGCGCATTAAGACTCAAATCTAAACTGATGCCAGATGCAGACCATGCAAAATAAAAGTTTCCTGAATTCAAAACTTTCCGCACTTCTGAAATGCGATCCTCATCTGAAGAATCGATTCGCAGTGATATAAACTCAGTGGAAGTAACTCGGAAAACTTCAGATTCTTGAATTTTTCCAACAGACATACATCCAGTGACTAGGACCAGATAATGTAACATAGTATCACCTGCAAAACCCAAAGATTTTACTGGATGAAAAATCCCAACATTTTCAAGCTATTCCATTTCTTCTTGCACCTCTATTTTTTAAATCTGACATTGTGATTATTTTAAACTTATCATGGATGTGTTGAAATTCACTAGACATTTTAGTTGAAAAAAATCCTTGTTTAAATATATTAAGTATAATAAAGCATTTAAACATTAACAGGATAATCTCACACGAAATTGTTCCTGAACTTATTCTGAGGCTAAAAAAACTTTATCGAATAATTGGCTGGGTGCGGTGGCTCACGCCTGTAATCCCAGCACTTTGGGAGGCTGAGGCAGGTGGATCACCTGAGGCCGGGAATTAAAGACCACCCTGACTAACATGGAGAAACCCCATCTCTACTAAAAATACAAAAACTAGCTGGGCGTGGTGGTGCATGCCTGTGATCCCAGCTACTCAGGAGGCTGAGGCAGGAGAATCACTTGAACCTGGAAGGTGGAGTCTGCAGTGAGCCAAGATCACACCATTGCACTCCAGCCTGGGCAACAGGAGCTAAAACTACGTCTCAAAAAAAACCACACGAACAAACAAACAAGAAAAAAACTTTATCAAATAAAAAAGTATGTGTTACCTTCTCTACTTTTGCTTAATGATTGTCAGAAAATTCAGGTAAGATAATGAATTCACACTCATTTTAACAAGTTCTTTGTAAATAGTAAAGTTGAAAAAATGGTATACTATTATCAGCTGATGATGTTGATGACAAATGGACAAAAGTCTCTGGTAACAACTTATAAAGCAATTTGGTTTACAAAAACTTTCACAGAGATTTTTTTCATGTAATTATGACAAAAAGCCTATGAAATTAGTATAAAGTTGAAATTGAGCAATGGTATACTGTGAGCATGGGCTCTGACACAGGTAGAAGCGGCCCTGAATCTTGGCTCCATTACTTATTACCTGGACCAATTTCAGTATGTAGCATAACGAACCTGAGATATCATCTCTTATAAAAAGAGATTAAAGCAAATACCTCATTATACTGTGAGGCTTACCCAGGAGTAATCAGTAAAGCACCTAAGCGCAGTGCTTTATATGTGATAGATTCATAACAAATGACAAATCTCCATTTTATAGACCAGTGCTACTCAAAGTATGGTCCATGAACTGTTACCAGCTCACAATGAGAAAGGACACTTACACCAGAATGGAAATCAACTATATTACTAAGTTCACCCTTTAGTTGAGCTGACTTTTTTTTCTAGTAAGACTTTATCAATGAAGGAAGCCACATGTTGATTTGTATCATAGTGCAAGCTCCTTATCTTATCACGGATCAATAACAAAATGATTTATGGACCAGTACCAATGTTGAAGAACACTTTGAGCTGCAAAATTACAGATAAACTAGTAACTGCAAAGGTTACTCTGCAGCTCACGGTGACATTACGTGGCAAAAAAAAAAAAAAGGCTCAAGCAGACACTTTCTGAATTCAAAACAGATGTCTTTTCCAATACAAACCAAGAAAAATCAGTGTAGTTCTCATGCAGACACTTTTTCCTAAATGCACTGAATCAACAAAAAGGAGAATGTTCTGATTTTCTCTTTTGACAACTGATACTTATCTCTTCAAGTGGTCAAACCAGAGACTGTCTCCGAACTTCCACTCACATGAGTTTGAGCATGTAGCACGCCTTTTTGGGCAACAAACATTATCACAATATTAGCTACATTAATGTTTAAAAGATGTTAGCACATGTGTAGCTTAAATATGGAGTCTACAATAATTCATAGCTAGTCCCTCTCAAATCCTTAGAATTACAAAATAGAAATGAAAAAATGGATGAATTCTACTGAATGATAAACTTACCAAGATTTAACCGCAGAACACCTAAGAGTCCATATGCATCCAGTACTTTGGAGTATGTACCCTTGATTGCCTCTTTTTCTGCAGATGCTACAAAAAAAAGTTTTAGTTTAAGAAAAATGACCTGAAACATTGGATTCTATTTAGCTAAGTATAAATCCAGAGTTTCAATCAAAAGTTTCTAAATCTGATATTCTTAAAATAAATGTACTGCATATTTTCTTAAACTAGTAACATTAGTATTCTTCCCAAAGAGTTAATAAATTATTCCAAGACCATCTATTAATTAATCCATCCTGTCCACTGATCTGAACTCTGTCTTCTTACCCTTTTATTCTTGACAGAATAGTGCTCGACACTTAGAAACTGACAAAACATTTAAATGATAAAAGCTAATGGCAACACTTGACTACACAAATGTAGGGCAAGAATAGGGAAATCTGATTCTGAAAGGACAAAAGTCTGGTCTTTGCCTTGATTTATTTCTTCTGCTATAAAGTTAACGTTACCTTGTTAATGAATATAAACCACAGAATAATTTTCCTAAGACAGGCTATTATGATTATTCTATTGAGAAGAAAAAACAACAAAAAAAAATCAAATCCTGAAACGTTAAAGAAAAAACCTTCCTAGCACTTAGCAATTACACATTAAAAATTTCACAAAGAACCAAAGAAATATTAACAACCAGTATTTCAAAGGACAAATACAAATAATACATCCCACAGTCTACAGTTGATCCTTGAGAAAGATACCTTCCTTTCCTTCCAGGTTTCTTTCCTTCTTTGCTTTTTTCCCTTTTCCATTATCTACACCACACTCAACTCACCTCCTGGCTGACTGGTTCATACCTTATTTACTTCTTATCTCTTACACTTATCCCCTTTCCTTTATCTACAAAATAGGATGTTTGGCAACACTGACGTGTTCCACGTTAGAAAATCACGTAAGTAGATACTTATGACTGTCTCATTTCCTGTCCATCTTTATTGCCAACAAAAGGGCTCTTCTCAGCCTACTGCTTTGCCTAATACTCCTTTGTACTTTGCATTAGAGATCTTCTACTTTGCCTGAAGCTCTTCTCCAGAGTCCTATAGAACATCTCACTTTCCCTGCCTGCTTCACCTCTTTTCAGACCACGTAGGCTTAAGCCTTCTTCCTAGTGATCTGGCTTCTGCCTTCTGATGAGTTTTGCTCTGCTAGTTGCAGCACAGGCTAAGACTAACTGACTCAGTCACTCAATTAGCTGATATTTTCACGATTCTCTAACATGTTCATTATTAAGTGTGGGCCATTATCAAACCACCCAGTATGAAATTAGGGAGTGGAGATTCGCCAACCCGTTAAAGTGATGGGGATTTATATTTCATTCTGTATTCCTTGAGTTCCTATTATTATTACATCTTATGTTTATCCAACAGTTGATCCTAACATTCCATGACAAGCAACCCAAATGTAAAACATTACAATATAAACTTTAATTACATTTTATAAAGCAAAATAGAATTGCCTTCTAAATACTGCCTCGTTAAGAGTACCATATGTACTGTAAACATTAGAGAGACTTGTTATACCTCTCAGGACAGAAGGCATGACTTCCAGGATAAATATTATTCTAGAGGTTTACAAGTTATATGCCATATACATTTAAAATACAATCACTAATATAGTAATATAGAAAGTACTAGATATATCCATTTCAGCAGCAATCATCATTTGGGTTCAAATGCCAGGAGGCAGTAGGAGTTAAGAAGAAAATATAGTTTTATTTTTATTTTTATTTTTTTTTTTTGAGACAGAGGCTGGAGTTCAGTGACACAATCACAGCTCAATGCAGCCTTGACCTCCAGGGCTCAAGTAATCCTCCCACCTCAGCCTCCCAAGGAGCTGGGACTACAGGCATGTGCCACTATGTCCAGCTAATTTTTTTTATTTTTTATTTTTGTAGAGATACAGTTTCTCTACGTTGCCCAGGCTGGTTGGAAACTCTCGGGCTCAAGCAATCCTCCTGTCTGAGCCTCTCGAAGTGCTAGGATTACAGGCATGGGCAAAAAACATATTCTTAACATTAAGTCACCACCTTCCTTTAGAAAACAGAGAAGTCATTCTATAACTTAAATTACCATGTAACAAAATGTTCTCTCTTCTAATAATGCATAATAACTATCTTCTCATTAATTACACTCCAAATACATAAACGTATGTCTCTCAGGACTGATGAAGGCCCATCTATTAGACTATCATCTAATTCAAACATGCAAACAAATGCCTTGCAGTTTAGTTATTTACATGTTTGTATTCTATTCGGACACTCAGGAAACAGGATACACACACACCCACACACACACCTTAAAGTGCATACTCTTAGAGCCAAAGGTACTTTTAACTCCAGACACTCCAAATTTCTTAAGAGAAAACAGTATCTTCTTCATAAATACATTTGTATCTGAAGGACAGTAGATGTTTCCCTACTTTACGATATATGCTTCAAAGGTTTTGAGTAGACTGGAGGGAGGCCCAGTAATGGCCACTAGGAGAAGGATGGCCTGTGCAAGAAGCTGAAGCTAGAGGCAGGGGAAAAGGGCGTCCACTTGTGGGAGGGGCCGCCTGGCATGAGTTCCTGAAGTCTGACTAGGGTGAGGAGAGGACTGTCCACCCATGGGTGTTAGGGGCACCCCGGCATGGTAAGTTAGAGCTTGAGAGGGATGGGAAAGGCAGGGTTTTGAAGTGCCAGTGGGGTAAGGAGGGCACCTATGCAGTGGAGGAGGCTACACTGGCAATAGGAGAGTGGTTATCTATGGGGTATGATCAAGGATAATGAGAGCCAGGTTTCTCACTGTCAGAGAAGGTACTCACAAATGCAAACAGAGAAACTAGAATGGACAGTGTTGATTAGAATTGGAGTTACCAGGCCGGGTATGGTGGCTCACGTCTGTAATCCCAGCACTTTGGGAGGCCCAGGTGGGCGGATTATGAGGTCAAGAGATTGAGACCATCCTGGCCAACATGGTGAAACCCTGTCTCTACGAAAAACACAAAAAATTAGCCAGGTGTGGTGGCAGGCACATGTAGTCCCAGCTACTCGGGAAGTTGAGGCAGGAGAATCACTTGAACCTGGGAGGCGTAGGTTGCAGTAAACCGAGATTGCACCACTGCACTCCAGCCTGGTGACAGAGTGAGACTCTGTCTCAAAAAAAAAAAAAAAGAATTGGAGTTACCAGTGTTTTCTAGATAGACTAAAGACAGACAAAAAGATAGAAACACAGATATAAGTATATATGTCATATACATATATAGTTACATATACTCCTTAGCACTAGCCACTGAGCAGACCCAGGATCTACAATACTCTGACAGCAATGCGCATACCTAGCATACTTTGGCTTCTACATACCATTCTCCACTAAAAGGAACTACTAGCATTCCTTGGAGAAATGGTTGATTCCAGGGCAAAGGCAGGGACAAAATGAGCCTAAAACATAGTATTGTGCCAAAAAGTAAGCAAGTGTTCAAAGGATAATTGAGATATGTCACAAACATGCAGAAGGCAGCTTGAAGGGGCTTCTACTGGTGAAATCCAGGACAATTTGAGCATCAAAATAAATAATAAGAGTAATGGGTTATAAGCCTATGAATTGAAAGTCTCATGAGGAATGGGCAAAACAATTATAAAGGGAAAAAAAGTCTTCCCGACATGCCTAGCAAACCATCACCTTTATCAAGTAATCAAAGTGAACACCAACAGGGGCCTGGCACAGTGGCTCACGCCTGTAATCCCAGCACTTCGGGAAGCTGATGCAGAAGGACCCCTTGAACCCAGGAGTTCGAGACCAGCCTGGGCAACGTGGCGAGACCCTGTCTCTACAAAAAAATATAAAAATTATCCAGGTGTGGTGGCATGCACCTGGGGTCCCAACTACTCAGGAGGCTGTGGCGGGAAGGTTGATTGAGCCTGGGAAGTCAAGGCTGCAGTGAGCTGAGATCATGCCACTGTACTCCAGCCTGGCCGACAGAGTGAAACCCTGTCTCAACAACAACAGCAAACCAAAGTGAACACCAACAGTAAGAGGACAAGTCAAAACTGCGAGCCACTTGTCAAGACACTATGAAAAAAGCACCATTGCTGCAATACTCCTGCCAGAGGTGAATAACCTGAATCTACGCATGAGCCATCAGACAGACCCAAAGTGAGGGAGAATCTACAAAGTAACTGGTTTTCACTTTCAACATTTTTAAGGCCACAAATGTCACAGATCGAGAAATTTTTCCATTTAAGGAGACTAAAGAGACATGACAACAAAATAAAATGTACACATCTGAACTGGATCCTTTTGCTATAAAAGACATTGTTGGGGCAATTGGTAAAAATTGAAGAGAGGATAAGGATTAGATAGCCATAATACATCACTGTTAATTTTATGATAGTTTTACAAGAGAATGTCTTTCTAGGAAATACATAGCAAAGTATTTGGGGGTGATGGGTCATCATGTCAGCAACCTATTCTTAAAAAGTCCAGAGAATCCACTCAGTTCTGGGGCAAAAAAAAAAAAAAAGAAGTCCAGAGGAAAAAAAGTTATTTGTACTATACTTCAACCTTTCTTTATGTTTTAAATTGCTGCAAAATTAAAATTTTTTCAATGTAACCAGCAAAAATAATTTTTAAAAATACATATACTTATTCCCAGATAAAGAAGCTTTTATCTCTGACGTTAATAAGGTAAACTCTTCTAAATACCTTGTTATTCCCTCCCTGTACATTTTTTTAATGGGGAAAAAAGATTTCCTTATTTTATGAGACTCCATAAACTTCACAAAAATACATGATGGAAGGGGGATGAACCTAATTAAATTTCTGCCCCACTTCTCTGATAATTTAATTCCAGAAAATTATTTTAGAATCTTCTACTATAAAGAGATTATTTAAAATAAGAAAGGCTATATACAACATTACATAAAATAATATGTATAATCTTTAGATAAAATACAGCACTTGGAAATATTTTACAATCATCACCATCATTCTTTTTCCCTTAATAATCTCCCTTGCATCCCATGCTTCAGCCAAAATGAATAATTTTGTTGCCCACATGTTCCACATTCTCTTCCCTTTCTCCCTTTTTTCATACTGTTGTTTCATCTGGACCAACCTTTAATCATCTTTGTGTTTCCAAATATTACCTATCCTTCAGTTCCAAATTAAAACACCACTTCCCTTCCCAAAGATTTTCCCTGATCACTCTAGCTGGAGGTAAATCTTTCTCCTATTTTATACTATAGTTACATGTAAACTAGTAACAACAGAAACTAAGTCTTATTTCTTTTTCCTTTTTTTTTTTTTTTTTTTTTGAGACAGGATCTCACTCTATCACCCACCCTGGAGTACAGTGGCACAATCATGACTCACTGTAACCTCAAGCTCCTGGGCTCAAGTGATCCTCCTGCCTCAGCCTCCTTCCTGAGTAGCTAGGACTACAGGCACTAATACTACAGGACTACTACTGAGTAGTATTAGGACTACAGGTACGTGCCACCATACCTGGTTAATTTTTATTTTTTGTAGAGACAGGGTCTTTCTATGTTGCCCAGGCTGGTCTGAAACTTCTGGCTTCAAGTGATCCTCCTGCCTTGGCCTCGCAAAGTACTGGGATTACAGGCATGAGCAACTGCACCTAGCCTCATTTCCTTATATCTCAACACAATACCTAACCTAACACAGAGACTCTGAATGGAACACTGCAATTGCTGATTAAATGTTCATCTAATAGACAAAAACAAATGGAAAGGTTGTGCATTAAAGAACATGTTTTGCTAATTTAAAAATAATATATAAAGTGGATCACCTGAGGTTGGGAGATCGAAACCAGCCTGGCCATCATGGTGAAACCCCGTCTCTATTAAAAATACAAAAATTAGGTGGGCGTGATGATGCATGTCTGTAATCCCAGCTACTTGGGAGGCTGAGGCAGGAGAACTGCTTGAGCCTGGGAGGCGGAGGTTGCAGTGAGCCAAGATGTGCCACCGCACTCCAGCCTGGGTGACACAGTGAGACTCCGTCTCAAAAAAGAGGTAAAACATTTTACTTTATCATTGAAAGTATTTGAATGCCCTCATTACTGAGATTCACATTCAACAACTCCTCAGTTACGTCTGGAAACTTTCAAATGTGTATGCCTGTGGCAGGGAGTAGTAAGGTGGGGGTGGGAAATATAGGCATTGTTAAATGGTTGCTAACTAGGGTTTAAAATACTGAAGTTTATGAAGTGGCAGGGTGTGTGGGGAGCTCAGAGGAAACAAACTGAAAGAATGAGCGGAAATGAAAGTTCGGAAGATACCGTGTTAGGGAGGAAGTTCAGGTCACTTTCCTGCTAGTGCAGTCTTTCAAGGCATCCACTGCACTTTCAACGAATGGAATAAACTCCCTTTTGTGAAGAGGTATTTTTTTTCCCCTCCTATTCATGGTGGTTATTAAACAAACGAGATGCTAGGCAAAACAAACCTTTCTTTGTAAGTTACTGATTTCTAACCATAAGTAGGTAGGAATGTCCCAGAAGAGAATTGCTTTCGGAGTGATTCTGAGCCCATCAAGATCGACAGCAGTTCAGGTGAGGTAAGGCGGCCTGCACCGCATTAGTTCACATGCTGAACACATAAGCTAAAGCAAATTCCAACTTCTAAAGTTTCTGCTATAACACCTCAGGAATAAATAGTACCTAACTCCCTCTATAGCTTATTTTAAAGGAAAAGACTATTTTTCCCATGTCATACTCAACACCATCTTTCATTCATACCTTTTCTTAGGTACCTTTTTTTTTTTTCATTTGATACCAGCTCTTTATTAGAAAAGAAAAACTTCTTTGTGGGCCCAAAAAGAATCATTTTGCTGGGTGTGGTGGCTCACGCCTGTAATCCTAACACTTTAAGAGGCCAAGCAAGTGGATTGCTTGAACCCAAGAGTTCAACACCATCCTAGGCAAGATAGCAAGACCCCACCTCTAAAAAATAAAAAATAAAGGTGGAACAATATGTAACAGGTGAGGGATAACCAAAACTTGCCATATAAAGACAATAAGAAGATTTTAACAATTAACAAGATTCATTTTTCAATGGCTTGTTAATCACAGAACAATTAAAAAGCTAAATAAAAACCAATCTTACTTATGTATTAGAAATATATTTCAATTCACCCATGGATCCAACACGCTTTTAGACAGTAAAATTTTTACTGACTTAAGAAAAAACACTGCCGGTTGGGCACAGTGGCTCACACCTATAATCCCAGCACTTTGGGAGGCCCAAGGTGGGTGGCTCACTGAGGTCAGGAGTTTGAAACCAGCATGGTGAAACCCTGTCTCTACTAAAAATACAAAAATTAGCAGGGCGTGGTGGCGCACAACTGTAGTCCCAGCTAGTCAGGAGGCTACGGCAGGAGAATCACTTGAAGCCGGCAGGCGGAGGTAGTAGTGAGCCAAGATCACACCACCGCCTTTCCACCCTGGGCGACACAGCAAGACTCTGTCTCAAAAAAAAAAAAAAAAAAAAAAAAGAAAGAGATTTTATGGAGTGTTTTTTTTTTTTTGAGACAGAGTCTCACTCTTGTCACCTAGGCTAGAGTGCAGTGACGCGATCTTGGCTCACTGTAACCTTCGCCTCCTGGGTTCAAGCAATTCTCCTGCCTCAGCCTCTCGAGTAGCTGGGATTACAGGTGCCCACCAACACGCCCAGCTAATTTTTGTATTTTTAGTAGAGATGGGGTTTCACCATTTTGGCTAGGCTGGTCTTGAACTCCTGAGCTCCGGTGATCCTCCCACCTTGGCTTCCCAAAGTGCTGGGATTATAGGCGTAAGCCATGGTGTCCAGCCAAAAACACTGCCTATTAAACTCATGTACTTATGTTATGCTTAAAGAGTATTGACAGAATTCTCACTGCCATGTGTTTCATGTGAAAGAAATGGAAATCAGGTGGGGTGTGGTGGCTCATGCCTGTAATCCCAGCACTTTGGGAGGCCAAGGTGGGAGGATCACTTGAAGTCAGGAGTTTGAGACTAGCCTGGCCAACATGGTAAAAAACCCATCTCTACTACAAAAAATACAAAAATTAGCCGGGCATGGTTGCAGACACCTGTAATCCCAGCTACTTGGAAGGCTAAGGCATAAAAGCTCGAACCCAGGAGGTTGAGGTTGCAGTGAGCCGAGATTACATCATTGTACTCCAGCCTGAGTGACAGAACAAGATGCCTTCTCAAAATAAATAAATAAAAACATAAATAAATAAATAAATAAGGAGGGAGAGATAGTAGGTAGAAATATAGAAAAACAAAAGTGTCCATGAGTTGATATTATGGAGGCTAGGTGACATATGTAACAGTTACACTATTTCTCCAAATAAAATGTTAAAAAAATTATTACATTCTTTGAACTATTGGATAAATTCAGAAAGGAGAGAGATAACTCTGGCCAATTATCTTGAGACAGCCAGAAGCTACTGGAATTCTAAGGGATCAGAGAAGAACTTTTCTCTAATTACCCTAGACCAGGAGTGCATTAGCCAAAAGTTTAACAGACATTTGAACTTTTTTTTTTTTCCCAAACAGGATCTCTCACTCTCACCCAAGCCTGAGTGCAGTGGCATGATCATAGCTCACTGTAACCTGAAACCCCTGGGCTCAAGCGATTCTCCCGCCTCAACCTCCCAAAGTGCTGGGATTATAAGTGTGAGCCATTGCACCTGATTGATTTGGACTTTTATAAACTTCAAAGGGACTTGTAAGTCCTACAATCTTTAGAATGGCCCCATAGCCCACACTTCCCAAGGCTCTCAAACACTCATCAAATAGTAAATATATAATAAATTAAGAAAGGAAAAGATTTAGTAATTCCAGAATGGAGGCCTTAGGAAGGGTAAATATTGTTATACCCTGCCATCAATGTTTTCCTTATATTCTTCCTAAATAATTTAGTTTTAATATTCTAACTGTTGAAATGGAAACTATACTTGGAAAATAATAAGTTTGTTTTTGCTCATTATCACAGAAGTTAGGAAATATTTAAAACTATATAAAGCCATGAGGTAGTAATATCCTACAACTTAATTCAGATAACTCAACTCCTTCCTTATTTTAGTTTTGTGCATGTTTTCAAACTTCTTTTAACTGAACAAATTCATGCATGACTGAAGGGAGCCCCAACCTACAACTTTTCCTCGTTAAGCTACTGGAAGGTGACAAAAATAGAAACGGTAGAGGTGGTCTATTTATAGACTACAGAAAACACTCAGAGTATAAATATATCAATTGTTCTCTATCAAAATTTAACATATCAATTGTGCTCTATCATATTATTTGACATCCTCCACCTTTTTCTTTTTTCTGGAGTGACTTACTTTTTTTTTTTTTTGAGATGGAGTCTCGTTCTGTCGCCAGGCTGGAGTGCAGTGGTGTGATCTTGGCTCACTGCAACCTCCACCTCCTGTGTTCAAGCGATTCTTCTGCCTCAGCCTCCAGAGTAGCTGGGACTACAGGCGCGCGCCACCATGCCCAGCTAATTTTTGTATTTTTAGTAGAAACGGGTTTCACCATGTTGGCCAGGATGGTCTCGATCTCTTGACCTCATGATCTGCCCACCTCAGCCTCCCAGAGTGCTGGGATTACAGGTGTGAGCCACCGCGCCCAGCAATGACTTATAATACTATGTCATGTGACATAACTGGCATTATTCAGCATTGTTGTATTACAACCTCGTTTCTCAAATTAGAATTTAAGGCAAATAATGAAGTATTAGGATCAAATATAAAAATTCAGATGAAGACATAATCATATACCTATTTCTTGATTTTCATGAGTTGTGGCTCTAAAAGAGAGGCTTGTTAAACATAACATAGTTGTCGCATGATAATCACACCTGCATTGCTAACTCCACATCTGAACAGAAAAGAAACAAAATTAACTTCTTATCCAAGAGCAATAGGTAACTTAAATGTCACTTTCATTTTACTTTAAAAGTATTTTCAGGATTAAATTTAAATGTAAATTTCTCCAACTTCTGATGGATTATAATAATTTAAGCTAAATAATAAAGCCATCCAAATGAAGGGCCTACTATCCAATGTCAACATTCTGCTGTGGGTCAAACCTTGCAGTCTGAGAATACACTGTTCTTCCCCAGCTGATACAGAAGACTAAGCTAAAGAAGGTCAATAACAATGTAAAAATAAGACTGCATGTTAGAATGATCTCTCTAGAACCACAATTTGCCTGTGGTTGCATGCACTGCAGTTTGTGGTGAGCTTATTTGCATGCAGACAGCACTTTGGTATAGAACCAGAGAACCTCCTGTATGAGGATCCTAGAGATCATGTAATCCAAGCTTCTCATTTTCAGAAGAAAAAGAGTAGAGATTAGATCATTCATCCAAGATCACATAACTAGCTGGCAGTAAAGCTTCTTTCCATTTCATCATATATAAAGAGAAAAATTATTTTAAAAGGAAAAGGTTTCTCTTACAAAAGTAATTAAAATTCCAGCTGAAAGATATTAAACTATCTAAATTAATGTCCTATTTAAACTTCACATTCCAATCTTGGTGACATTTAAGGAAAAAAAAAAAACTTTCATTCACGCAAGAAGTATTTATTGAATGCCTACCATGCACCAGGCCCCTGGCAAGGTTCTAGGAATAAAAACAGTCAGTACCGTGACACCTTCTTAGGAATCAGATTAGGAAGACAGGAATTATATAACCATACAAATGCAAAATTATAAATTATAGTAAGTACTATAATGGAGTTCTAACAGATTACAATGGGAGAACCTAATTTTAAATTGTTTGTTGGAGGAGGACAATGATTAGAATAAACCTCACTGAGGAAGTGACCTTTATAGTGAGACAGGAAGGCTAGCCAAATAAACGGTGGAGATAAAAATGTTTCAGGCGACATACGTATATACTGTGATCCAGCAATTCCATTCCTAAGAATACAGCCAACAGAAATGTGTACATATATGTACCAAAAAACATGTACAAGGATGTTCATACTTGTGTCATTTATAATAGCAAAATTGGAAATAAAGCAAATGTCAACAAAACAGCTAAATATTTTAATATTCATAAAATGGACTACACTGCAACAAATATGAGTAAACTACTGCCACTTGCTACAACATGGATGATTTCCCATATGTCAACATGGATGATTTCCCATATGTCAACATGGATGATTTCCCATATATCAACATGGATGATTTCCCATATGTCAACATGGATGATTTCCCATATGTCAACATGGATGATTTCCCATATATCAACATGGATGATTTCCCATATGTCAACATGGATGATTTCCCATATATCAACATGGATGATTTCCCATGTCAACATGGATGATTTCCCATATGTCAACATGGATGATTTCCCATATATCAACATGGATGATTTCCCATATGTCAACATGGATGATTTCCCATATGTCAACATGGATGATTTCCCATATGTCAACATGGATGATTTCCCATATGTCAACATGGATGATTTCCCATATGTCAACATGGATGATTTCCCATATATCAACATGGATGATTTCCCATATATCAACATAGATGATTTCCCATATGTCAACATGGATGATTTCCCATATGTCAACATGGATGATTTCCCATATGTCAACATGGATGATTTCCCATATGTCAACATGGATGATTTCCCATATATCAACATGGATGATTTCCCATATATCAACATGGATGATTTCCCATATATCAACATGGATGATTTCCCATATATCAACATGGATGATTTCCCATATGTCAACATGGATGATTTCCCATATGTCAACATGGATGATTTCATTGAGTGAAAGGAGCTAGATACCAAAGAATACACAGAGAATGACTCCATTTATGTTAAGCTGAAAAACACTTAAAACTATTCCATGATGTAAGAGGTCTGAATAGTGATTATCTTTGCAGATCATAATAAAGATAACTGGGAAGGAGCATGAGGGGATTATTCTCTGGAAAGCTCTCTGGTATGCTAGTAATAATATTCTATTTCTCAACCCAGTTGTGGTAATAAGGGTATGTTCATTCTATAATAATATATCAAGCTGTATGTTTAAGATTTATATACTTTTCTACATGTATTATAATTTAAAAAGCTTATTATTTTAAAAAAATACATTTGAGCAGACGGAACAGCATATGTAAAGACCCTGACGCCAGAAAGAATTTGGTACATTCAGAACTGAAAGGCGGCCAATGAGGTTAGAACATAGAAACCAAGAGGTAAAGTGGTAACAGGTTGAAGAGGGAAGCAGAAACTCGATTTTATTGTAGGTCATCTTAGAGTTTAGATTTTAACTTCAGTGGCCAATCACTGAAGAGTATTAGGCAGGGGATTAATAAGATCTAAACCATGTTTTTTAAAAGACTGGGGTGTAGGCGTGGTAAGTAGAAGCAGAGGGACCAGTTAAGGAGGGAATTGTAATGATCCATGAAAGAGACAACAGTGTCTTGATTGAAACAGAGCCAGCTAAATGCAGGCAGTTGCATGGAATCTCAAGGAAATTAAGAGGAGGAATTGACTAGACTTGGTAATAGAGAGAATGTGTGAAATGTGAGGGGAAGAGGTGTTGAGGATGATTCTTAAGTTGTTTGAAACAACTTGGTAGATGGAGTGCAATCCATTGACATAAGGGAGACTGAAGGAAAGATCAGGTTTGAGGATATGCAGTGGTTGGTAAGACCATCAATACGGTACCTATTCCAACTCTTCCTCATTTGGTAGCCACCAAACAGTTTGTGATACTATGGAAATCACAGAAATTTCTACCTTCTTCTGCCAATGATCTACCTGATGCAAACAGCACATGATATCTCAACAGTCATTTTTGGTTCAGGAATACACAAACACTCAATCCGGTGCAAGGGGAAGTGCATTTTCCTTTTGTGGGTTCTAACCCATTATCTGAGTTTCAAAAAGCTGGATCT